>NC_000006.12:33393333-33696363 GCF_000001405.40 Homo sapiens | reverse complement strand
CATGGAGTCACCAGGCCACCTGGAGCCATGCCGGGGGTGGCATGGACACGACAGTGAGGTCTGCACTGGCTACAGCAGATCTGAGGCACGGAGGGAGCTGCACAGCCATGGGCAGGGCTGAGCACAGCACCCTTGAAATAAGTTAAATAACAAAGCCCTAAAATCACTAGTAACAGCATAACTGCCACCTCCCCCAGAGGCCGGCAGCCGCCAAAATGTAGTGCTTGGAGTTAAAGGGGTGACCCCACTCTTAACTACCCACAAGGAGGACTACAAAGAGTTGTCAGTTATTGCTTTAAGGAACAAAGGTCTCTAGGTAGGATTTATCTTCTGCTAAGGCATTAAGGTAAACTGAGTCCCAGTGAACTTTCAAGTCTTTTTAAGGGCTCTAAGCAGGACTGTCAGCTCTGAGGCTCCCCCTCCATGCTCTTCAAAGCCTGGGTGGGTGTCAGGGTGTCTGGCAGAGTGGGAGTGGAGGCTGGCCAGCTGGCTGGGCCACCCAACCCGAGGGAGGGGGCAGTGTTCTTCCCAGTCGCAGTCTCCAGTGATGAGCATCCCCTGTTGGGGCCTTCGGTGGCTCTCCTCAGCGGCTAATGCAGTTCTGGACATCCACAAAGCCTAGGCGTTGCCTGCGTTTCCGCTGCTCCGTCATCTAGGGTTAAGCAGATGCCAACAGGCCTGGTCAGGCCGCCTGGCACCTTCCCTCCATGGGTGCTGTGGAAGAGCTTGGCACCCGTCTTCCCCTGTGGGCCCAGCTGCTATTCGGCACTGGCGGCGGGCCAGGGCCCCTCGGGGTGCTTTAAGGATGTCGATGTCAGCACCAAACCCTTGTTCTCAATTAGCGTGTCACAAACCCTGGATTTGATGCAGCTGGGAAACCAGCCCACTAACAGAGGCTGCCTCATCTTCATGCAGGCACTGCCAGATGCAGAAGAGGATGTCTAGGCAAGAGGGCCTTAAACTCCCCCATCTCCAGTGATGGGGATCCCCTCAAAGGACCTACCTGGCAGCTGTCAGAGGAAGGGGATGAGAGACAGAGGGCCCCACCACCCTGTACTAAAGTTTCCACTTGGCCTTGTCTTTAGCGGCCCAAGGCAGGGGTTGTCAACCCCAGTCTGACTTGCCATGCAGGGGAGAGTGGGTTTGGCACCTGCCTTCTCATCCAGGCCCAGGGCCAGAGGCCAGTGGGGAAGAGGGTGGGTCAGGAAGGATGAAGGCAGGCAGGGACTGCCCAGGGATAGAACCCAGGGTGGGCCTGGGATCAGGCGGGGTGCACACCTGCTCCTTGAGCTCGTTGAGCTGGGCAGTGAGGTGGGACACCAGCTTCATGGTGGAGTTGAGCTTGTCCTGGAGAATCCGAATCTCATTCTGCTCCCCCTCGCCCTCATTGCTGACAAGGGACATGGCCCGCATCCGGGGGAACCAGTCCAGGTTCTTGTTCTGAAAAACATCACCAGTGGGTTAAGCAGGCGTGGGCCCGGCCTAGAAAGGCCTCATTTAGAAAAACAGTAATGTGGGGGGAGGCTTCTGCCACACCCTTAACAAAACTACTCGTCAGGGATGTGTCATGGGAAAATCTGAATTGACCTGGTCCTCCCCGGGGCCAGAGTGAGCTGGCAGTCAACCCTCTTGTCAACCCTCTGCCACCGAGACAGGCTGACTTCCGTTAGGCAGCGTCGGCAGCTGAGTTTGAGTCCTTTGCTGGTATCAGCACCATCTGTTTACTCTCATAACACCCCCTGAGAGGTGGAGGAAGGCCTCTGCACCCAGACAGACCCTGGATCTCCTTCCTTCCTTCCTCCCGCCCGCCTGCCTGACAAGCACGCCCCACGCCCCGGGAAGACGCGAGTCAGACAGATGGCAAATTGAGGGATCAGGAGGCTCCGCTGAGGAGAGCTGGCATCTGACACGTGTCTGGGAGGCAAAGCCACGTTTCCCAGGACAGAGGAGTCGGGGGGGGAGGGGGCACCAAGCAATTCTCAGCTTCCTTGTAGTAAGCTGTGAATTCTCAGACCAACAGATAAACCTGTACACAAAGATCAGTTTGAAATACAGACTAAACGATAAATAATTCCTTCTTTATGATTCATTGCCTTCACTCCATTATTACAGAAATTGGACAGATGACATTTGATTTCTGTAAGTGATTTTTAAAGTTTTTCCAGGCTCCCCTTCAGCCCAGGATCATCTAATTCAGACTTTTTAGGAAGCAGCCTGCCTTCCCACCGAGCTAGAAAACACTCCCTGAGAGCGGCCCACAGATCACTGGCCACGGGCAGGGTCTCCCCAACTCCACCCCTCCTCAGCATCACTGCACGACAGGCCCAGGGATACCACACGTGTTCTTCGGGGCGCATGGGTTTGCTGTGGGATTTTTCCTGACACCCAGAAGTGTGAGGAGGCCCCTCTGCAGCAGCGGCTTCCGTGCAGCCCAGAGCTGCTTCCAGCTGCTGCTCCTCGCCCTGCTGACCTTTCAACAAGTGTCTGCAGCTGTCCGAGCCCCTCTGCCTGGCCTCCTAGGGCCAACAGTCAGATAGGGCCACTCCTCTCCAGGGCCCAGGGTACTCAGAAGCTAAAACCATGAGGCCTCTGGTGCACAGTGATGACTCTAGAATGGCTGGTTTGGGCCCACAGGCCTGGCACAGCCCCTGCTCACACCTTGATCATCTGGGCCACGTAGCTCTCAGGGCCCGTGTAGTCGGTCTTGTTCTTCACGCGGACCAGCACAATGAAGTACAAGTAGTTCCACATGTTGTGCTCCAGCTTGATGTGTTCCTCAAATGACACTGTCTTGTTATCAAACTTGTCCCTCTCCAGACCTGAGGGTGCAGAGGGCGGGAATGAAACCATCAGCCTTCAAGAGCCACTGCAGGGTCACCTGCTGGAGGGGACCCAGCTTCCGGGGGTTGGAGGCATTTGTTCTCGGGATGAGCGCTTCCAACAGCTCGCTCTGGGCTATTTGGGTCACTTCTATTTAAAGCAGCAGCCACTTAGTGGAGATCCTGCCCTGCCGCAGCTGCAGCCCTCCCGCAGCAGCAACCGAGGACTCCAGGAGTAAACGCGAGAATTTCTCGAACTCAGGGGAAGCCCGAATGGCTGAATGAGCGAGGTCCTACAGGCCATACAGGTGACACCTGCCTGAGCCCGAGGTGGCTGGTGAGGGGACTAGCACTTCATTTCAGGGGTAGGAAAAGCACTGGACTGAGACCAGAAGCTCCAGACACTGACTGGGCTCATGTCCTCACCTAGAAACCCCAAGGGTTTACAGGGATGGGCCTGTCCCACTCCTTTCTGACTCCAAGTTCAGGCAGGGTCATGTTCTCCCCAGTTCTGGGATGAGCAAATGCATCAAGTCATCAGCTCCGGGCCAGGGTTCCCCAGGGCAGGAAGGGCCAAACCGCTACTGCCACTGGCATCAGATGACGTTCCAGCCCCGCTGCGGCCTCCACAGAGCAGGAAGCAGCCCTCACCACAGATGAAGCATGTCGTCTTAAGAATCTCCTCCTTCTTCTGCTTCTCACTACGCAGGTCAGCGAAGGTGTCGATGATTACCCCAAAGATGAGGTTCAGCACAATGATGATGACGATGAAGAAGAACAGGAGGTCATAGACCACTCGGGCTGGGAAGAGAGACTCCTGCAGGGGATGAGGCAGGGAGGCTGGGCCCGGTGGTCCCCACATTCACTGGGGCAAGATAGGACTCAGGTTGGGGCCAGGGCTGTGATATTGAGGACCCAGCCCCTAGCAGAAGGAAATGAGGGCCTCTGGCCTGGGGGCCATCAGATGGCAGAGTGGACCCAACCTGGCTCCACAGAGCAAGAATTGCAAGCAGAAGCCCTGAGTTTGGGTTAGGAAAGCGTGGACTCAGGACACGCCGGGGTGGAGGCCTGCAGAAGGAGTCTGGCGGGGAGGTAGGGCTACGAGTCTCGGTGTGTCTCTGCCCCTAACATTGATGAGGGAAAGAGGCAGCTCTGAACACCTCTGCCCACCCTCAGGACGCCTGGCCTCACACATTCCAGAAACCCTCTGTCTGGCCAGGGAGGCGGCCTCTCACTCCCAAGCAACAGGGGAAGGCCTGACATTCGGGAATGTGGCTGCCCAAGCCAAATCATGAGGCCTCCTGATAAAGCTGACTCAGCTCCGCCCTCTGCCCACCTGCTGTGGGCTAGGAAAGCCAGTGGTCACCATCCCTAGCCCTGGGGCAAAGTTTGGTTGCCAAAGTCTTTCCTTATGGAATGGGAGGGTGAGGGGGCAGCTAAGCAGTAATATCATGGAATTGGCCAGGTGTGGAAAGCAGGGAAAAGTGGATACAAGTTCGGGGGAGGGGGTTCAACCCTGAATATCTGACGCGAGGCCAAGGACAGGACTCTCCACAGTTGCTGATCTGGACAGTGGCTTGGGCCCCACAGGTTTGGGAGTGGGCAGGAGTGCTCACATCTTTGGAGGGCTTGCGGAGAATGTCGCCCACGCCACCACCGTTGCGTAGCCCATGGTTCATGACAGTGACGATGCACATCAACAGAGTGTCACAGGCCCGCTCTGTGCTGTCCAGCTCCCTGTCCTCTGCAAGCGGAGAGTGTGCTGAGGCCCGGGCTGCCTGCTCCTCCTACCCCACACAGACTCCTGCACACACACCACCCTCACCTTCCAGGACCTCAGGCACCGAGAGCCCTGAGACACAGTCCATCTTGTCCCCACTGCAGGTGTCCACAAATGCAGCAGCTCCATGTGGCATCCCCAGGGGGCTGGCTGGAGGGGATATGGATGAGATCATCAGGAGGTCCAGTGCCTGGCCTTATCCCCTGGCTCTGTCCCCAGTGTCACATCCTCCAGGAAACCTTCCCTGGTCCTGGATCGCCAGCCCTCCACTGTCCAGCCACAGTGAAGGGTCATCACGCTTCTGCCCCCGACTGGGTTGCACACTAAGGGCAGGGAGGGGTCTCTGTACCCCTAGGCCTGGCACACGGGCAGTTTCTGCAAATACTGGGTTTAACATGAATGACAGTTCAAGGGACTCCAGCCCTCAAGCAAGGGGTTCCTTAGGGGCCAGAGACCCAAGGCTCTCCCACCCACTCAGTGTGTTCCAGAAAAGAGCGAGGCAGACTGGTGTTAGCTAGACGTCCCCAGAAGCCAAGAGGAGAAGCAGACGGGAGCCTGGTGAGGTAAGCGCTGCAGGTCCTGGTCCTGACGCCAGACATTTGTGAGACCCAACCTCATTCCCCACAACCTGCCCAGGAGAGGAAGCCTCCAAGACCTGTGGAGTGGTTGTTGGGCAGCCGGTCGACCTCGAGAATGAAGTCATCCTTGAGGAAGAGGAAGCCGACGATGGAGAAGAGGTAGACCAGGATGAGGGCCAGCAGGGCTGTCAGCAGGATGGAGCGGCCATTGCGGGTCACACTCTTGATGACGTTGAACAGCGTCTCCTCGCGGTAGATGAGGTCAAAGAGCTGCAGGATGGGGTTGAGATAGGGATGGCACCTTGAGGGGCTGGGCCGGCCACTCTCACTGGGGCTGCCACTGGAACCCTGAGGGCTGCCTGGGCTCCAGACAGTTTCCCAAGGCTCCTCCAGGGAGGTCTGCACTTAGTCGTATCCAAGCTGGGTGGGCCTGTCAGGGGAGCTTCTCGAGAAACCTGGAATTCTAAGGTCACAGAAAGGGAGTGGCCCAGGGGAAGGCACGAGGGGTGAAACGGGTGGCTGAATACCAGCCAACTCTTAAAATGTACTTGCTGCATGCCAGGAAACAGTGTAAGTGCTTTCCATGCATTAGCTCATTTCATCTCACAATTATTTTAGAATGCAGGGGCTGTTGTTATCCCCATTTTACAGGTGAGGAAACTGAGGCATGGGGCAGTTAAGAAACTTGCCCAGTTACACAGCTAGTAGTAGCCCAGCTGAGATGCAAAGCCCTGGTCCAGCTCCAGAGTCCAGGCTTGAACCACCACTGTACAGGAGAAAGGGGTCAGATGGCCACCAGGAGTGGCCATCAGGGCCTTGAGGGCCAGGCTTGGGTCAGGCAGATGAAGACTCTGTAATTTCACTGCTCCCAGCCCAGCAGCAAAAGGACTGGACAGACAGACTGGTGCCGGGGAACTGCCAACAACTCATGGGAAGCCCCAACCACCCCATGCCCCCATCCAGCCCCAGCCCACCCAGAAGGCCTCACCAGGATGCTGTAGAACAGCTCATGAGCAAAGAGGCCCAGGACACTGGTCAGGATGTAGCCCACGTGGTAGAGGAATTCCATGTCCATGACCATGGCCTTATAGCCCCGGATGAAGGTGCCACGGTTGCCCACGAAGCTCACCACAAACACGATCTTGTTGGTCAGCTGGGGGCGAGTGCAAGGCATGAGAGTCAGCACCCTACCACCTATGCTGAATCTGCACGCATGTCCCCCAGTGCCCAGCTCAGAGCCTGGGAGGCATGGCATTAATGAAATTGCTTCCAGAAACGCATCTAGGCGCCTGGGACTCAGAATACAGAGGCAGCCCCTTGGGTCCTCAGTTCCAGGAAGACAGTGAGGTACAGGCAACGGAGGATGGGGACAGAGAAGACCACTGACTGGCTCTATCAGGGAAAGGTATTCCTCGCTCAAAGCACTTTATTTCCATCTGTCAGGAGATTGTCATTATGTATGAATCTTCACGTCTGCCGCGTAGCAGTGCCTCTGGGCAGTGCACAGCCCGCACAGTGTGCACAGCCACCCTGACCCTGTTGCTCCAAAGGGACTCTTGAATTTCTGTCTCTGAGTGCCAGCTGCCCTCAGGTGTTGAGGGAAAGGAAGAAGGTACAGAACAGTCCCTGCCACCGGTCTATAAGGAACTTGGGAGCCCAACAGAGAGGAGGGGATGGGACAGAGCAGTGGCTCCTGGAAGCAGCAGGCCAGCTTGCCGTCTGAATGCACAGTGAGCATGAGCTTGTTTGGGAATGGGGGCTCCCTCTGGCACTCACATTGAGGGCACCCAGGATGTTGAGTGTGGGCCCGATGCCCAGATAGTAGATGGAGCGCAGGATGAGCGCCACGATGAGGGGGCGGATGCTGTAGCGCTTGGTGAACAGGGCCGCGATGGAGAAGCAGATGAGGATCCAGAAGAGCAATGAGATGAGAGGGGAGTCCAGCACGCCTGGGGGCCAGGGGCAGGGTGAGCAGGGCTCCCTCAAGCCCACCACGGCCCCAGAGCAGGTCCAACAGGTGCCGAAAAGCCACCTTCTCCTGGCCGCCTTCCCGGTTAAGTTCCTGGTGCCTGGTTTTAGCCTCCTCCATTACACCTGCCTCTCAGGCCTAAGCGGGAGGCCCTGTCCGGCTGCGGCTACCAGGTTTTGTTTCTGGCTGACACATCTATGCGTGTGCACGTGCCTGCATGCGCCATCTCCCATGAGGTCAAAGACCCTGACCATCCCCTTTGACCGCACCTGTGTCTCCATGATGGGGCGAGAGCCCACAGGATGGCGCAGGGGGTGCTTCTGCACACTCTGCATCTGGTGCCCTCAGAGGCCAGCTGGCCTCAAGGCTCTGCCCCAACCCAGGGAGGAAGCATGGCAGGGCCCGGGGAACCTGCCGGCCAGCCCTGTGTTCTCACCTGTGGACGCGCCCTCCATGTAAGGGTAGAAGAAGGCAATGATGATGTTGATAAACACGGCCAGGTTGAAGGAGATGCTGCCCCACAGGGTCATGCGGCGGGAGAACCAGTAGATCAGCGGCATGCCTGAAGAGGAGGGCAACGGTGAGCTGCTGGAGGGCCCTGGTGAGCACCCCCTGCCCCTTGCATGTGGGGCCCCGCTCAGGAGGAAGCCACACATGGAAGAGCCCTTCCTTGGGGTGAGGCGGGGTTGGGCGCAGGGCACCCACAGGCAGGCAAAGGAGGCCGTTATAACAGGGCATCAGTGAACAGCTCCAGACCGCCCCACCCTCCCGCCCGTGGGTCCTCACTGCGGAGCTTGCGCTGCCACTCCATCTCGTTGTGCAGGAAGGAGGACTGGTCGAAGAAGTCGCTCACTTTGCTGCCCTGCTCGTCCTGCTCAGTAGTGGTGAAGAGCCGGTGCTTGGTTTCCTCCGTCAGGAACTGGCAGATGCCGGGCACTGGGAACACGATCTGCTCCATGCTGCGGTCCTGCCGCACAATCTGAGCACACACAGCACATGGTCACGCCCGGCGCAGGCTCCCACGCCCGCCCCTGCTGCCCACAGGCCCACCTCGATCTGGGACGTGTGGTTCTCATAGTAGGCCAGGGGGTCTTCCTCCTCCTCCTGTGCTGGCGCTGAGGACTTGAGCATCTGTGACAGCTGCTTGTTGTTGAGGCTGAGCTGGAGGTGGGGAGGGCGCGGAGGTCAGGCCCCAGCCTCCACATCCAGGCTGGCACTCAGCCCCCACCCTCCCAGGCCTTCGCCTAGCTCTGAACTACACTTCAGCGAGTGTCCCCGCCAAGCCAGAGCAGGCCAAGCCCAGCCCAACTAGGACTGAGCCTTGAGAACCTGGTGCCAAAGGGAGGGGAGTGGGAGAGCCATGACCAGAGAATCCCAGAGGATAGCGGGGGCCTCCTCAGTCCTGCCCAAGTGTAGCCCGGGTCCTGCTTGAAGCTTCCAGACCCACCCTAGACCCACCTGAGCCTTGCTTCCATTTCTGTCTGGGTTTCACCCACGGCTGCCAGTCCCAATCAGCCCCCTGAGCTGTACCCCCAAATTCTAGCCTGGCTCATATTCTAGGGCCTCACTCTGTTCCAGGCCACGCCCTTGGGTCAAGTGTCCTCCCTGGGTTCCAGGCCCCACCCCCACCCCAGTCTCGGGGCCAGCACCCACCATGGAAGAGATACCCTCGGCCTCCTCCTCTTGAATGCGCTTCACCGGCTTCAGCAGGTGCTGCAGCTGTTTATTGTGCCTGGAGAGCTGAGGGAAATGGCAGCACAGTCACCAGGGTGTGGTGGCTGGGGGACATGGTGGCTGGGGGGCGACAATGGCGACTGGGGGATGATGGCAGCTGGGGCGGGGTATGGTGGCCAGGGGGGTGATGGCCGTTGCCACGGGTGGAACTGGTACCTGCAGCGCCAGGATATAGATGTTATGGCCCACTTCACGTGGGCTCACCTCCGAGTTCTCACGCTCTTCCTCCTGCAGGTAGGCCTTCTTGATGACGTCCACCTGGAGGGGCAGTGCCTGTTCCAATGCTCTCTTCCTAGGGCGGTAGGGCCAGCCGGGCCCTCATCCCCATCCCAACACACTCCACCTGGTTCCGCCCGCCTGCCCACCTGCCCAGCCTCACCAGCTCCTGGGGCCGCAGGCTGATGAGGATTCGCTCAGCATTTTCACTGTCATGCCGGCTCTCCATCAGAGCCAGGAGCAGCTTGGAGGCATTGTCCTGGGTGGAGGGGCAGAGGGAGGCAGGCCACAGTCTCAGGACACCATGCCCCTGACAACTTCTCCCTCATTCCTCTCCATAACAGCTCTCCCATCCAACAAAAGGTCAGGTGCCATGACCTTCCCATCCTCCCTCCCCCCGGCTTAATGAGAAGCATCCTGCACAGCCAGCCCACCCATAGGCTTGCCTTCACCCCCGCTGTGGCAAACACTCAGCTACCCAGACAGCAGACACACACATAGCAAGTCCTCAGCTAAACCAGAATATATTTGCATCCAGAGTGAGTGTATGTTCCAGCATGCTTAAACATGCGTATATTACACACACACCCTGCACACACCACACACTTGTGCATCCAGATGATGCCCCATCACACAATGCTAACACCCACATTACACACCACTATGTACACTTGACACACAAGTCACACATACATGCATGCACATCACATGCACACCCAGCACTCACACACCTGCCACTGGGCCCCACCTTGAGCTGCAGCACCAGATCCATGCGGTACTTGCACAGGGGGCTGATGTCATTGAGGATCAGTGCGGTGATGATGTCTATGCCATTGGACTCGTGAGTCACAATGCAAGTCTGGCAGGAGGCAGTGGGGGACACAGGGCCCAGGCCCTCTCAGAATAGTGGCAGCTCCAGAGACCTCAGCCTCTCTCCCTGCCCCAGCTGGCTCCATCTACCCACATGTCCACACTGCCACCCTGGCTGCCACTTATGCCACCAGGACAGCTCACCTGGTTCTCATGGCAGGGGCCCTGGCAGTACTCAGTGAGGGTCTCCAAGGTCTGGATGACGAGGCCCACGTTGTCCTCATTGATGTAGAGCCCCAGCAGCCCCAGGCCGCCCGTGGTGCTGCCGCACATGATGTCCAGGAACTGCAGCGTCTCGCATACCAAGTTGTAGTTGGTTTTGTTGTTCTGACAGCGCAGGAAGTTCTGCGGGGCACAGAAGGGTTGGGCACAGCACAGCTACAGCACGGAGAGGGAGGCTGGCCTGGGAAGCACGATCTTGTGTGCTGCAGGGGTAGGGGAACCACCAGCCACAAAGCAGCAGTGCCCAGGGCAGGGCACACCTGCCATAGAGGGACACCAGCCACACTGCCTAGTCTGCATGCCGGCTGGCCAGCGGGGGAAGGGGCAGGTGTGTGGCGAGGCACTCACCTGCAGGTCCCGGTTGTGGTTCTCACACAGCAGCTGCAGAAAGCGCAGGATGGGCTGCATGATGAGCACGGATGTGCCCATCTCACTGCTCTGCACACGTTCGCTCACCTCGTGCCCCCGGCGCAGGCTGGGGCCCAGCGAGTAGCGGGATGAGGAGCCAGGTATCGAGAAGGAGGCCACGCGGCCTGTGGGCGAGACCTGGTGAGGCTGGAGCTGCCCACCCCCTTGGCCACCCCCCTGCACATCTTATCCTGGGATCCCCGTCACGCCGTGCCTCTGCCTCAGACCCCTGACCTTTGGTGGTGGGGTCGACTGGCTCGCGGTCCTCATGTGGCTGGCTGCCCAGGTCATTCATGTTGACTGCCACCGTGGACTTGGTCTCCTGCTGGGCCCGCTTCATGCGGTCGTGCAGCACCTTGAAGAAGCGCTCTGACTTCTTGTCACTCATCATCAGGTTGTGGAAGGATTTCTGGAGGTGGACAGTGGCCAGGGAACAACCTCAGCACTGGGCCCTGCTCCTACTCAGGGCGTGGGGCAGGCACACCACACTGCTGGGGCCGCTGGGGCTGCAGGGGCCTGGCTGCAGGCCTGGGTGCTGGTGGCTAGCATCCATGGCCACCCATGGGCGGCTCCATGCCCCATATCTGCTCCTGTGTCACGTGGTCCTTTCATCACCCCCGCATACCCCTCTGCCCCAGCCAGGCCTGAGCCCGTCTCCTCACCACCCTGCCCCCATCATGCCCACTCTTCTCACCTCTCAGCCACTGCTCAGGCCTCTCCTCTTTCACACCCTCCTCGGCCTTCAGTGCCCAACTCAAGGCCCACCTCCTCCAAAAAGGGAGGGAGGCAAAGGAGGGCATGTCCAGGCCCCAGGCCCCCCACACCTGGATCTCTGTGTTGCCACCATCCAGCAGGTGGATGGCCAGGCCGATGCTCTCCTGGAAGATCTTCTCGTTCTTGGTGCTGGTGATGAGGTCGCATACCAACTTGGTGGCCCCCTCCTTGTCCAGCCGGCACTGGGTGGCTGCGATTGCCGACCAGTCTGGGTCCAGGCCTGGAGGCGGGACTCGGTTGAGGGAGAGCTGGTGTGACAGGAGAGTGGAAGGGAGGGCCCGGGGGCAGGGGAAGGTGATACTGACCAGTGCCTATGGGGTCGGGAAGGTCCCCCCGCGAGGTGGACTTCCGGTTCTGGAGGTAGTTTTGCAGCAGCATCTTGCGCAGCTGGTTGCCCTGGGGGAGGATGGGAGTGAGGCCCCATTGTGGGTACAGCCCACCACTGACCACTGGCCTGACGGGCTTGACCCTGAGCCCCTGGGTACTCCTGACTGGCCCACCCAGCACTTGCCCCACCAGGGCACTCACCCGGTCCCCGTACTTGGTCTTCTTGAGCAGCATCTGCTGCAGGGTCCGCAGCACCTTGATGCACAGCTTCTCCTCCGACTCCATGAGGTCCTTGGTGTGCTGGATCAGCCTGAGCCGGCCAAGGAGGCAGCTCAGGGCAGCCCCACACTGCCTCCCTCCAGCTACTTCCCCACCCCATCCCAGGCAGGAACACCCCCAGGCCCTCTGACCCAGTGAGCCTGTCTAGTCCCCACCGGGCCCTTCTCTGTCCCCTGCCGCTGCACCCCTGCTGCCCCCATGCCCCAGTGTCTCGCTCACTTGGACAGGAAGCCCCCACTCTCGCAGCGCTGGTAGGCCTCACTGCCCTCCAGGAAGAGCAGCTCAGGCCAGTGCAGGACATCCACCAGCACGGACAGCTCAGCCTGTACCAGGGGCTTCAGCCGCTCCTCCAGGGCTGTGATGATGTCCTGGGGTGGGCAGGGCAGAGTCATTGCCAGGCCCAAGAAATGACCCGGGTGTGACTGCCATTCCTCCGACCCAAACGCCAAACAGCCCCACAGATTGCCCTGCCTCTGTCTGAGGGGCCCACACCCACAGAGACACCCTGAACACAGCGTGATGTCTGTCTGCTCAGAGCCCTGGCTGGGAGCTGCCAAGCCTGGCTTCTCTCCCAGCTCTGTGTGACCTTGGGCAAACCCCTTAGCCTCTCTGAGCCTCAGTCTCCTGCCACGTGGGGAAAATAATCCACCACACCCCCTCTACAGGCCAACGAGACAGCGCACAGAAATGTGCTGCATAGACAGGAGGGCGCTGCAGGAGTGAGGGGTGGTCCCGACCCCCTCATGAGCTCCAACCCCACTAGCAGGCCTCTGGGTTCTCCAGGCTTCCTCTGGAAGGAGGTTCCCCAGTCCCTTGCTGCTGGGTCGGCCCTTAGCAGCCCCAGAGTGTAGAGAAGCCAACCAGCCCCTTCCTGGAAGTGTGGGCAGGACAGGAAGAAACACTCCCCGAGAACTTGCCCCTCCAAAGTAGGGGAGCTGCTGACTCAACCAAGCAGCTCCCGAGGCAGATGCCAGGCAGCCCCACACCCACCTGCAGCTTCTCAATGATGTTCTTGTAGTCCCACTGGTTGGCGGTGGGGGTGACGCGGGGGAAGGCCCGCGTGGTTGCCTTGTAGCTGGAGGCGTTCCGCTGGGCGGCAGCTGCACAGCTGGCTCCACTGCTGAGCATCGAGCTGATGTGGGCATCCAGGTCCATGGGCAGCAAGATGGCCCGGCCCTTGGCTGGGTGGGAAGGGAGGGAGTGCTGGAGTGCTGGTGCGGGGGCAGTTCAGCCAGCCAGAGGCCAGGCTCAGGGCTGCCACACCAGGAGACAGAGTGAACTAGACCAAGGGTCTGGGAGACAGAGACCCCCCCCACCCCGGCCTATGCTTGAGGGACTGAGAGGCTTTCTTCCCCTTGTTGGGTAAAAGGAGTTTCTGCCTCTTTGATTCCCCCCGGCTCTACCCTGACTTCCCCTTCCTCTCTCTCACCTGTCCTCTCTTCTTCCCCAACTGTCCCTAACAATCCACAGGCCTGCTCCTGCCTGAGCCCATCTGCAAATACCCATAAAAAACTAGCTGGAGAATGTCGGCGAGCATCCTTCTCTGGGGAACTGACCCAGAGGAGAAAACAGCTTCTCTCAATTGCCAGGATGAGGCAGACGCCAAGAAGAACTTACTGACAACCACCTGGGAGCAGGAGATGGGCGAGCTTAGGGATAAAGTGTTTATTAGGAGGGCAGGCGTCCCCACTGTGAGCGGCAGGAGGAGTGGTTTGGGGCTGGCCAGTGCCCCGGCACACTCACCCACCATGGCGAGGGTCCGGATGCAGGCCTCCACGGAGCCCTTGTGCTGCTGCTGTAGCCACGGACACTCGAGGAGGCGTGTGGTAGACTGCAGCAGCTGCACCACAATCGTCTGGTGTGTCTGCAAGAAGTCACAGAGCCCGCTGCTGCAGCCCAGGCCCCCACCCTGGGCAACCCCAGGTCCAGGAACCAGGGCCCAATCAGAATGGGCATGGGTGGAGAGACGGAGCCTTCACTAGCCACCATGTGCCTCTGTGCCAGTTGGAAAAAGGTACTTGTATTCCCTTCAGCAGTGCACGACCTGCCCAACTGTACACGGCAGCCCTGTAACTCACCAAGGCCGTGGGCTCATAGCCATGTTGCTGACCCTTTTAAAAAATGTTTAAAAAAATTAATGTCATAAAAAGGTGATGGATTTACATGGTTGAAAAACCAAAAGGTTATTTAAAAGATAACACTTTGAGGCTGGGCGCAGTGGCTCACACGTGTAATGTCAGCACTTTGGGAGGCCAAGGTGGGTGGATGACTTGCGGTCAGGAGTTCGAGACCAGCCTGGCCAACATGGTGAAACCCTGTCTCTACTAAAAATACAAAAATTAGCCGGGCGTGGTGGCGGGTGCCTATAATCCCAGCTACTCAGGAGGCTGAGGCTGGAGAATTGCTTGAACCTGGGAGGCAGGGGTTGCAAGTGAGCCAAGGTTGTGCTACTGCACTCTAGCCTGGGGCACCAAGTGAGACTCCGTCTCAAAAAAAAAAAACATAACACTTTGAGAAGTCTCTCCCCCATCACCCTCATTGCCCTGGAGCTGATCAAGGATGGGGAAAGCTGATATCAATTACCAGAGTTCCATCGTCCCAATGCGATCCCAGGGCCCAAACAATGTGTGTCAAAATACACCACCCTTCCTGAGAAGGCAGGACTCAGCATTTTTCCCCCCAGACTTAGAAGCACGATCCCACCCCACCCCAGCTCCTATGCCCCTAGGTAGCCCCTTTTGTGGGTTTCTTTTGTATCCTTCCAGTGTTTCTTTGATTTCGGTCATGTAGCAGGGCCCTTCCTTAAGGGAACCTGGCTCGCTTTCATTCAGGGGGGCTCTGGGCTGAGCACTGGCTCGAGTCTGGGAATCTGGGGATTGACCAAGGAGCCATGAATCTTTCGAGATTCAAATCAGGCTTCTGTACACTGGCCTGGAGCCCTTCTGCTTAGGCCTTCAGAAGGCTGCCTGCCTATTTCAGTTCTAAGATCACTATGATCAACTAGCCAGCACGAAGGATCCTGCCAGGGAGACTGTCGTGATCCCTGCTTTGGCTGTACCATCCCATGGATGGCACGTCTGCCTTATCTTTGGTGAATAAGTGCTGCCACTCCGGGATCCGCCCACCCACTGGAGTTAGGAGTTCCTGCTGGATGGTACCATTCCCACCGTCATTCTGGCCCACAGAAACTGAGATAGCGAATGCTTGTTGTTTTAACTGCTAGGTTTGGGGATAATTTGTTAACACGGTATAGATAACTAATATACTTAGGCCGGGCGCGGTGGTTCACACCTGTAATCCCAGCACTTTGGGAAGCCGAGGTGGGCGGATCATGAGGTCAGGAGATTGAGACCATCCTGGCTAACACGGTGAAACCCTGTCTCTACTAAAAATGCAAAAATTAGCTGGGCGTGGTGGCGGGCACCTGTAGTCCCAGCTACTCGGGAGGCTGAGGCAGGAGAATGGCGTGAACCCAGGAGGCAGAGCTTGCAGTAAGCAGAGATCGCGCCACTGCACTCCAGCCTGGGCGACAGAGTGAAACTCCATCTCAAAAAAAAAAAAAAAAAAGATAACCAATACACTTATGTATCCTTTTGTTACTTCTTTCTGTACTATAAGCAAATATAAATATGTATTCTTATTTCCCCCCTTCCCTTCACAAAAGCTAGGCAAGTCGGCCCTGGGGTGGTGGGAGAGGAGAAGCTCACCTGCAGGGAAGTGCTGTTCTCAGAGAATGGGGAGCTGAAGAAGGCGTTGATGGTGTCCAGCACAACGCTCAGCACGTACTTCTCCAAGGTGGGGTCAGCCACGCGCTTCTCACGCTTGCTGCAGACCTGAGGCAGGAGAGAGGGATGGCTGGGGGCTCCTCACATGGGGCCCCTCCACTCCCACACCTCCTGGGGGGCTTCACCCACACCCCTCACAGGGACAGACCCGGGCCATGTCCAGGGTGAAGTTCTCAAAGAGCGTCCAGATGTGGTTGCTGGTGTAGATCTCCTTCATCTCCACCTCCGTGTCCACGTAGCAGTGGTTCACGAAGTTCACATAGGCCATTTTCACCTGGGCAGTGGGCGGGAGGTCAGGGGCGCAAGCAGGGCCGCCTGGCCAGGCTCTCCCTGCCACAATGCTCCTGTCCCCTGGCCTCCGGTTCCTGCCCACTTCCCTGGCTTTGCTTCACCCACTCTTCCTGTCCCGTGGCTTTACCCACCCCTTCGCCCCATCTCCAGCCGTCTTGCCCAGTCTCCCGATCCCCACCTCAGTGATGCAGTCCTCATGCGTCACCACAGACACCACGTCCTCCAGCGGCAGCAGGGAGGTGCACTTGATCTCAGTGTAGACGTTTTTGCCCTCGGCACAGGCGGCCAGCAGGTCCACCAGGGAAATGTGGTACATGAGGGGGCTGTGGTCCTCCACGCCGTCGCGGGCGGCCTTCATCATGTCCAGCAGGTGGGCCAGCGATGCCTTATCATTGTAGAACACGACCACATCGTCACCTGCATTGGTCAGCTGCGGGTGGGAGGGGGCACGTGTCACACTCTCTCGGTCCAGCAAGCCCTGGGCTCTCCTCTCCGTTGCTTACCAGGGAGAAACTGGGACTCTGACCACAGCCCTTACCTGAAATCAGGAAAACCCTCCCCTGGCTGGGATTTGGGGGTTCCCCAGCTGATGTCTCAGGCCCTCTGCCAGCAGAGATATTGACCCCATGACCCAGAAAGTCCCCGCTTCTCCCCACTGGAAAGAAGTCCCATAGGGGTCATCTCAGAGGCAGCTTCCTCCAGGAAGCCTCGCTAATCCCGCCTTGCTCACCCCCTCCCTCCCCTGTGCTCCCGCAGCAGTTACTTAAACCCTCCTCACTGAGCACACACCTCTCGTGCCAGCGACTGCATTATTCGCAGTAATATAATAATAGAAATTAATAAAACTAACACTGTACAGCAGTTCCAGCACATCATGTCTTGTTTATGATGTCCTAATCTCCCTTCAGTGTTTGCTTCTTTCTCCCCCTGCCGCCTACACTGTCAGATGCTCAGGGGCAGGGACCACGTCTGTTCCAGATTTAGACTCAGCCCTGTATCCTTCGTGCCTTCACTCAACAGGTGTCTGTTGAGAACCTACTATGCGCCACACACTGGGGCCCTGGCGATGCACACAAAGGATGGGGTCCCTGCCCGTGCCCCCCAGGAGCTGACACTCAGCTGATGTCCCCCATGCATGTACAGTCCGTGGCACGTAGCAGGTGCTTCCTGATTTTAAATAAACGACGACAAGTGACAAGGAATGCATGCTTGATTTCTTTCTGGCCTGTTGTCTGAGTTCTGCTAGGTGCCTGATGCTACTGGGACCCTGCTTGAGTTCTATCAGGCCCACAGGCTGAGTTCTACCACATCTGCAGCCTCACTTCTCCCTCTGCGTCCCCTCCATGGTCAGCAGCTGAGTGTTCCTTTTGTGACCCACCGTCTGACTTCTCTAACTCTGTGGCCTTCCCGCCAAGCCTCTGCTCCGGTCCCCCACCCCAAGATGCCTGAGCACCCCTCAGCCCCGCCCTCACCTCAGTCATGATCATGTCCTGGCACTTCTTGACGTACTTGCCCTCGGCCTTAATGACGGTGTGCAGGAAGTCCAGGTACTGCACATGGCGCCCGTGCGTGGCCAGCAGGTGCACGAAGTGCTGCAACACAGGCTCGCTGATCTCGGAGCAGAGCTGATAGTTGTTCAGGAAGATGTGCTGCATGGTCTCTGCCTCCAGGAGCTGCAGTGGGGGGCATCTGTCAGAAAGAGATCTGGGCCCCGCCCCCACCCCCCATCCCCCGCCTCGTCCAGGTGCTCCCAGCCCTGCACCCTCACCCCTGGCGTGAGGAAGAGGTGCAGGTGTTTGTGCAGCAGGGCCTGGTTGCCGGGGTTCCCTGCACAGAACTTCTGCAGGAACTGGTGCGTGTAGCGCAGGATCTCCATCATCTTGGCATCACCCTGGACACAGGAGTCAGGGAGAGGGTGCTGGGCCCACCAAGGAGGGAGGCGAGGCCCTGGCTGAGCTCTGACAGGAGCAGGGGTGGGTCGGGCTTGGGACTGGGACCGTGAAGAGGCCAGCGTAAAGGGAAAGTGGGGCCCCCAGGTCAGGATGGAAATGTGTGAGGGGCGGGAGCTCAATGGCCAAGATGAGGCTGGAGTTGGGGCAAGGTGAAGTGTCACGGTCAGCGTCAAGGTGAGGCCTGGGACATACTGAGATCAAGATCAGTCATGGCAAGGGGCTGAGGGTCAAAAGGGGAGATGAGACTAAGATTGGAGTCAGGAGCCAGGGTGGGCCTGGGGACAGGTCAGCATAAGATGTCAGGATGAGGAATCAAAACCAGGGGTCAGGACAAGGCCAGCATTGATGTCATGGGTCAAGGAGAGGTTGGGTTCAGTTAGGGTCAACATGGGTCAAGGTAAGGAAGCTGAGGGTCAAAGGTTGAGATGAAGCTGAGATTATCAGGGTTAGGCTGGAGAGGGGGAAGAAAAGGGAGTCAAGGTCAAGAATCAGCATAAGGCTGGGGTCAAATCAAGGTCAAAGGGAATTAGGATGAGGGGTAGAGGGTCAAAGGTTGAACCGATACTAAGACAGGGTTCAGGGGTCAAGGTGTGCCTGCAAACAAACAGGGCAGTGTAAGAGGCCAGGCGAGGCTGGGAGAGGTTGCCTGCATTAGGGCCTAGCATACAGGTCAGGCCGGGGTTCAGGGGGAAGCCACCCTGGGGAGTCAGAGGTCAGAAGTCAGAGCCACCTTGTCATAGGGGATCTGCAGCAGGTCCAGCATGACCTTGTGGGCATCCATGTTCTTCAGCAGCCGTTGCTGCTTCTTCCTCATTTGCTCCCCAACCCCGCACATCTTGTTCAGCCTTTCCAGGATCTGCAGGGGAGGCGGGTGAGCCAGAGCCCCTTCCCTACTTCTCAGGCTGCCCTCTGCCCAGCCCACCACAGCCAAGTTCCAGCTGGCACCCGGGACAGGAAGGGGGAAGGAGGTCACAGGCGCTGAATCAGACCCTTGCAACAGGCTAGGGAAGCACTAAAAAAACCAATTCCACCCATAAAAGTAAATAGAACAATATGACTGTGAAATGGAATTTCATGGAATTCCTTCGGCTTTAAAATAATTCCATCTGGACCTTGGCAGGGCTGTTTTTAATGTGCAGCAAAGGCTGAAAGATGTCTCTTGTGAGGGCCAGTGGCCAGCACAGGGAGAGGCACAGGGGGCCGGGCCAGCGGGAGCCCCCAGGACCACTGGGGCTGCAGATCCCTACCCCGAGGACCCTTGGCCACTCACGCCCTTGACGATCTGGTAGTTCTCACTGCTTTTCTCCCCTGGTGGGTGCAGAAAGCCCTCCTCGTCCGTGGGACGCTGAAAGCAGAGAGAGGAAGGAGATCAGCCAGGCCCAGCCCTCACAGGGAGGCCTGCCCTGGCCCCCTGGAGCCCCACTTACCTCTTTCTTGTCCTTGGCGGCGCCTGCCTCCACCTCCTCACCCTTGCCACTGCCCTTCTTGTCCACCCACAGCTCTGACTTCTCCACCATGGTCCGCAGCCGGTCCAGCTCCGACTTGATCACCTTGTAGTTCTCCACGTCCTGCGCTGAGATCAGCAGCTGAACCTGAAGGTGGAGGATGGGCCTGGCTGGTGAGATGGGCTCCAGGTCCATGCCACTTAGAGACCTCCAGCACCTTCCTTACTCTAGGGTTCCCCTCCTGTAGACCACCACCTGTCCCTCTCCACCGAGCCGATTCCCACTCAATGTTTCTGGCTCTGCCATAAGCCCACCACCTCCAGGAAGCCTTCCCTGCTGGCCACAGGCCTCCCTGCACTGCCTGCCCTGAGCTGCCACATAACCTGGCTTCAGTTACTCACTGACTAGTGTCACATGTGGCTGTGGTCTGTCACTTATCCACTGAGACCCCAAACAGGCAGGGCAAAACATATTGGCAGCCCTGAACCCTGAAAGACCCAGGCCTGCGTCTGACTGCCACCATCCTCGCTCTGGGTCTGTGGGCAATGGAGGAAAGCTCCCTGGGCCTGGATTTCTCCCCGCTCTGGAATGGGAGGGAGAGTAGTAACCTCACTGTCAGGGCTGCTGTGAGAATGCCATGCGATAATGCAAGTCCAGTACTCAGTGCCTGGTACATGGCAGGCACTTATTTTTTTAAAGGCCAACGCCGACTGGTATTGATATTTCACAGGGAGCTGTCGGGACTGCGTGACATCACAATAGCAAATGCCAGTCACGTCAGTGAGGGTTGTCTGCATGCTAGGCATGATTCAAAGCATTTAGCATAGGTGCATATAATAGTTTGCAAGCTGTAAAGTGCTGTCCACATCATAAGAAATGGCAGGCACTGAGCCAGGCCAGGAGACTCAGTCTTCACCTAGGAACTCAGCAAGGCTGAAAACCCCAAATGGGCATCCCAAGTTACCCCTTGAGCTGTGAGCTCCTCAATCATCGTTTACTGTCCCCCCGTGCCTGGTGCAGGCCTCATGCTCAGGGCCAGGGCCAGGTAGTCCCGTCACCTGCTTGAAGGTGTGCATGGCCTCCTGGCGCTGGCTGAAGTGCTTGAAGAGCAGCTGCAGGGCACCCGAGACCAGCGGCGCATAGTCGTGCATGGTGAGGTGGATGAGCACGCGCAGGAACATGCGGCCGCCCTCGTCATCCACCTCCAGCATGCTGCTTGTCTTCCTGCGGGCACAAGGGTGCAGGGCGCATGGGTGAGACTGGCACACTCCCTGCTGTCCGTGGTGGGTAAGGGGCCCTGGCACAAGCACACTCTCCGCCACCCAATTAGCAGATGCAGGGCCAGTCTAAATGTGTTTAAAATATTGACACTTTCTCAGCAGTTTAACAGCCACTCCCCTGAATCTCCGGAGTGACCCGTGTCTCCTGGGATCTCTCGGGACTCCCCTTGATTAAGCAACTGAAGCAAGGACTCTTTTTTTTTTTTTTTGAGACAGAGTCTTGCTCTGTCACCCAGGATGGAATGCAGCCAGTGGCATGATCTTGGCTCACTGCAACCTCCACCTCCCGGATTCAAATGATTCTCCTGCTTCAGCCTCCTGAGTAGCTGGAATTACCAGTGTGTGCCAACACACCCGGCTAATTTTTGTATTTTTAGTAGAGACAGGGTTTCACCATGTTGGCCAGGCTGGTCTCGAACTCCTGACCTCAAGTGATCTGCCCACCTCGGCCTCCCAAAGTGCTGGGATTACAAGCATGAGCGACCACACCTAGCCAGAAACAAGGACTCTTAACACAGATCCCACTGCCACCATGCGGGGGATTCATGGATAGAAGCGGGGCCCATGAACAGAGATGGAGAAAATGTTACATCTTTATTTTTCCCAACCTCTAACCAAAATACAGCATTTCCTTCAGTGAGGAAATATTTGTGGCACCTGTAAGTCTGTCACCAATAAATATAACAGATGTTTTCACATCACCTCAGAGTTGTTAAATCACAAAATATCGTTTATATTCGTCGCTGCCTTGAAGTAGTGGTACTAATTACACCCACCAGTGCAGCTCGCTACTTTACGTATTAGTAAAGAGGCACATACATAACTGTCACTACTAATTTGTTTTCTCCAATATTTTGATAACTCGCTCCAAGCCACTGGTTCCCTTTGTCTTGTTATGTGCTTTATTTTATGAGTTTACAATCACCATTCTGAAAAGCAGTCCATAAGCCCTGCTAGACCCAGGCACAAGCCTGGCCCCAAGATGCTAAAAGCCCCCAGTGAGCCTCTGCCTCCAGCCCCTCAGGGCTTCGGGTGGATGGGATGCATGTCCCCACACTTCCGCCCTGCTGTGGGACTGGGGACGTTGTTCCAGCTGTCCAGCTACCTGACTCAAGTCCACTGCACAAGAGAGGCACACCTGCCCTGAGTAGGGGTGGAAGAATGACGGGATGACTGGGAACCAAAGGGCCCCCCAGATCTCTGGGACTGGGGAGGCAGGGGAGGGGCTGAGCACAAAGCCCGGTGAGGGTCTGCAGAGGGAATGGCAGAGAGGAAGAGCCAGCCCCCAGCCCAGGAACCCAGACCAGACCAAGAGGGGGTGTCGAGCCTCCCAACCCCACACACCCCTGCAGCTCAACCCTGGCCTCACCCCACTCCAAACATGGCCTCCGCCTGCTCCCCGATGCGATCCAGGTTCATGTTGGCAGCTGTGGGGAGAGGGGCAGATGGAAGCAGATTGTAGGCCCAGCCCGGGAAAGAGGGGAGCACAGGGAGACACTCAAACCACCCTCTTCCCTGCACTGGCTGCACAGCAGCTGCTCTGCCTGCCCCTTTCTGGGAAGGAACCAAGTAGGGGAGGAGCCACAGCCCCCTACTCCCCTGCAGGGCAGTACAAAGGGGGCAGAGATCCAGGCTGGGAGTCAGGAGACCAGATCCCGGTCTGGCTCAGCCTCTGACTGGCTGTCACCTCGAGCAAGTCCCTGCTGTTCTGTGAGCCTCAGTTTCCCCATTTGGAAAACGAAGGGAAGGATCCCTGCCCTTCCCCCTCACTGAGGCAATTAAATGAGACAGTGGAAAGAAAAGGCCTTTGCAGACTAGAAAAAGGAGCAGGGCTGAGGAGCTGGCTCCACCCCACTGCTGTGTATCCCTGGGAGAGTCGCACAGCCTCAGCCTGAAGGCAGGGCAGGGGCTTACTGGTAGAGTCGAAGGCAGGGGCTGTGCCATCAGCCCCACTGTCCTGCATGGGAAACACCTCCACAAACTCCTTCTTGAAGACAGACAGCAGGTAGGATATGCGGTAATCCAGGCGGACATTGAGGATGAACTGGAGAAGAGAGGAAAGGTCAGGTGAGGATGGGGTGAGGACTGATCTGAGGTCAGAAGGCCCTTCCTACTTTATGGGGGGCAGGGGGCAGGGAGCCCCCAAATAGGCTCTAGCACTTGGGGCAGCAGGGTCCTCAGCACAGTCATTTGGGATGCTCCAGGATGTCACAGCAAGAAAACAAGACCCCTCTCCCCAGGCCCAGGGTGCCCTCTCCCCAGCTCCTGCCCCAGTGATGGAGTATGAGGGCCTCCTCTCAGCATGAGGCAGCGAGCACCCCTGCGCCCGGCCCACTCAGTCCCTCTTTCCCAAGCTAGACACTGACAGGAAGGGGAATGAAGCCCCCAGGTCCAAAAACTGACTCTTGTCCTCCTATCCTGCTCAGCCAAACAGACCCTGGATACTCATGGGAGGGGAAACTGAGGCCTGTGAGGGAGGAGGAGAGGCTACTGTGGGGCAGACGTGAGGATGCAGGGCTTGCAGACATGGGTGAGTCACACAGTCTCATGGGGCACTGAGCCTTTGGCCAAGCCCCAGGATGCAGACATGGAAGGCCCAGCCCTCAGAATGAGTCAGAAGCTCCCTCCACTCTGACCGCCAGAGGTCCCCCACGGAGGTCACTGCACTACCCTTCCTGCCCTCCGGTGACAGCAAGGCAAAAGCAAGCATCCTCATCCCTCCTCGGGGATGAGCCCCTTCCTGGGGTGTGGCTGGGGAGTCTCAGATGAGACCACAACAGGGATGACTGCATCCACCTTGCCAAGAAATAGGTTCTTAAATCTCTAGCTCTGCTTCAAAATCCCTGTGACCTTGGGAAAGCACCCCCCGGCCCCCGCTTTTACCTCCCCGCTTTTACTTTCCCCATCTGTAAAATGGGAGAATTGAACTAGACTTCAGTGCACCTCAGAATCACCTGGAGGGTTTGTCACAACACAGCCCACAGGGCCCCTCTCCAGTGTTCCTGACTCAGTAGGTCTAGGGTGGGGCCGGAGAATGTGCATTTCTGTTTTTCTTTTTATTTATTTATCGTTATTACTATTTTTTTTAATAGAGACGGGGTCTCACCCAGGCAGGTCTTGAACTCTGAGCTCAAGCAGTCCTCCCACCTTGGCCTCCCAAAGCACTGGGATTACAGGCGTGAGTCACTGCGCACAACCGAGAATGTGCACTTCTAACAAGCTCCCAGGTGAGGCTGGCCCAAGAACCACACTGTGGGAACCGCTGGGCCTGACAGCCAGTCACGATGGAGACTTCCAGTACTAAATACTGAGATCTGAAGGGGTTCGCCCTGCCCAGCCTCCCTGTACCCGCCCCATTACCCTCCCCCTATACCCAACACCTCCCACACGGTCCTGGCCCAGGCACCTGAAGGATTTCCAGGATCTTCAGCTTGGTCTCCATCACCACAATGTCCTCATTCTCCTCAAACTTGCTTCTGTCCAGCGGCTCAGCAGCACTGGCCCCAGCAGACAGGCTGGGGGCACTGAAGACGGACTGCTTGCGGCTCAGCACCATGGTGGACATCATGTGCCCCACGCCCTGGATGGACCGCCGCACATTCTTGCCTGTGGAGGGGGAAGCAGAGGAGGTTGCCAAGGAGGTTGTAGAGGCTGTACACAGGGGTCCCTGGTCTGATGAGGGAGGCAGAGGATGCATAATCTGTTTATGTCAGCTGCAGGGCAAAGCCTTGCTAAGGAAGGGACAGGGCTAACCCAGGAAGGCTTCCTGGAGGACATGAGCTTTAAGCAAATCTGGGAAAAGAAGGAGGTGTCAGGGCAAAGGTGAGCTGTGTGGGGAGATGACTGAGAATTTTCTGTAGGAAACCATGAGAGCAGCTACACAGCCTGGGGGCTGAGAGGACACTGCGGGGAGGACAGCCCCGAAAACCAGTGCCAGGCTCTAGGCACCTTTTGTTTAGATGACTTTATGCAGCCTGGGAGTGTCTGGGAGGGCAGGGCTGCCGCTCAACCCTCAGACAGGCTGTGCCTCCCTCCTCCTCACACACACGATGACAGAGCTGTCTCGCTCCTCCCTCACTATCTCCCCTCAAGACCAAGCAGGGTTGGAAGGCAACTCCCACAGACCCGGGGTCTCCAGGGAGTCCGGGCAGGGACCCCTCTGGTCCTGCTGAGGTGGGAGGGGCTTGGGCCCAAGATATCCCCTTGAGGCAGAGCCAGGTTGGGTGGGGGGAATGCGGGGCTGGGGAAGGTGTTGATCTGAGGGAACTTCCTGTGCTAGGAGGAGGCTGAGGACCACCAGGGTGGCCCGAGCCGGGCAAAGGCCTCACCACCGGGGTCCTCATAGGCCTGCAGCATGGCCGGGGGCC
Organism: Homo sapiens; assembly: GCF_000001405.40. Lineage (NCBI taxonomy): Eukaryota > Metazoa > Chordata > Mammalia > Primates > Hominidae > Homo > Homo sapiens. The sequence continues at coordinate 33,671,267 of NC_000006.12, read as the reverse complement.
CCTGCACACAGTCGATGATGCCCAGCAGTGTGCGAGTGAGCCGCAGCAGCTCGCTGAAGCTGTAGAAGCCGAAGTAGATGAGATTGTGCGCCAGGCTGACCACCTGCGAAGGGGGCGTGGCCGAGGTGAGGTGGGAGGGGCCGGCGCGTAGGGGCGGGGCTTCGTGGAGGGCAGGCCAGGACTGGGGAAACTAGGGCGAAAGGGGCGTCATGAGGACGGGGTTCCCAGGAGGGAGAGCGGAGCAGGGAGAGGCAGCCCTTTCCCAGGCATTGGAACAGGAGCCTGCCTCTTGGAGAATCCCAGCCTTCTATGCGGTCCCCCTGCACTGGCTGGGGACACAGAAGGAAGTGGGGTCATGGATCCCACAGCCGACTCCTGGGTGAAGACCGAGGCCAGTGTGGGGCCAACAAGAGCTCCACGGACCCCCAGCCCCTGGGCACTCCCCCAGCCACCTCAAAAGTGAGCTTGTTCTTCTCCTCGTTGGCAAAGGGCACGGCCTCGCTGACTACATTGTTGAGGTAGTCCTCCACGAACTCCATGGTGTTGGCAAACTTGTTCTTCTTGTCATCTCGGGACGCGTTGAGGTTGGAATCATAGCTGAGGGTGGAGGCCATGAGGCATGAAGGTCCCCGAGATACACCCACTCCAGCCTCTGCCCCTGCCCCGCCCACCCTGCCTCCACCCCTCTCACTCCTTGATGGTGATGGCTGTGGGGATCTCAGTCCAGAGACGGGCAAACTTGACCGGCGTGACCAGCTCCTGGGGGTCACGGTCCACGTGCACGTGCAGCATCAGGTGGCAGAAGGAGGCGCGCAGGTCAAAGGGCAGCATCTCGTCTGCCATGCACAGGAAAATCAGGTCCACGCCCAGCTGCTGGGAGATCTCGTCGATGGCCAAGTACTGGCGGTCCAAGCACATGCGGGCAAAGAGCTTCAGCTGGTACCTGCAGGACAGGGAGGACTGTGAGGACACGGCAGATGGCAGCCGGGAGGCTGCTGGCACTGGGCACTAGACTTGGTGAGGACTCAGTAAAGTGGCAAAGGGATTAGGTTAAAGATGCGCCAGCTGCAATTCTGAGTTAGAAAGGTGAACGGAAAACCTGTCTGTGATAACCAGTACTTGCAATTCTCCCCCTCCTGGCTAAGGCTCAGCCAGGACAGGTCTTCATGGGAAGAGGGACGTCTGAAAGATGAGGGAAAGGGTGGGAGACAGGGGAGGGCAGTGAGATGAGAAGAGCCAGCCTTGGCCAGGGAGGGTGAGGGCAAGATGGGAGAGGGAGGAGGGGGAGGTGGGGAGGTGGTGAAAGGGGTGCAACCTTGATAGAGGGGATACCAAAATGAGGAACGTGGGAAGCTCTGTGCTGCCCTGGCAATACCAGGCCCTCTGCCTCCTCCTCACAGACATGACTTCCTGGGGGCTCTGGAGCCAGATAGCCTGGGTGTGGGCCCTGGCTCTCTACTGATGGCTGTGTAACCTTGGGCAAGTTCCTTTACCTCTCTCTGCCACTGTTTCCCCAGCTTTACAACAGGAGTAACTATAGTAGCTACAACAAGGGTTGTCATGTGGCTCAAATGAAGGATCAGGACAAGTGCTTAAAAAAGTGCCCACTACGTGGCAAGCATTGTAAGAAGGGCGTCTAAAGAGATTATTATGATGATGATTTGTTTTTTTGAGACAGAGTCTTTCTCTGTAACCCAGGCTGGAGTGCAGTAGTGCGATCTTGGCTCACTGCAACTTCCGCCTCCCAGGTTCAAGCGATTCCCATGCCTCAGCCTGCCAAGTAGCTGGGACTACAGGTGTGCACCACCATGGCTAGCTAATTTGGTGAGATTATTTTAATAATATACATGTTTGAAAACAGTCTGGGTTTCTTTGAAGCCTGGTTCCTGTGCCGAGCCACCCAGTGCTATTCGGGGCACACAGTCCTCTTCACTCAGCCTTCCTGGAATGAGGCTTCGTGGCAGGGGAGTGACAGCAGGGACTCCGCTTCTGAGGAGGCAGGAGCCCCACCTGAGGCTGTCAGAGCTCATCCTCAGCAGGGATTGACTGACGGCCTACTGAGAAGGCCCAAAGGCACAGGAAGAGGGAGGGGAGGAGCTGGGGCGGGGCACCTGTAGTAGCTGAGCACATTCTCGTCGTGGGCGTTGCCGGCCCGCGCCTCCTGGGCCAGCTGCCTCACACTCTTCTCATGATGCTCGTTATTCTTGTCAGTCCACGTGAGCCACACTTCCTCTTCTGAGTACTCGATGCTCAGGTACTCGTGGGATTGGGCCATCTCCTTCACGGGCCGAAGCCTGCAGACCACCAGCAACCTGTCACAGGGAGCCAGGTCCAGGGCACTACGCCTGGACCCCTCCCTGAGCACACCCGGCCACACAGTGCCAGCCACCACGGGGACCCAGAGAGACCATATGCATCTCAAGGGCAGGGTCCGTGGCTCATTCTTTTCTGTGCCCCTTCCCCACTCCCCCACAGTGCCAGGCACACAGCGGGGCACATAACAGGCACAGAGTTCACAGCTGCAGAGAGCAAGGGTGCCAGTTCCAGCCTGAACCCAGACAGGGCCTAAGCTCTAAGACAGCTGGGGGTCAGCAGCGTGGAGCCCAAGTGCGGGCAGGGGGCACAGGGCTCACTCGGTCCGGATGAGAATGTCACTGTTCTTGGGGTCCAGCACACACTTGCAGATGAGCTCTTGGGTGACGGGGATGGCGATGTGGTTGGACACACACAGGTCAGAGAGGTAGTCCAGGAACCTGGGGTGGTGACAGCCAGCGGTGGGAAGAGGGTCTCAGAGGCTGGTCCCTCTAAGGACAGAGCCCACCCTTCCCCTTCCCCAGCTGGCAGCACCGCCACCCTGGAACTAGCTCCCTCCCAAGGCTTAGAGATGGGTGGGATGGACTCCCAGCTCCCCAAGGAGGGAAAGCCCCAGGGCATCACCCTGGGGTCCGGGAAGGCTAGATGGGGGTTCAGACGGACAGGGTGAGGAAGCGCAAGGGCCGAGGTGATATTCAAAATATTTAACAACTGGTTCAATACAGGTTCTGACTTTGTCACTGGAGAAGGTCTTGGGGGCCTCTAGTGGTACAAGGAGTCATTCCCATTGTTGCCAGAGTGGGCCAAATTTTAGGGGATCCCAGAGAAGGGCTAGGGAGGCTAGGGCCTCCCAGTGCTGAGCCACCCAGTGCTATTCAGGGTGGCAGTTACCAACAGGTGCAGGAATAGTTCACACAACCAGCAGAGTTTCTACCCAGGCAAGGGAGGAGGGAGGAGCAGGCGCCGGCCGGGGAGGGGGTTCGGGCCCACCTGGGCTCCCGGTTCTTGCGCACAAGGCTGACGAAGGTCTCCACCTCGGTCTTGGTGATGTGCTTTTCCAGGAGCTTGCGGTTGTTGTGCAGCAGGGCAGTGATGGTGTCCTCGGCCAGGATGTCGTAGCCAATCTGGGACTGCATCATCCCAAACTGCTTGGCAATGTGCTCCTGGGGGGGCAGACAGGCTGGGGGTCACAGAGAGTCACAGGTGGGCCAAGGGCCCAGCTCTGCTCTGGAACGCTGCCCCCAAACCCCGAGGTAAGGACCCAATACCCTAGAAAGGCAGAGGTCCAGGAAAGGAAGCATCGCTGGGCAGAAGAGTGGCTTACATTACATAGTTATTTAGCTTGTGGGCTGTTTCCCACCAGAGCGAAACCTCCACGAGGGCAGGGACCTTGTTTGTGTGGAAGGATTGGCTACATAACTTGTAGGGCCCAGTGCAGAATGAAAGAGCAGGACCCTTGCTCAGCAGCAGAGCATCTAACCCAGTGCAAGGCCCTTGTGAGCACCGGGCCAGGTCCCATTCCCATGAACCCGGCCCTGCTGTCTGGTGCCCTACTGGACCCTAGGCCCCAAAACAGTGCCTGGCACAGCACATGTGCCTGAGGAAATCGCTTGCTGAGGAAGGAACGTGCAGCCAGCGAGTGGGCCAGCAGGGCAGCGGCGCACCTGGTTCTTGCGGTAGTCCTCCTGGGAATGCCGCAACACGCGGTAGCACAGGCGGAACATGTGCTGGTAGGGGGCGTTCTTCTGGTCTGACAGCTCCTCCAGCCGCACCAGGGGACCTTCACCCCCCTTCTCACGGAACGGGGCCTTCAGAATGCCAAAGACCTGGGGGAATACAGAGGGTGAGGACTGATTCCCCAACACCTGTCTGTACCCCTAAGTCATCCCAGGAGTCATCCCTGAGTCCCAACTGACTCTGCCCTAAAGCCAGCCCGGACATCAGCTTCGAGCTGATTCTAAGCTGGACCACAACCCCAGCCCAGCCATCCTCAGCCCCAGCTCTCCCTACTCCTTGTTGGAATCCCGAAGCTGACCCCAGCCTATCCCTCCCTGATGCGGATTCTAATCCCAGCTCAGATCTGGGGCCTGGGGGAGGAGCAGAGGGTCTCGGCAGCTCAGGGTCTAAGGCTAAGAGAAAAGGCAGGCCGGACCGCTGTGGCCAGAGCTTAAGAGATGAGACACAGGCCTGCCTTGTCAAAGTAAAATGTTACATAATTACAAAAATGTTTTAAAGGCTGGGGCTGGGTGGAGAGGTGAAAAATTGTTCTGAAACAGAGACCAAAGTGACAGAGCAACAGAATGGAATGAAAAAACCTTAATTGGATCCTCGTTTCTAAAAAAAAAAAAACAAACTTTACAAAGACATTCTGGGAACATTAGAGAAATGTGATATGGACTTGGTATTGTTGTAATTTTCTTAGGTGTGATCATGTACTATGGTTATGTAAGGCAATGTCCCTATTGTTAGGGATGCCTGCTGAAACTTTTGGGTGTAAAATGCTGCCTATTTTGCAATGTGTGGATGGAAAGACGGATGTGTGAACCGAGCTACATAAAGCCAAGGCAGCAAAACAGTGAGGCACCTTGTTCCCTGTACTATTCTTCCAATACTTTCTCAATATTTGATGATTCTCATAATAAAAAAATTTTTAAAAAAATTTTTTGAAGCACAGCTCTGGACCCAACATCACAAGCTCAAATCCTGGCTGCCGCTTCCTAGCTGTGAGCCCTGGGACAGCGACTCTGGCCTGTGTTTCAGCTTCCTCACCAGTAAAACGGGGTAAGAATCACGGCGCCTCCTCCAGGCAGTGAGGATCAAATTCGTCAACACATGTGGGGTACTTAGGGAAGTCCCTGGCACGTGGTCGTGCCCCATATATACTGATTTTTGTTAAAGCGGGGGATGAGCCTGCAGTTGAAGGCATCCCTCTCCCGGGCACCCGGCCCCTCTGCGTCCCCTCATGGGTGCACACGCACCTGTTTGAGGATGTTCTGCTCCCTCATCAGCTTCTGCCGTTCCCGGTTGGGCTTAGTGACCATGATGTCCAGGACATTCTGCCCATTGTTGGGGACATCGCTGACAAAGAACACCAGGTCTTCCAGCAGCTGGATGACAAACCTGGGTGAGGGGACCCGGGGATGACGAGTGTGAGATACCCACCCAGCAGGTGTCCCTCTTGGGGAGCCAGTCCCTCCCAAAACATGGCTTTCATGAGTTCACTCAGCGGCCCCCAAAGCACAAAACCCATCCTCAGCCTACAATTCCTCTTCCCGGCTTTCCCCTGAAATGCTCTCCAAACACGCCCAGCCCCACCCACCCTGGATTCCAAAGTGGCCCCAAGACACAGAATCTCAGAATATCCCAACCTGGAAAGGAAGTACAGGGCACAAGGCGGGGAGTCTGGTGTGAAGGGGGCTGCATTTGCATCCTGACTCTGCCACTTACTAACTGTGACCCCGAGCAAGTCTCGTAACCTCTCTGAGCCTCAGACCCATCATAACTGGCCTTGAGACCAGGCTCAACACAGTAACCAGCTCCATCATAGGGTTAGTTCTGGGAGTACCTAAGCCGTGAGGCACCCAACTCCAGGGTCCCAGGCTCAGCCAGGGCCCCACAGGGGCCAGTCCCCTACTCTCTCCCCAGTTTGCCCAGCTTCTGCTTCATGACTCCTTTCTTCATGAAATGCAGGCCCTGGGAGGGCAAGATCACTCAGAAAACCCCTGTGCCACTGCAGCCCACCTGCGGTCATTCTGGCTGATGAAGCCCTCGTTGAGTTTCTCCACGGCACTGGCCAGCATGGAGCTGGCGTCATTGGCAAAGTCCAGGTCTCGGATCTCAGACACGGGCACTGACACGATGGCAAAGGCCTCCTTGTCCTCCTTGGTGGGGCAGGTGCCCAGCTGCAGAGACAGGGGTCAGCAGGGCACCTGGGAACAAGCTCCGGCCCTGGCCCCAGCCCCACCCCCACCCCAGGGACACGCACCATGAGCCGGATGGGCCGCTCCTCCTCGATGTCAATGGGCACATTGGTGCTCTGAATCCACGTGTTGGTGCAGAGGTGCCGCAGCCGGACGTACGAGTTCCTGCAGGTGGGTGGGAGGGAAAGGACTCGGGGAGTGCACCACAGAGCACGTCATGCTGCCTGCCGGCCTACCTCCCCAACACTGCCACAGCTGCCACCCTACTCCACACCCTCAACAGCTGTGGGACAGGAGCCACTGGTGCCCCTCCAGATGAGGAGGCTGAAGCCAGATAAGAACAGCCAGAGCTAGCCCTGCGCCCAGGCCCCGTCCTGACCACTGCACTGACACGGGCAGCCTTGTCCACGCTTCCAAAACCAAAGCTTGTTTGTACACTTGGGACCAAAATTCATTTGGACAAATGAGGCTATTTAACTATTTATCCCATTGAATGTCAAGATGCACACATTTCATAGAAACACATGCATTACACAAAAATACTCAATGTCTATGATTACAAAATGCAAGTTTACCTTTCTAAAATGAAAAACAATCTGAATACCAAATCCATCTACCCCCAAGAGTTTCAGGGAAGGGACTGTGGGCCTATGTAGTGACTCAATTAACTCTCCCATTAGCCCTGTTGACAGGGAAACTTGATGTTCCCACTAAAATGATGGAGGCAGAGTGAGTAGCAGCCTGAGGTCATACAGCTAAGGACACGCCAAAGCCTGTACTGACACTTGAGAAGTTTCTTGATGTTCCGTCCTAGAATCTCGGGGTTGGCGGGACCTCAAAGGCCAGAGAGTCTGGCCTTCCCATCCAGTGTTTGGGTTCCCTGTGCTGCTGGTGTCCTAGACAAACTGCCATGCAGCCTGTGCTTGAGCACCCAGACCAACTGGGGCAGGCGCCAGGCACCAGGCAGGCATGCAATGGTGGTCAGCCGCCGACAGACTCAGAGCTAGATCCCCAGAGGGATGGGACCTACAGAGACCCCAGAGGCTAAAGGACCGCAGGAGGGCGGAGGAGTGGGGGATCCAGAGAGTCCCAGAGACAGGAGGGCCCACCCTGAGCACCACCAGTCAACTCCCAGGCACATGGCGCATACCCACCGGGGCACGAAAGAGTCGGTTTTCTGCAAGGTGGTGGGGTCCAGCTCAAAGAGAGAGGCGATGTCATTGCCATGAGGCACAGCCACCAGGCAGTACTTGATCTTCTCCCCAGCATTCCTGCGGCCTGTGCGGCCCTGTGCCCCCTGGATGAGGACCCCAAATCAGGTAGAAGGCCCTCCCTCTTCTCAAGCCCATGAAGCACCTGGGATCCCACCTGAGATCCCATCTGTCTCCCTCCAGCCCACCTCCCAGGTTTTCACGGCCTCCCCTGCCCCCGCCTACCCCCAGGGCAGGCCCATGGTCTCACTGGAGACCTGCTTTGCTCCTCACCATTCCTGCTGCCTTGGGATCTGAGGCATCACCTTTGTAACTGGGGTTCTCCTGGACAGAGATACAAGATGTGGGGGAGCTACTGGACACCAAACTATACCCACACGACCCACTGCAAAACATGGTCACCTACATAGGGCCCTGGGTTTGGGCAGGCAGGCTGCACCCTCCCAGGGGTGCCCATATCATTCCAGGGGAGCCCTTCATGGCCCCTCTCCATAGAACCACAAATGAACATACACACATACACACCAATGCTCCAACACACACAAGTGTGCGCATTACAGACAGACGGGAAATTTTGCTCACTTTGTATCCCCTGTGCCTAGAATAGTGCCTGGCACATAGTAGGAGCACAGTGATATTTATTAGGCTTATTTACAGTCATGCCTTTATTTGATAATATTGGATAAATGCATGAGTGCAGAGAAGTCAGGGTCCATAGGCACATGTGCCACATATGCAAGTATGTGCACACATGTTCCCGCACACCCACGTGTACATGCACACACGAGCCCCAGCATGCCCTCTACCTCCCGCTCACCTCAGCAGCCAGGTAGTTGCCTGTAGCCAGGTGCTTGAAGCGGTACAAGCCATTCCAGTGCCCAGCTCCTCCACGGCAGGGGTCGTGGTGGACCACCTAGGGGCACACAGGTGTGAGGCAGGAAGGAGAGACTGGACAGGCATGGGGAGTCAGACCCCAGGGAGGCCTGGAGATCTCTGGGTGGGTGGGTTCTGGACCCTCTCTGGCCTTTTGACTCTGGAGGGACTCAGAGGGAGGTAGGGGTCAATATCCCACCCTCCAGGATGGTGGGGAAGAGGGAGGGGTGGCATCCAAGGCTGAGTCCGGGGTGCCAGAAGCAGGGCTTTTCTGACCTCCACCTCCCAGAGAGCATTGGAGCTGGTGGCCGAGGTGGCAGACTGGCGCAGTGTAGTTCGCAGGAACACCTGCAGCTTGCCCTTGTACTCGTCACACGTCAGGAACTTCTCCTGCTCCGCATGGAACAGCCGCACCACGTCTCCCTGCAGGCAGCAGGGTGTGGCTCAGGATGGCTGCGGCCCCTCCAGGCTCAAGGACCCACCCAGGGCCCAGCCCCACCTGCCTCAGACAGGGTTGGCTGCTGGCAGGGCCCCTCTTCCAGAGCCAGCACACAGAGAGGGGGATGCAAGCTGAGCCCCCTAGAGAACAGCCAAAGCCCAGGCACTCTGCCCTCAGCCCGCATCCCAGACCCCAAATCCAGAGCTCTCCCAGGCCTTCCCATGTTCAAACCCACCCTGGACCACCTCTCTCCCTATGTGTACCTCTAGACACCCTGCCTAACCTCTAACGGCCCATCTCCAGTCACCCCCTCCATGAAGGAGGGGGACCTTACCCCCTCAGTGTCCCCGGGGCCATGGCTGCCCCTCTCTCAGGGTCCTTTCTGCCTAAATATTGGTAGCTCATGCCCACTTCTTTTGCTCCCCTGTTGGATGGGGGCAGCATGGAGGGCATCTCCATAGCTTTGGACAGAGATACCACGTTTGGATCCTGTCTTTTTTTTTTTTTTTTTTTTTTTTTCAGAGACAGTCACTCTGTTGCCCAGGATGGAGTGCATGGCACGATCTTGGCTCACTGCAACCTTCGCCTCCTGGGTTCAAGTGATTCTCATGCCTCTGCCTCCTGTGTAGCTGGGACCACAGGTGCCTGCCACCACGCCCGGCTAATTTATTTTATTTTTAGTAGAGACGGGGTTTCACCATGTTGCCCAGACTGGCCTCAAACTCCTAAGCTCAGGCAATTCACCCACCTCAGCTTCCCAAAGTGCTAGGATTACAGGCATAAGCCACTGTGCCCGGCCTCTGTCTCTGCTCTTAAAAGCTGTGTGACCTCAGATAAGTTCCTTAACATGTCTGAGCCTCAGTTGCCTCTTCTGTAAAATGGGAATACAATGACCTCCTTGCAGAAATTGTGAGGATTATAATATGCGTGATGAAGTCACACTGCACACTTACCGCGTGCCAGCCACTGTGCAAGCACTTGAAAGCTTTCTCACCTGATCCTCACATCAACCCTCTGGGTAAATACATCATTAGCCCCATTTTATGGGTGGAGAAACTCAGGCATAGAGAAGGTAAGTATCCTGCCGAGGGTCATGCAACTAATGGCAAATGGGACATGAATCTTTGGCCCAGTTCCAGGGCCTGCACCTTAATCATTCCATCACCTTCCTCCCGCTGAGCCTGCCGCCCAGCAGGCACACAATGCATGGCTGCCACTCTTGCTATCATCACTAATGGCACTTTCTGTCTTCCCTCCACTGAACACACACTAGACACAAAGCATTCAGTGAACACCTGCAGAGTGAATGCAGCAGTGAATGCAAGAATGCATGAATGAATGACGATATAAAGATTGGGTCAGTTACTATGGCAGAACCTAGTGACTTCTGTGCCCCAGTAGCGCAGGGCAGGGGCAAAAAAGCAGTGGACTTAGCACCAGAAAGCCTTGCTTCTGAGCTGCCTTGGAACCACGGAGCCATGACGGATTCCCCAGAAATAATTCTATGTAGACCACAGAGTGAGGCCCAAGTGATGCTTCATTTTATTTATTTGTTTGTTTGTTTGCTTGTTTGTTTTTTTTGAGAAGGAGTCTCGCTCTGTCACCCAGGCTGGAGTGCAGTGTGGTGCAATCTTGGCTTACTGCAACCTCCACCTCCCAGGCTCAAGCGATTCTCCTGCCTCAGCCTCCTGAGTAGCTGGGACTACAGGTGCCCACTGCCACGCCTGGCTAATTTTTGTATTTTTAGTAGAGAAGGGCTTTCTCCACGTTGGCCAGGCTGGTCTTGAGCTCCTGACCTCAAGTGATCCACCCGCTTCGGCCTCCCAAAGTGCTGGGATTACAGGCATGAGCCACCCCGCCCGGCCAAGATGCTTCATTTCCTAAGTGCTGCACAGATTCGGGGCTGGAACATTAGGGAAGGCTTCCAGGAGGGGTAGTGCATGGCTGCACCTTGATTAATGTGTGGATGATGTGCAGATTTAAGGGAGGGAGGGAGGGAGAAGGCATTGGGGCAGGGCATGGGTAGACGGGAAGCAGCCCAGGAGGTAAGAAGGATGAGGAGGGTGGGGGACTGAGGCAGCCTGAGCAGGGCAGGAGAGTCTAACAGAGCAGCTCAGCGTGGGGAGGAGGGCAAAGGGAGCCATTGCAGCTTCCGAGCAGGGAGGAGCACCTAAGACTCCTTAGGTGGCTGCTCTCGGGCCTGTCACCTGTCCCTCTAACAGGTTTCACAGCTGATGTTCCTGCCTGCTCCCCTAGCTGGACAGCCTCACACTCTACAGATCTGCCCTCCCTCAAGACCGTCTACACCCCGTCTGCTGGTTCCATCCCTTGCAGCCCCACCCAAGAGACATCTGAACTCTCCTCTCTCGCCCACATCTGCTGTTCAGGGTTTCTTGAATGGTCTCTCTGGTGGCCCCAGACAGCTCCCTCTGCCCTCAGTCCTGGATCCTCCCGAAGTCTTCACTGCAGTATTTCCCAGGCCTCCCTTCTCTCCCAGAGCCCACACCAGCATGTCTGGGACCAGGAAGGAGACAGGCGGTGACCCCTAACTCAGCAGACAGGGCAGCCTCACTCGCTTGCCAATGAGGGCACAGGGCAAGGGGCGGGGGCCTGGTGTGGATCCAGGCAGCAGGAGTTGGGGAGAGGAAGGTGCTCAAAGGCTCTGGGTGGTGGGGGGATGGAGACCCCCAGTCCACTGACACCCCCTTAAACAAGGGAGAAAACAAAGACCAGGCAGGACCCAGGGAGAATGGAGAAGGGAGCTGTGGCCAGAGACGAGAGAAGCGGCAGCCCTGGTAGGGCCATGTGGGTGGGGCCCTGTGGAGGTGGAGGGAGGCTGGGGGGTGCAAAGCTGGGGAGAGGGTAAGGGCCTGAGGCCTGGCGGGTGGAGAAGGCAGGAAGAGGGCCCTGGTGGGGAGGGCTAGGTGGCCAGCTGGGCAGGGCAGGGGTTCCCAGTCCTTACCCCTTTCAACACCTCCTCCAGGTGGTCCCGAAACTGCATAAACAGGTTGATCTTCCAGCTGGTGTTGCAGTTCACAGAATTGACCTGCGGAAGGGTGACAAGACCCGTGACGCCAGGTGGACCCCAGCCACTGAGGGCCCAGAGCAGGGCTGAAGGGAAGAAGCAGCCCAGCCACCATTACAGCACAAGGACAGGGTGTCTTCTCCTAGCCAGGGTCCCCAGACCCCAGCCCGGCTACCTTGGGGCCACCAGCCTGTGGGGTGGAGAATGAGGGCAGTGTTGGGAAATGGATGCAGAAGCCGTGAGGCCCAGCTTGTCCGGCAGGTCAGATGGGGCTGGAGGCAGAGACCATGGCAGGGAGCGGGGTGTCTACACCACCAGGGGTGTGTGGACGTCCCTGCACTGCATGGCTGACCCCCCACCCCCTCACCTCCTTGCAGCCGGCGTTGTCGCTGAGCTCGTAATTGCTGGCATGCAGAGGCTGCCCGGCATTGACAGGATTCAGGATCACCTTGTCCCCCACGACCACCTGAGCAGACAGGTGGGACAGGTTAGGTGGGAAGGGCAGGGCCCTCTTGTCACCACGCCTCCAGGCCTCCCTTTGGTCTCAGTCTGCCCTTCTAAGAAATGGGCATGCCCTTATCCAGTCCCCACACCGAAGACCCTACAGAAGCCCCTCGGGAGTTCCACCAGGCCCCTCCAACCCTGGCCCTGCCCTCACGTTGTCCCCGTTGCTCCGCAGCTTCCAGAAGGGCTGGATGAAGAGCCAGGAACCCTCGTTGCCTGTGGCATCCAGAGTCACCCGCATGGCGTTCTTCTCCAGCAAGGCCGGAAGCCGCTTGTTCACTGTCAGGTACTTGTTGCTCTTCATGTGCAGGAGCTGGGGGTCAGGTGGGGTGCGGGAAGGTCACCGCGCCACAGGAGTCGGCCCATTAGGGAGGGGATATGGGGGGATCCCCTAGACCCTTGGTCACATTCTGGCTGCACACATAGTGTCAGACACCTGTCACAAACATACAGGCTGACACCCACATTCACAACCACAATCACACACAAACGTGCACACAACAGGCACACCCCCATGGACACCCTGGTGATCACAAGAAAGAGGCTGTTCTAAATACTTTACATAGATTAGCTCAAGTAACCTACAACGATCCAAGAGGGAAGTACTATTACTGCCTGATTTCACAGATGGGGAAACCAAGGCGCCAGGGGACGTTAGGTAACTTGCCCAAGTTACACCATTAGGAGTGGCAGAGCCAAGATTTGAATCCAGACAACGTGGCTCCAGACTCCATGCTGATGGCCACCATGCTGTAAACACACCCATGGCACAGCTACTCAGGCCACACAGCAACAGACACACACACAGTCAGACGCACAGCCACACAGGTGGCCCCAGGGCCACTCATTCACCCGGGGACACACATGCACAGAGGGCAATGCCTGCTGGCAGCCCTCACCCAGCACCAGCCCAGCCTCTTAGGCAGGGAGAGGGGCAGGCGGGAGAGAGGCAGGCCAGCCTCACCTGGATCACACTGCCATACTTCACGACATCCCCATGCACCTTCTTGTTCTCCGTGTCATTTTGCTTCTGCTCCATCTGCGCCGCATGCTGCACAGACACACACAGAAGTGAAGGGTGGGCTCAGAAGCTGCTCCTAGAGGAAGACATACCCCAGCCCCACACATGCACGCACACATGCACACAAACACACACACACACACACAGTCACCCTGGACTCCAGGACCCCTTGGACCCCTGCCCCAGCTCTTGGTGCTGCACCCAGAGTGCTGCACTCTGAGTGCAGAAGGCAGCCTGAGGTCTCACAGCACACACAGCCCAGGGAGCCAAATCCCTAACCCTCCCCAGCCACCTCCCCTGGAGAGGGCATGCCAGCAGGACCTTGAGCATCCCCCGCAATCCCCTTACCCCCCCAGGAACCTAAAGCTGTGTGTGTCTCACCACCCACCCCCACCTCACCAGACTCCCAATGCCCCAGACACGGGACCCTTGTCCCAGTCCAAACGCTGGCAGGGGCTGCTTGGTGCCATTTCCTGGCTCCCACCACCACCCCCACTCCTCTGCAACCTTCCCTCCCAAAACTGTGTGCATTCAGCCCACTGCCTCCAGGCAGCCCTCCCTGAGTGGTCACATCCCAGTCTGATGGATCCACTGCTGGTGGCCTTGAGGATTTGGTTTGCATCCCATTAGAGACAGCTTTTTAGGCTCTTCTGTCCTCTGTTAGACTGGAAGCTGCCTAAGGATAGGTGCCCTGCCTCCTTACCAGATTAGGGGTTCCTGGAGGGCAGGAGCCCTGTCCCCTCCATCAGACTGGCACTCTCTGAGAGCAGTGGTCTCTGTCCTTTCCTCCTCCTCAGTCCTTTACTGAGACCGAGGCGAAGGTGGCAGCAGGAGAGCCTTGCCATGGACCATGTGACTTTCCACAAAGCAACAGCATGTGGCTGTGTGACCGCTTGCGGTTCTGATTATGTGGCTCTGCATAGGTGAATGCCCTCCCCCCAGGCCAGATCCCCAGCTCAGCCTCTACCTGCTGGCAGCAGGAAGGAAGCCTGTTGCAGCCCCCATTCCAGGAAGAGAGCTGAGGTATTAATACTAGAGCTCAGGCAGCCCACCTGCAGCTCCCTCTCTCCAGCCCAGTCCACAGCTATAAGGCGCAGCCCAATGTCCCCATTCTAGACCCACCTCCTCTAGGCGTGGGGCTTAGAGGAAGGGGACAGAGAGAAGCAAGGTTTGTATGACAAGGGGTGGGGCAACAGGGCCCAGGGCCCAGGCTACAAAGTTCTTGACCACAGCCAAAGCCTCCCACTCTCTTTGTGGTTTGGGGAACGGGGTTGGGACCCCGAGATCTGCCCAGGATGTGAACTGAGCCACTGCCCACAAGGGGCTCATGAGCGACCACCACATTCCAGCATCATGGCACGATCCACATGTCTGAGGAAGCCAGGGTGAGTCAGAGACCTGGGGGCCATCTAGGCTCTACTGCAGACTTACAGGATGGTCAGACCATGGACAGACCAGTCCCATCTAAGGGCCCCAGGCTCCAACTCTATAAAACAAGGGGAGAGGTTAAGACTAGATCCAGGGCTCCCAAATTGGGTTCCCCAGAGCCACTGTCTCCAGGAGCCACTGGGAACTCCATGGACAGCTGTACAGGTTGTTCACTGCTCTATGGTGTCGACATTCCACTCTCTGAGCCATGCACCCTGGCACAGGGCTGTGCCAGCCTGGAGGAAGGGGCACTTTCTTCTCATTGACACAACAGAGTTACACAGACTGGTGGGTCACTGGGAAGGGATCCTACTCCCCCCACATCCCCTCCTTCACAGCAATTCACACCAATCTCTTGCGTATTGGAATTTATTTTTTTATTTTTATTTTTTATTAATTTTTTGTAGAGATAGGGTCTTGCTATGTTGCCCAAGCTGCTCTCAAACTCCTGGCCTCAAGCAATCCTCCTGCCTTGGCCTCCCAAAGTGCTGGAATTACAGGTGTGAACTGTCACGCCCATACGAGTTTTAGAAACCACTCAGCTCAGCCACAGAGCCCCTACTGGCTCCGACAAGCAGCACCGCTGCTTGTGTACCCAGGTTCCTGGTACATGTGCACAGATGCACGCCTGCACACACACACATACCTGCAGCTTCTGCAGCAACACCACATCAGCGATCTTCTCCTTGTCCTGCTTAGTCTGCTTGGCCTTCCAGTACTGCTTCTGGGCCGAGTAGCGGTTCATGGGGCACACCTTGAAGAGGCAGTCTGTGGTGGGGCAGGTTGGGGGTGAGGGGAATGATTCATCTGGGGCTCAGGGCCCTCCCTGGAGAAAACCCCAGCCTGCAGCTCTTCTCTCCCAACCCTTCCCCACCCCCGTTCCCCGCTGCAGGTAGAGAGGAAGCGGTTGGAAGAACCTCACAGAATTTGGAGCATCCTGGAATATGCTGAGTAGAATGGGGAGGCTCAGAGGCAGGTTTGAGAGCAGTGCATCTCACTTGGTGGGGTGGACACGTGCCCTCTTCCCCTAGGAGATTTACCAGAGGCTGCTGGGGCCTCACCCTTATGCCATGTCTGTGCCCAGCTTTTGTGAGTATTGGCAGCTAACAGCTCACATCTGCATCCTCTTTAGCTAATTGCCTTGGCTGATGGAAACCATCTTGCACACAGATGCCTGGGAAATGACATACCCCTCTTCCCAGGGGCAGCCCCTATCCAGTGACTGACACAGGCATAGAACAGCCCAGCCTCTGGAGGGGACAGTCCGAGGAACAGCTCACAATCCTGAGCTCCCCGAGGGGTCAGGCTGAGGCGCATCTTCCACTGAAACCACACCCTTGCTCAGCTTCTTCTCCTGCCCTATACAAAGAGGAAGAGGCTCCCTCACTGTGTTCTCCTGAGAACTTCCTCAAGAATTCACCCATCTTAGGCTCTGCTTCTAGGAATCTGACCTAAGACAAGGCAAATCCAAATTCCAGAAACATGTTCTCTAGTACAATTTTTATTTTGGCAAGTAGATAAAACAAGTGTCATTCCCATAAGCCTAAGCTGCAGGAAGGGTGTCCAATTTTTCTGCTTATCCAAAGGAGGCAGGAGTTGGAAAAGCCTGTTCGAAAGCTTGGTAGGAGGGGAGGGAGGATTCTGGGTGCTGGTGAGGGGCTGGTGTGGGTGACTGGGCCTGTGTGACAATAGCCTGGGCTGGGCTGGGAAGCAGTGAGCTCCCCATCACAGGAGGGATCCACAGCCTGGGCACGGAGCAGGACTCAGTGGCCCTGAGATCCCTCTCATGCTGCAGCTGTGTGAGTCCCTGATTGTACAATGCTCTGGCAGTGTGGAACAGAAAGGAGATGGCTGTGTGGGGAGACTGGAGAGGAGAGAGCCACTCGAGGGTCCCAGAAACAAAACCCCTTCTTCAGGTCCTTTCCTGTTCCCTCTAAGAAAGCTGTGTCTTTTCTCTGGTCAAAGCTGGTCATCCAGTCCCAAGGGACCAAAGAAAAATTAGATTTTCCATCCAGTTCATAAGGAGGCAAAAGCTCCATGGGACCATCGGGAGTAGAAACAGAGTGAACCAAAGATCAAGGAAGACAGAACTTCCTAGAAAGAAAAGGGAAAAATGGCAATTCCACAAGCAGATGGAGCCACCAAGGGCTGCCCCACCTAGGCCCCTCAGCATTGCCAGCATGAGTGGACATCACTTCCGAAAGAGCACTCAGTTTGTTGGAGAGAGTGTGTCTTTTTTATTTTTTTTATTTTTCTTATTTTTTTTGAGACACGGTCTCACTCTGTAGCTCAGGCTGGAGTGCAGTGATGCAATCTCGGCTCACTGCAACCTCCACCTCCCAGGCTCAAGCAATTCTCCTGTCTCAGCCTCCCAAGTAGCTGGGATTACAGGCATGCACCACCATGCCTGGCTAATTTTTGTATTTTTAGTAGAGACGGGGTTTCGCCATATTGCCCAAGCTGGTCTCAAACTCCTGACCTCAAGTGATCCACCCACTTCGGCCTACAAAAGTGCTGGGATTACAGGCGTGAGCCACCACGCCCGGCAGAGAGTGCATCTTTATGGGTTCGGCTCGGCCCTCAGGAGGCAGCTGGGGTCCTCCTGCCTCTTCAGGCTGGGTTGGCACTCCCAGGGCTTCCCCACATCATTTTGTGGATCTCAGTGCCTTGTTAGAGGCAGGCAATTCCCAACAGAGTGGTGGGGAATGGGACACACCAGGGAATGTTCCGGAAATTCAGTGGGCAGGGAGTGATTTGGGTTGTACCACCAATTGTCACAGTGGCACTTAGTGAGCAGAACAGGGTTGCTGGACGCCTGCACCACAGAGATTATCCTGGGTGATGCCTGATGGCAAATGTCCTGCCCACACGCATAGGTGGACATCTATGAGCAGTGTTCTGGGCCTAGAGCTATACACAGAGGCACAAATTTTTTTGCATGGATTTAGCAAACACTGAATTTTCCAGGAATGCAACTCCAATATAAACTGAGGGAAAGCTGTCCTTTGTGTTGTTCAAATTTTCCCAGGAGTTTTCTGCTATTTCAGAAAATACATCACTCATGGCCACACCAAATGGGTGCATGTGTGGCTGCCACATTCATGATTTAAAGGTAAGTGGGCTGGGCGCAGTGGCTCACGCCTGTAATTCCAGCACTATGGGAAGCCGAGGCAGGAGGATCACTTGAGGCCAGGAGTTCGAGACTGGCCTGGGCAACATGACGAAATCCTGTCTTTACAAAAAAAAAAAAAAAAAGTTAATAAAAAATTATCAACAGGCAGCAAGTGGTGGGAAAAAATAAAAATAATTTAAAAAAATAAAAAATTAGCCAGGCATGGTGGTGTGCATCTGTAATCCCAGCTGCTCAAGAGGCTGAGGCAGGAGGTTCGCTTGAGCCAAGATTTCAAGACCAGCCTTGGCAACATAGCGAGACATTGTCTCTACTAAAATTCAAAAAAATTAGCTGGGCATGGTGGTACATGCCTGTAGTCCCAGCTACTTGGGGGACTAAGGCAGAAGAATCCCTTGAAACCAGGAAGTCAAGGCTGCAGTGAGCCCTGATCATGCCACTGCACTCCAGCCTGAGCGACAGAGCAAGACCCTGTCTAAAAACTAAAATATATATATTTTTAAAGTTACTTTCCTTTCTTTTCTCTTTTTTGTCACACTGAGGACATTAAACTACCTCATTCCCTCCCCCTGGCTCCAGGCTCACTCAGACCCTGGCTCTAGACCGCCACCATTTTGCATTATATAAATATGGATATATAGGCCAGGCACGGTGGCTCATGCCTGTAATCCCAGCACTTTGGGAGGCCAAGGCGGGCAGATCACGAGGTCAGGAGTTCGAGACCAGCCTGACCAACGTGGTGAAACCCCATCTCTACTAAAAATACAAAAATTAGTCGGGCATGGTGGCACGCACCTGTAATCCCAGCTACTCAGGAGGCTGAGGCAGGAGAATCACTTGAACCGGGGGTCGGGGGCAGAGGCTGCAGTGAGCTGAGATCACACCACTGCACTCCAGCCTGGGTGACAGAGCAAGACTTCGTCCCAAAAAATAAAAAATAAAAATATGGATATGGATAGATTATATTATTTATCAATTCCACTTTATGTTTTTTGCTACCCTCACCAGACTCGGGGTGGGCAGGCTGGCAGGGCCTGGTTAAGCTCATCACTGTTTCTCCAGCCCCTAACCTGTTGGCTCAGCATGAATCTGCCGGATGCATACATCAACCCAGAAATTACTTCCTCCTGTATAAGGAGGTAGGGTTTGATTTAGCCTTGGAGGGAGGAAGAGGTTACGAGGCACACAACTGGAGGAAAGAGCAGGAGGTGGGAGAGGATATGGCGCATCTAGAAACAGGACAGAGGTTCCTCCTGGCAGGGGCAGGGAGCTCATGCAGGAAAGAGGGGCCAGGCAAGGGAGGTGCTGAGCTGAGACCGGAAGGGCTGAGAGGTGCAGGGCCCTGTGTCTGAGCCCACAGGTCCTGGGGATTGTCAGCTACTTGGTCTCCACATGGCCCACCAGCCCCTTCGAACCCTAGTCCAGACAGGAGAAAAGGCAGAAAGGGACAGGTACAGCCCCTAGAGCAGGGGTCTCAAGCTTTTCCGACCTTGACTCACCTAAGAAATAAAACTTAGATCACCACTGCTTAAAACGGCATGAGGACTCCCTGTCCCTGGTCATGGTACCAGGCTCCAGGTCCGACAGGGCTGAGAACCATGGTGACCTTCTATGGTGACAGAAAGCAACTAAAACAACTGGATTTTTAAAATGTGTGTTATGCTAAGACTTAAAGAATCAACAAGATGGTGAAGAATTACCCACCAAAAAGAGAAGATAGAAAGGAAAACAAAACAGACATAGAAACACTCAGCTACTTTTGCCTTGAGGCGACTTCCTGATTCCCGGAAGCATGGACTTTTATTTTGACAGCTTCTTCAGATGGAAGGATCAGAGGTCCATGCCCAGGCCCACAGAAGGTGAGGGGTCAACAGAAGACCGGGACCCTATAGGGATACAGTCTCAGACAAGGGCTGAGCCCACAGTAGAACAGCTCATGTCAGGAGCTAAAGATACTAGTTGGAATCCCCCAGATGGTTCAAGTAACCCCAAACGACCTGGGCTTCAAGTGGGCTTGAACTGGCGAGACCCTCAGGAGTCTGGCAGAAGGAACACCAGGGCCTTCCTGGAGGAAGGTACCTTCATCCTAGACTCAAACCAGACTTTTCTTTTTTTTTTTTTTTTTTTGAGACGGAGTCTCACTCTGTCGCCCAGGCTGGAGTGCAGTGGCGCGATCTCGGCTCACTGCAAGCTCCGCCTCCCGGGTTCACACCATTCTCCTGCCTCAGCCTCCTGAGTAGCTGGGATTACAGGCGCGTGCCACCACGCCCGGCTAATTTTTTGTATTTTTCAGTAGAGACGAGGTTTCACCATGTTAGCCAGGATGGTCTCGATCTCCTGACCTCGTGATCCACCCGTCTCGGCCTCCCAAAGTGCTGGGATTACAGGCGTGAACCACCCCGCCCGGCAACTCAAACCAGACTTTTCAAATGCAATAACCAGTATATGCTCAAAGAAAAGCAGGGATCCTTGGGAACCAGACACCGCGAGGGAGAACAAGCCCACAAAATAGACACTAAAAACAGACACAGGCAGAGACTTCAGACGCAGACATCACCTGTAAAACAGATATGTCTTCTCTGCTTCAATCAATTAAAAAAAAAAAAAGCTTGAAGATCCCTGCAGAGAACAGAAAACGATAAAAAAAAATGACATAGCAGACTGAAAAAAGAACCAAGTAGAACTTCTAGAAATAAAAAAAGCTTCAATAACCAAAATTTAAAACTCACTGGACATATTTAACCAGAGAATAGCCAGAGCTGAAGAAAGAATTAATGAAACCATAACAGCCCTTATAGGGTGGATGCATTCCAATTCTACCCTATCCATTTCTGTCGATGATGGCTGAGCCCATTCAAGTGACTTCACAGCCCACTAGCGGGTCAGAGCCTGTGCCTGCATGAGACACACTGCCCTGAAGCATCCCCGGGAGAGCAGTGAAGTCAGAAAAGAGCCCTCCCTGCTCCTCCTGACTCCTCCGTATCTTTCTTGGAAACTTAATAACTGGAACTTGTAAGATTCAACTTTTTCTCTCACATAGATCCTCCCTCAGAGCCTTGCCCACACATACACATGCCAGAAGATGCTGAGTGAATGAATAAACAAGTGGGTAGACTCGGGGCCCGTCGCCATACACATCCCATGCTTCTACTGCGCTGTGCTCCTTGCCCAAAGGCAGCCCTGTCAGAACCCCAGAAGGGGCCTGAGCCTTCCCTGTCACTAAACCACAGGGCTGAAGGGCAGAGAGAAGGAGGGTGGATGGGTAGCCAGGAGACTGGGCCCACACAGGAGTTGCAGCATCAAAGACCATGAGAAAAGGTGGAGGGTCCAGGGAGGTTTCCTAAAGTAAGGATTGTGTGTCCCGGGGTGTGTACCTGTGGATGAAGGGGCACAGGGCTGGTGAGGCTGCAGGCAAGAGGCTATTCATTTATTAAATAAGGTCAGTCAACATTCATCCAATACTGACTAAGGTGCCTACCACTCCAAATGCCCACTGCCACTGCATACCATCATTCCAGGGCAAGGGGGATAGCTTTAAAATACACAAACTCCCAGGTCCTCCACAGATCTTGGCAGGTCTCGGGTGAGGTCTAGGAATATGCATTTTTAAAGGCACCTCTCCCCCACTCCCTTTCTACCCCACATGGTTCTGCTGCTCAATCAAGCACCAGAGTAGAGGATCCAAGTCAAGGACAGAGAGCAAAGCAAGTTATACGGTTGCAGTAATGTAAAAGCTCTGCAAGAAATAATGCCTGCATCTGCTTCCAATCATCTTCAATGTTTAGACTCAACCTATAGAACAAAACACCCAAGATGTCATTGTGGTTACAGAAGAGGATGGAAAGGTCATTCAGTCTTGATGACTTAAAAATAAAAATAGGCTGGGCGCGGTGGCTCACGCCTATAATCCCAGCACTTTGGGAGGCCAAGGCAGGCGGATCACCTGAGGTCAAGAGTTTGAGACTAGCCTGACCAACATGGAGAAACTCAGTCTCTACCAAAAATACAAAATTAGTTGGCCGTGGTGGCAGGCACCTGCAAGCCCAGCTACTTGGGAGACTGAGACAGGAGAATCGCTTGAACCCAGGAGGGAGAGGTTGCAGTGAGCCGAGATCGCACCATTGCATTCTAGCCTGGGCAACAAGAGTGAAACTCCATCTCAAAACAAAAACAAAATAAAAATAAAAATACATGTGGCATAGGCCAGGCGCAATGGCTCACACCTGTAATCCCAGCACTTTGGGAGGCTGAGGCAGGTGGATCACGGGGTCAGGAGTTCAAGACCAGCCTGGCCAAGATGGTGAAACCCGGTCTCTACTGAAAATACAAAAAAATTAGCCAGACATGGTGGCGCAAGCCTATAATCTCAGCTACTCAGGAGGCTGAGGCAGAGAATTGCTTGAACCTGCCTGGGAGGCAGAGGTTGCAGTGAGCCGAGATTGCGCCACTGCACTCCAGCCTGGAAGACAGAGCGAGACTCCGTCTTGGAAAAAAAAAAATACACATGGCAGCCTGGGCGTGGTGGCTCACACCTGTAATCCAAGTACTTTGGAAGTCCAAGGCAAGAGGATCACTGAGCCTAGGAGTTCAAGACCAGCCTGGGCAACTTGGTGAGACCCCCAATTTCTACAAAAAATTTTAAAAACTAGCCGGGTCTGTTGACACGCACCTGTGATCCAGCTACTTGGGAGGCTTGAGGCGGGAGGATTGCTTGAGCCCTGGAGGTCCAGGCTGCAGTGAGCCATGATTGTGCCACTGCACTCCAGACCCTGTCTCAGAAAAGAAAAAAAATACACATGGCAGTAGTGGGAGGGAGACATGGACAGAGTGCTTGGAGGAATTGACAGAATGAGGAAGAAAAAAAAAGGGTAACTGAGACTCTCAGGTTTATAAAGGTGACCCTAGAGAATCTACAGGCCACAGGATGCTGTTGGGAGGATGAGGGGGGCAATGGAAGAGCAGGTCATGAAAGCTAAATTATCATCTATCTTAGAAGGGCACCAACAGATACTCTAAAATTGGTAAATCAAGCAGTAGTGGCCGGGCACTGTGGCTCATGCCTGTAATCCTAACACTCTGGGAGACCAAGGCAAGAGGATTGCTTGAGCCCGGGAATTTGAGACGAGCCTGGGCAACACAGTGAGACCTCGTCTCTACAAAAAATTAAAAAATTAGCCAGGCGTGGTGACGCACACCTGTAATCCCAGCTGCTCAGGAGGCTGAGGTGGGAGGATGGCTTGAGCCTGGGAGGTCAAGGCTGCAGCAAGCCATGATTGCGCCACTGCACTCCAGCCTGGATGACAGAGCAAGACCCTGTCTCAAAAAAAAAAAAAAAAAGAAAAAGAAATAGAATAATCATAACATTTGGAGACACAGGGGTAGCTAGCAGAAGAAACCATGAAAAGAGTTAAAAGGGGTTGCTTTCTCTTATTACATTGCTGGTGAGGGTGCAAAATGATACAACGGCAGCGGGGGGCAAGTGGCAATCACCGAGCTCCCGCCCTCTGCCTCAGCAACCTCAGTGCTGGGCTTGCATTCTCGGAGCGCACCTGCTCTTACATAAAATGACCACAGAAGAGGGTCTTTGCTGCAGCACCAACAGGAATAATAAAAGACTTGAAACAGCCCAAGAGTCCATCAGGGGGACTGCTGAAACAAATTACAATAGAGCCACATAACTCTATGTGTGGAATGCTATGTAACCATAAGAAAGAGAGAAATTCTGACAGATGCTGCAACATGGATGAACCCATTATGCTAAGTGAAATAAGCCAGTCACAAAAGGGCAAACACTGCATGATTCCACTTGTATAAGGTACCAAGAGTAATCAAATTCATAGAAACAGAGAGTAGAATGGTAGTTGCAAGGGCTGGGGGGAGGAGGAAATGGGGAGTTATTGTTTAATGGGTACTGAGTTTCAGTTTTGCAAGATGAAAAAAGGTCTGTGGATGGATGGTGGTAATAGTTGCACAGAAATGAAAATGTACGGAATGCTGCTCAACTGTATGCTTAACGATGGTTAAGATGGGAAACTCCTTGTTATGTGAATCTTACCACAATTAAAAATAAGTGACTTTTGCCAGGCACAGTGGCTCACACCTGTAATCCCAATATTCTGGGAGGTTGAAGCGGGCAGATTGCTTGAGTCCAAGAGTTCGCTTATTTTCCAGCCTAGGCAACACAGTGAAACCCTGTCTCTACAAAAAATAAATAAATTAGCCAAGCATGGTGGCACGCACCTGTAGTCCCAGCTGCTCTGGAAGGTGAGGCAGGATTGCTTGAGTCCAGGAGGTCAGGGTTGCAGTGAACCATGGTGTCACTGCACTCTGACCTGGGCAACAAAGCAAGACCCTGTCTTAATAAATAAATAAATAACCTTTTTTAATATTTAAGACAAATTACTATGTAATTTGTAGGAGACTATTTTCTCATGGTTGTCCACAATATGCAACTAAAATGAATATACTTTTTTTCATCTTTTTTTTTGAGACAGGATCTCACTATGTCGCCCAGGTTGGAAAGCAGTGGTGCAATCACGGCTCACTGCAGACTTGACCTCCTGGCCTCATGCGATCCTCCCACCTCAGTCTCCTGTGTAGCTGAGACTACAGGGGTGTACCACCACATCCAGCTAATTTTTGTATTTTTGTAGGGACGGGGTTTCGCCATGTTGCCCAGGCTGGTCTCAAACTCCTAGGCTCAAGCAATCCACCTACCTGGGTGTCCCAAACTGCTGGGATTACAGGCATGAGCCACCACACCTGGCTAAAGTGAATATAATTAATGAAAGAGAGAGAGAGGAAGTTTGAGCTTCTACATATTCAGAGAGAAAGATCTCCAGAAGGGTCTGTCTACAGCAAGATTTATAAAGCGAAACCAGCAAAAAAACAGAATAGTGTATATAGAATGCTATCTTTCTATAAGAAAAGGGAAAATCTGGATATATGTTTGTATTTGCAGAATGGAACACTGGAAGAGACATAAGCAATTAAAGACAGTGATGACCTAAAGAGGCAGTGGTGGAGGGGGTGGGGGGTGGGAAGAGGGTGGGAGCAGACTCTCAGTCTGTGTTTGTATGGTGTTTTGATGTTTTAACAGAATGAATAAATTACCTAGTTAGATTTTCTTATATGGTTGCCCCTGGAGAAGGGGAAAGGAGGTTGAGTGAGGAGGGTAGAGTGGAGGACCAGGGTAGAGTGGGGGATCCTAGATCATGTATTTGTCTTACTTTTATAAAAAGGAAAAAAAGGAATAAGAGTACATTTTCGGCCAGGTGTGGTGGCTCACGCCTGTAATCCTAACACTTTGGGAGACCGAGGCGGGTGGATCACGGGGTCAGGAGTTCGACACCAGCCTGACCAACATAGTGAAACTCTGTCTCTACTAAAAATACAAAAATTAGCCAGGTGTGGTGGCACGTGCCTGTAATCCCAGCTACTCAGGAGGCTGAGGCTGAAGAATCGCTTGAATCCAGGAGGCAGAGGTTGCAGTGAGCTGAGATCGTGCCATTGCACTCCAGCCTGGGTGACAGAGTGAGACTCCATCTCAAAAAACGAAAGAAAAAAAAAAAGAGTACATTTTCAGTGACCAAAAAACTTATGAAAAGGTGCTCAACCTCACTAGTAGTCAGAGAAATGTAAATTAAAACCACAGTAAGATGCCATTTCACACCCAGCAGGCTGGAAGAAATTTAAGTGGGACAAGACCAAGTGTGGCAAGGATGTGGGCAGAGCGAAGGGAGCTGCCCCCACAGTCGCCACAGGGTCACTTCTCATGCCATGGAGGCGCATTCCTCTCACCTAGTAATCCCCCCACTCAGAACATACCAGAGGAACCCGAGCACACGAGCCTAAGGAGGCTCACTGCAGCATCGCAGGCAATTGCCAAAAGCTGGAAATGAGCTGAAAGTCCATCAACAGGAGTGCCAATGAAGGGATTCAGTTTATCGCCCAATGGAATGCAACATTGCAATTAAACACATGAACTACAGCCATGTGTATCAACTCAGATAAATCTCAAAAACAGTACTGAATTTATTTTTATTTTATTAATTTTTTGTTTGTTTGTTTGAGACAGCGTCTCCCTGTGTCACCCAGGCTGGAGTGCAGTGGCGTGATCTTGGCTCACTGCAACCTCCGCCTCCCGGGTTCAAGCGATTCTCCTGCCTTAGCCTCCTGAGTAGCTGGGAGTACAGGTGCCCACCACCACACCCGGCCAATATTTGTATTTTTAGTAGAGACGGGGGTTTCACCATGTTGGCCTGGCTGGTCTCAAACTCCTGACCTCAGGTGATCCACCTGCCTTGGCCTCCCAAAGTGCTGGGATTATAGGCGTGAGCCACTATGCCTGGCCAGGAACCAGTATAGAATTTAAAAAGTGCAAAAGGATTTGTCCAGGAGGCTACCTTTAATATATGGGGTTTAAAAAATATAAAAACTTAGCCAGGTGCAGTGGCTCATACCTGTAATCCCAACACTTTGGGAGGCCAAGGCAGGTGGATCACCTGAGGTCAGGAGTTTAAGACCAGCCTGGCCAACATGATGAAACCCCATCTGTACTAAAAATACAAAAATTAGCTGGGCGTGGTGGCACGCACCTGTAATCTCAGCTACTTGGGAGGCTGAGGTGGGAGAAACACTTGAACCCGGGAGGGAGAGGTTGCAGTGAGCCTTGATTGCACCATTGTGCTCCAGCCTGGGCAACAGAGCGAGACTCTGTCTCAAAAAAAAAAAAAAAAAAACCTATATTGTGCACAGTTACATCCCTATGCATTAATAGCAAAAGCATTAAAACAGACCCCTGGTCAAAGCTTTGTGTTAGGCATGAGTAAAAAATAAAAATAAAACAGGCCCTTGAATGATGCACACCAATTTCTGACAAGTGTTTACCTCTGGAGAAGGCAGGAGAGGAAGGGGAAGGGAGGAAGATGTAGGGGGCTTCGGCTACAGCTATGTTAATTCTTTAAAAGTAAAAAGATCTGGGCCAGGCGCAGTGGCTCACGCCTGTAATCCCAGCACTTTGGAAGGCCGAGACGGGCGGATTGCCTGAGGTCAGGAGTTCCAGACCAGCCTGGACAACAAGGTGAAACCCCATCTCTACTTAAAAAAAAAAAAAAGTAAAAAGATCTGAAATAAACGTAGCAAAAAGGATTTGACAAAGCTCAGCAGTGGGTGCATGGGGTGTGTGTCACTTTTCTCTTTCTTTTTTTCCCCTGAGACAGAGTCTTGCTCTGTCACCCAGCTTGGAGTGCAGTGGCACAATCTCAGCTCACTGCAAACTCTGCTTCTTGGGTTCAAGCAATTCTTCTGCCTCTGCTTACCAAGTAGCTGGGATTACAGGCACATGCCACCATGCCCGGCTAATTTTTGTGTTCTTAGTAGAGACAGGGTTTCACCATGTTGGCTAGGCTGGTCTCGAACTCTGGACCTCGTGACCTGACTGCCTCGGCCTCCCAAGTGCTGCAGTTACAGGCGTGAGCCACCGCGCCCAGCCCTATTTTTCTCTTTACTATCGTGTAGACTTGAAATATATCTTAATCACAATAACAATAAGCCGGGCTTGGAGCATGGACAGGTAGAGGAGGCGTAGGCTAGGGAAGGGGGCATCCAGTCATGCAAATGGAGGGCAGTCACCTCATCACTCTCCTCCCTGGCACCTGCCCCCACACACATGTCTTGGGGGCACTGGGGCTGGGGGTGCAGGCTCTGAGCTTCCCTGAGGTAGACCTGGAGACAAGGGCTACCCAGGTCCCTTGCCCCAACAGGAGGAGGAAAAGAAGGAAAAAGGGCTAGGAGAGGGAATGTGCCCCAGGCTCAGCCCAGTCAGCAGCTCGGGACTCACGGCAGCCACAGCCCGAAACGTTACAGCCAGGCAGAGTTCAAGGGCTGGCCTAGCGTGGGTGCCACACATAGCAGGGCATCAGCAGCCTGGGCTTCCCAGGGCCTTGCCAGCTCTGGAAATAATTCCCTGAACATGTTGGGGCTTAGGGTGGCTTCGAAGGTGGCTGGAGCTGAAGCCACAAGCAAGGAGCCATGCAGGGATTCCTTCCCGAGGTGGGGGTGGTGGGGGCTTTGCGAGTCCAGCCTCCAGGGTCAGCAAGTGAAAGGGGAGCTGGCAGGGAGCCGGGCAGGGAGCTGGGAGTCCCAGCAATGGCCAGGCTCACCCCAAGATGGTGGGGGGCAGAACTTCTGGGAGTCTTCAGGACAAGGCCATTTCTGATGACCACCAGCCAACTTCTAAAACGCCTGCCATAACCCCACCCCCTTGCTGGGTCCCACCCTCCAGG
Source organism: Homo sapiens (assembly GCF_000001405.40). NCBI lineage: Eukaryota > Metazoa > Chordata > Mammalia > Primates > Hominidae > Homo > Homo sapiens. The sequence continues at coordinate 33,643,117 of NC_000006.12, read as the reverse complement.
GCCAGTGGAAACAGTGAAAGCCAGGACTCCTGGCTTGAGGCCAAGCTCCATCTTTGTCTTTTCTGGGCTCCAGTGTCAAAACTGAAGAGGCTATAGTCCATGTCTCTCATCCCACATTCTAATGCCCCAACTTGTACTCGCCAGCCAAAGGGTGTACGGAGGCCTGGCTCTGTTCCAGAAGGTTGGCTCTGCTCAGGTCCCAACAGGGCCATAGGGAGTCCAGAGGGGCCTCTACCCACCTCACCAAGACATCAAGGAACCAGGAGCTGGGGCAGAGAAGAGGGGGAAGGAGATGGAGTCTGAACCTTTCTCTTCCACATCACTTTGCTGGATGGACCCAGCGAGGATATGGGACCACGGGGTGGCCCAGGTATCCTGGGGTGGGCCTCATTCACAGGCTTTGGGAAAATGGAGAAGATGAGATGAGGGGCCTGGGGGAGGAGGGAGAGGGAAGGCGCAATGAGGACAGAGGAGGGCAAGAAGTCAAAGGCGCATTTGTTCTGCTAAGTGGCTTTGTTGTTGTCAAAAATTGGCCCCAAACTGTTCACTAGAAGCTTAGGGCAAGTCTTCCTCGGTCACACCCACCTCCCTGTCACCAGCCTGTCACACCACACAGCTGCCCACACACACCTCGACACACATGCAAAGCTTCCCCTTCCGGTCCTGGCAGAGCCCACCCTTGGGACCCTCACCTCTCTCTCTCTTTCTCTCTGTCTCTAAGTTCTTTCCAAGAACTAGACTAAATCCTCCTACTAGATGGCAATCTAGCCTCCATCTGCAGCCTCAACGCCCTCCCATTTCTGACTCCAGGAGAGGCCCAGGCCTCCTTTCTCTACCCGTCCATCCTTCAGGGAACTGGGACAGGCGAGGTCAGACCTGTGCCTCCAAGTGAGCACATTAAACCCACAGAGCCTGGGCTCCACTGGGGAGATTCTGGGTGGGTCACAACAACAGGACATGGAGCAGCCAGGCCTGAGTGAGGGGCAGGGCAAGAGGACGCTGGGGAGGGGCCCTGTGCATGCATTGATTACTCAAATGTGCTCGGGGATCTGCCGTGTGGCAGACACTGCAGGTAAAACAGCAAACAACAACAACAAAAACACAGAAATCCCTCCCCTGGTGGAACTGACATTCTAGTGGGGCAGAAAAATGGCAAACACAAATAAATAAAATACACTGAGCACAGCAGATTCATGCTACAGAGAAAAAGAAAGCAGGGAAGGGAGGTGGGGCCAGCAGTGCGATTTTGTATTGAGTGGTCAGGGAAGGCCTCGCTGAAGATGTGAGACCTAAAGCTGCTGAGCATCTGGGCTGCGTGGATATTTGGAGAAAGAACGTTCAGGGCAGAGGGAACAGCAAAGATGTGGAGGCGGGAGTGTTGCTGGTGACTGTGAGGAATGGCAGGGAGGCTGGTGTGGTTGCAGGGAAGTGGGAGGGGGCAAGGGGGAGAGGATGAGGTGGAGAGGCAGCAGGGGCCAACGGTGTAGGGTGAAGGGGCCTTATGGTGGTGCGGTTCGTCCAGGGCCAGGGCAGTTCCCACCTAAGACCTCCACCAGCCAAAACCCTCACTCAGAGCCCCGTGATGGAAGCAGGAACAGAATTGCAGACAGGGGGCCCCTCTGCAGGTTCCAAGTGATGGGCAAGGACCCCGGCCGCCAGCCAGCCAGCCAAGGATGCCGCCGGATTGTCTTAAATCCCGCTCCCCTTCCAGCATCCCCCGCGAGGACAATCCCAGCTAAGCTCTCCCCAGAGGAGCAGCCACGCGGGCAGACTTGGTGGCAGCAGGCCCAGCGTGTTGCTGCCTGCTCCCACCCTGCCCAACACGCCCAGGACCTGTCTGTCTGACTGTCAGTCGGTCTCAGCCCTCACAGGTAAGCACAACAATAGCACCTCACCCTGGCTTGGCATAATGACAGCCAGGATATTGTTTAATCCCCACAAAGGCCCTCAGCCTGCTGGGCGGCCCGAGGAGCCCACTGACCACTCAGGACAAGGTCCCGTGAACGAAGTCACTTGCCCAAGGTGAATTCTCACCAACTTCCCACCAAGGGGCTTTGTTATTAGAGCCTCCTGCAGGGCAGGACTCACACACAGGAGGGGGCTGAGGACACAGCCAGGGTCAGAAGAGTTCTGGAAACCATGGGGTCCAAATCTCTTACCATGCAGATGAGGAACTGAGGCACAGGGAAGGGCTGTCACCAGGGCCTCCTAAAGTCTAAGACAATTCTCTTTTCCACCCGTTCCCTCAGAAAACATCCAGTCACACAGACAAAGAAAGCCCTGTGGCTGTGGGGATTTTGGGGGGAGAATGGGCCCCTGGCCAGAAGTGGGTGTGCCCCTGAGAAGTGGGGTGTGGCCCCAGAAAATGAAGGGAATGGCACGTCTGTGCCAAGATGGCAGCAGTGCAAGCCAAGGGGGATTCCGCCGACAGCAGAGTGAGGTCTGCAGGGCAGCGCCACATCTAATCCAGCCACTGGGGCTGAATGCAGTTGAATAAATTCAGTCGCAGGTCCAGAACCCTGCAGCCTGGGAGGGGCGGGGGCAGAGGAAGCGGAGGTCTTACCACGGAACTTCTTAGGGGGGTTGTCCAGGTCCCCGGCCGCGGGCTCCACCACACAGCGGTCATCCACCAGCCTGGGGAACAAAGCAGCTCGGTCAGCAGGAGAGAAGAGACCTATCTCCCACAGTATCCCTTCCCTTAGAGCAGGGGATGCCAGGGTACCAGTGAGCCCCTAAGATAATTCCTCCATCTCTAACAAGCTCCCCACCATCAAGTCATTCTTTCCTGGCACCACCGTTGAAAGGCAAGGTGTCTCTTGGGGGCGGGGAGAACCCCAGGAAGAACACAGAAGCACACCCAGCCCACCCCAGCCCCCTGACTGGAGCTGCAGCTGTCCTGGGGGGACTCTGCCACCAGTCGGGCCTGTCACATGCTGCAGGTGTATCTCCTGTCCCAGCCCTGAGACCCTGCTGCCCTGATGGGATGGGCAGTGGGTGAAGGGGGCAGGAGAGGAGGAGAAAAACAAAAGCATAGAGGAGTGGAAGGGAGGGAGACAGAGAGTCAGAAAGACAAAAAGCATAAGAAACAGAAGCAGAGAGAGACCAAAGACAGACAGATGAGAGAAGCACAGGAGACACCAAACTAGCGGCATGAGTCTTTAGGTCTCCAAGGAAGGATGATGATTCTCACCCCTTCCCAGTCTCAGTCAGGCCTCATTTCATAGTCTCCTCCTTGGTTCACCCTAGGACAATTTCCCTCTTATAGCCATGCTGGCATTAATCTTGCATCTCTTGAGGGCATTCATTTACCCATCCATCTATCCACCCATCCACTCATCCCTCCACCCATCCATCTACCCAGCCCCCAATCATCCATCTATTCATCCACCCACCCATGCACCCATCCATCCACCCATCCACCCATCTACCCATCCAGCCACCCTTCCTGCATTTAAAATTTGTCAATGCCACTCCAGCCTCTAAGATAAAGTGATGCTGATCACCCACCGTGTCAAAGGCCAACTCTGTCTTAACACCCCCATGCCTGTTACCTCTGAATTCTCACCAACTTGCCAGCAAGGGGCTTGTTTTTAGTGCCATTTTACTGAGGAGAAAACCGAATCTGAATATTAAATAACTTGCCTAAACCCACAGAGCTGATTTCAAAGCCCGTGCTCCTTCTGTACCTCCTCTCCCTGGGTTGGTTAACAAGGTCTTTTCTGTTTTTTTTTTTTTTTTTGAGACAGAGTTTCACTCTGTCGACCAGACTGGAGTGCAGTGGCGCAATCTCGACTCACTGCAACCTCTGCCCCCCGGGTTCAAGCAATTCTCCTGCCTCAGCCTCCTGAGTAGCTTGGATTACAGGCACCTGCCACCACGCCTGGCTAATTTTTGTATTTTTAGTAAAGACTGGGTTTCACCATCTTGGCCAGGCTGGTCTCAAACTCCTGACCTCGTGATCCACCTGCCTCAGCCTCCCAAAGTGCTGGGATTACAGGTGTGAGTCACCACGCCCAGTCTAACAAGGTCTTTTGTGATCTGACCTCTACCTACTCCCTAGCTAGCCTCACTATTTCCTTGCCCCAACTCTACTAAACCTCCAGTTGATCCCAAGGTCCCTGGAGCTCTCATCTCTCCAGAGGCAGTCCTGGCAGCCTGCAGTGCCTTAATACTCACTCCACTCTGGCCCCATGAAGCCACAGGCCTAGCAAAACTCCATCCTTCCACCCTCAGCTCTGCTTTCCTACTCTACAAAGCCTTCCTTGGCCAGCCCCTGTGGGCCTCCCTCCTTCATGTTCCGGCACCTGGTCCTGGCAGTGTCTCTCCCCACTTCTTGACTTGCTGTGTCTACACTGTGAGTTCCTTGAGAACGGAGCCCCTGTGTGTTTTCTTTGTAATGATTAACACCTTGCACAATGCAAAGTGTTAATGATATAATAAGAAATATATATTTGGTCTTCATCCCGGCTCCTGGCCAGAGCTCTTAAAGCCCTTGTAACTTCCTAAGTGATAAAGGCAAGAAGAGTTACAATGTTTAGATTTTTGTATGCAGTTCCTGAAATAGATCGGAAGCAATAAAGATGAAATGGCATGAATTTTGTTCATTCCAAGCCTCTTTCAACCACACCTGGTTTTATGTTAATGAGGTGACTTTTGGAAAGCCCCTGAGGATGGGGCTGCCGGGGAATAACCGTGTAATTTGAGGGTTCCCATTTTCAGCCCCACCTCCGTCACGACCTCCTCCTGGAAGGAGAGAGCCGCTGAAGGTTAGGTTGACCACCAATGGCCAATGGTTTAATCAATCATGCCTATGTGGATGGACGCGGTGGCTCATGCCTGTAATCCCTGCACTTTGGGAGGCTGAGGCGGGTGGATCATTAAGTCAGGAGTTCGAGACCCGCCTGACCAACATGGTGAAACCTCATCTCTACTAAAAATACAAAAATTAGCTGGGCGTGGCGGTGCGCGCCTGTAATCCCAGCTACACAGGAAGCTGAGGCAGAAGAATCGCTTGAACCCAGGAGGCAGAGGTTGTGGTGAGCCGAGATCACGCCACTGCACTTCAGCCTGGGCGAAAGAGCAAGACTTCATCTCAACAAAAACAAAACAAAACAAAACAAAACAAAAAACGTGCCTAGGTAAGGCAGCCTCTGTAAAAACCCAAAAGGGGCCAGGCGCCAGTGGCTCACGCCTGTAATCCTAGCACTTTGGGAGGCCGAGGCAGGCTAATCACCTGAGGTCAGGAGTTTGAGACCAACCTGGCCAACATGGCGAATCTCCATCTCTACTAAAAAAAAAAAAAAAGAAAGAAAGAAAAAATTAGCCGGGTGTGGTGGCACACGCACTCTTGTAACCCCAGCTACTCGGGAGGCTGAGGCAAGAGAATCGCTTGAACCCAGGAGGCAGAGTTGCAGTGAGCCGAGATCGAGTCACTGCACTCCAGCCTGGGCAACAGAGCAAAACTCCGTCTAAAAAAAAAAAAATCGCTGGGTGTAGTGGCACACACCTCTAACCCCAGCTACTCAGGAGGCTGAGGCAGGAGAATCGCTTGAACCCTAGAGGCAGAGGTTGCAGTGTGCTGAGATCGAGCCATTGCACTCCAGCCTGGGCAAAAGAGCGGGACTCCGTTAAAAAAACAAACAAACAAGCAAACAAAAAACCAGGTTCAGAGAGCTGGGCTGGTGAACACATGTGGGTACTGGGAGGGGGTCACCCCTGGAGAGGGCCTGGAAGCTCTGTATCTCCTGCTCCATATTAATCTCTTCCATCTGGCTGTTTTCTGAGTTCTGTGAGCCATTCTAGCAAATTATTAAACATAAAGAGGGAGTTGTGGGAACCCCAGATTTATGGCTGTTTGGTCAGAAGCACCAGAAGCCCGGACTTGCAACTGGCATCTGAGGTGATGTTAGTCTTGGGGGACTGAGCTTTCCACCTGTGGGATCTGACACTGACTCCAGGCAGATAGTGTCAGAATTGAATTGAACTGCAGGACATCCAGGTGGTGTCCCCAGAGTACTGGAGAACTACCTCATGTTTTCATATATTGTTATTTAAGTTTCTAATTCTACTTTGTTATTTCCATTTTGCAGGCAGAGAAACCAGGGTATAGAGATGTTAAACAATCCACAGAGCCAGGTTTTGAAGCCAGGCAGCCCGGCGTCAGAGCAGGCGCTGTGCAGGACTGCAGAATGACGGGACGGCAGAGGGTCCTCTGTCTCCTTTTCTCTCCCGGCCTCCAGCACCTGCTTAGTCCCTGGCCCTCTTCCCTTCTCCATCTGCACTCACGTCGTTGGGCATCTTGACCACACTCATGAACTTAAAAGCACCTCCAAAACCTTCACTGAGAACTCCCACATTCACCTCCCATGAACTCCAGCCTCGGAGATCTAACTGCCTACTCGGCATCTCTGCTTGGGTGTCCACAGACATCGCAAACTCAGCCTGTGCAAGCTGAGCTCCTGGCCTCCCACCGGAACATGCTCCTCCAGAGGTCCTCCCCATCTCAGTCGATGGCAACTCCATCCTTCCAACTGCTTGGTCCAAAAACCTTGGACCTATCCTTGGCTCCTCCCTTCCACTCACACCTCACACCTAACCTGTCAGGAAATCCTGTGGGCTGCATCTTCAAAATACACAGTCAGGTACAGAATTGGACCTCTTCTTGTCACTCTCACCACCACATTGTCCAGGCTCCCACCAGCTCTCACCTGGATTTCAGTAACTACCTCCTCACTGGTCTCCTGGGTTCCCCCTTCACTCCCTTCAGCCTATTTCCCACACAGAAGCAGGGGGATCCCTTTAATTTTTTATTTTTTTGAGACAGAGTCTTACTCTGTCACCCGGGCTGGAGTGCAGTGGCATGATCTTGGCTCACTGCAACCTCTGCCTCCAAGGTTCAAGCAATTCTCCTGCCTCAGCCTCCCAAGTAGCTGGGATTACAGGTGCCTGCCACCATGCCCAGCTAATTTTTTTTTTTTTTTTTTTTTTTTTTTTTGTAGAGACAGCGTTTCACCACGTTGGCCAGGCTGGTCTCTATCTCCTGACTTCAGGTGATCCACCTGCATCGGCCTCCCAAAGTGCTGGGATTCCAGGCGTGAGCCACCGAACCCGGCCAGGGGATCCCTTTAAAAGGTAAGTCAAATCAGGCCAGCACTCCACTCAGAACTCACCAGAACCACCCATCTCAGAATAAAACCAAAGAACTTACATGGCCTGAAAGACCCACGTGGTCCACCCCCTCACATCTCTGATCGCATCTCCTCCCCATCCCCCTTCCCCTCACCCCTCTGCTCCAGCCCTGGAGCCCCCTCCAGGCTCCTCAATCCCCCAGGGGAGTGGGCACTGGCTCCTTCCTCTGCCCAGAACCCTCTACCTCCAGGATCCTCACCTCCTTCAGATCTGGGCTCAAACAAGCCTGTTCCCATGGAGACTGGAGACCCTCTCTCCCATTTTTATTAAAAATTGCAAACTGCTTCCTGCCACACTCAGTATGCACCTCCCTGTGTAATTGTTATCCACAGCCTTTATCACCACCTGGTTGGCTAGCTAGTTTACTTATTTTGTTTACTATCCCTTAGCCTGACCCCATGGAATGTTAAGTGCCGTGAGGGCACAGACGTGTCTGTTTTGCTCCCTGCCGTATCCTCAGCACCCAAACCACTGTCTGGTGCAGAGAGGGGACACACAAAATACATACTGAGTTAATTAATTCATTTTACTAGCTGTGCAGTAAAGTACACAAGAAGCAAAAGACAAGGTCCCCGCCTCAGGTAGTTTAAAATCTCATTGGGAAGACAAATCACATACTCAGAAGATAAATAATATAAAGAATATGTATCAGAGCCGACTGGTGGTACCAGCCGTGGGTTTCGTCCGAATTCAGGGAAGGGAGAGGTCACTGCTTGGCCAATCAGAGAAGGTGTGGGAGAAGCAGGAACTGCTCAGAGCCTTGAATAATTCATAGAATTTCCTGTAAGATATTAGTGAATCAGATTAGCTGGTTGTCTCTTAGCAAAGCCCTGAAGGGAGGGGACACAGGATGGATGAATTTTGATGGCGAGAGAAAGAAAGCATTGACTGGGGTGATGGAGCCGCAGGGCAGCATGGAGGTTGTGCAGCTGAAGAGAGGCTGGCGGCAGTCCCCACAGCCCCCATCTTGACCGGTACACAGGGCCTTGTAGCGGGGGAAAGAGGAAGAGGCCGCAGAGTCCCCCTCCTCAGAGGGTCCCTGTCTGAGGAAAAAACTCATCCTCATCCCTGACCCCTCCACGCCTCTCCTGGGAACTCCTTGTCTGGGTCACACATGCAGGAAAGACATGCAAATTTGGGGGCCAAAGCGTTTTTCCTCACCCCTCTGGACAAGCCCACCTGGTCATTAGGTGGATGTCCATTTGTCCGAGCCCACGCTGGCACAGCTTCTGAAGCCCCGCCTCTCCAGCTCAGCCCCTCCCCATGCCAGTGCCCAGCAGTCCACAAAGCAAGGAGTGCAAACAGAAGCCACTTAGAGAAGGGAGGGACCGGTCAGAAGGGGAGCACGGATTCCGGAGGGGAATTCAAACAAGGCTGGGAAGGAAAACATCCCAGATGTGCAGCTGAGCAGACGACAACGGTCTGTGGAAGGGACTGGAGCAGAGAAGCAAGCCCTGGGCAGGGCTACGGAAAGCAGGGAGGGTCGGTCAGGAGTGAGGACTTGGGAGGCAGGAGATGGGACCTTGGGCATTTTCTCCCGGGTCCGCCAGGACCAGCAAAACAGGCATCATCTGGGAATGCTAAGCTCCATTCTGTGTCCCCCAAGAACCTCCAAGAGGTGGCACCTTGCCACCTTGCCTTCCTTGTTTTATTCTCCAGAAGTTGAGCGCAGCCCCCACCTGGTGTGTGTAGATAAAGAAGGTGGCCCTGGGCAGATGTTTGCAGGGTCCCACCGTGCCCCCAAGCTCCCCTCACCCGTGTCTCTGTGCGTACTCATTAGGCCTAAGGGATCCCATGAAGGTGATCTCTGGCGACAGGGGAGCAGGAGGGGACGGGAGGGAGCGTCGCGTGAAGTCATTAACAGATAAGCAAGAAAGCTCTTATCAGATGGCCTGTCGGGAGACCTGGGGCCAGAGGGAGGGCCGAGGGCCGGGACACAAGTTAGGCAAGTTTGCATGGAGAGGGAGCCTCACCGGGCGAGGCCGCGACCTCCCCATCGCTGCGTGGTGGGAGCGGTTCTGGGTCCGCGCGGCTCCGGAGAGCGTAGGTCTGGCCTCCCTGGCCCCGCCCCGGCCCGGCCCGGCCCCGCCCCGCGCCCGCCCCGCGCCCGCCCCGCCCCCAGCCTGGCCCGGCCCGCGAGCTCCGGGCGTCCGGCCCCGGCCCCGGCCCCGCCCCCGCCCCCGCGGCGAAGCGAAACTCGCCGTCCCACGTGCAGCCGTCTCCCACGACGCGCCGCCGCCGCCAAGGGAGGGCCAGCGCGGCCTCGCCCCGGCCTGCCTCCGACTGCCGGCCGCTGCCAGGACGCCGCGCCTCCGCCAGACGCGCCCGGGGGCGGGGCGGGTGATGTGCCGCTGCGCCCGCGCTTTCCTGCTCTCCCCCGCTCGTCTGCCCGCGGAGGGCGGCCCCGGGGTACCCCTCCCCACCTGATGGCACCGACGTCCCTGGCCTTAGCGCCCCACCCCGACTCTTCCTCATGGCGGGCACCTGTGTTTATCAAACTAGCCGGACCACAGGTGCCCTGCTGAGTGCGCACCGGGCGCTGAAACCAGAGCCGCGCTCTACAGGGGTAAGTGGCCGCTTCGCTTCACCCCCCTCTCGCCAACGCCTCCCCACAAGGTCCCTCCACCCACGGGCCCCAGAAAAGACCTGTTCCCACCCTTTACCAGCCCACCGATCTCTCACTGTCCAGCCTCTACTAGGATGACGCCCCATCCCACTCCTGCCATCTCAAGGCCAAGCTGAGGCTCCCGTGTGGTTCCCTGCCCACGCCCCGCTACGCCCACCACCGGCATCGCCCCTCACCTAGAGGCCGGTGGTACCCCAGCCAAGATCACAAAAAAACTGCCCCTCCATCGCGCGACTCTATAGTTTATCAATCGTTTTTACATCCAGTATCTCATTGTGTTCTTACCACAGTCCAGAGTGAGGCCCACAGAGTGGATGGAACCCCTGAGCCACACAGCTGGTCAGAGAATGGCACAGACACAACCCAGGCCTCCATCTACTCGACAGACCTCACCACGAGCCTACTATGTGCTGGGTGTGGTCCCCACCCTCTGGGATCTCCTGCGACCACGCTGAGTGCCGAGGACAGGAGCCCTGTCTACACCTGTGTGTCCCCTTCTCCCCTCCAGGACCAGCCCAGCAGAGGCTCAGGAGCCCAGAGGACAACAGTCCCTGCAGTGCGCCTTCCATCCACTGGGAGGCACAAGACCAGTCTGAACAGCAGAGGGAGCAGGAGGATGGGGCTACAGGGAAAGGGTCCTGGCTGGAGGCCTGTGGGCAGGCAGGGCTGTTCTGGGCCCTCTGGAGAGGAGCTGGTTGACAGCTTGTTCTAGGGTTGCAGGAGGGCACAGTCCCTGAAATGCCCACGGGGTCTACACCCCAAGACCTTGATCTGAGGTAGGAGAGGAAGACAGCTGCATCCCATTCTGCCCCATTCCACCCTGCGTGGACTTTGAGATCCAGGTGGGCGCCATGGGAAAGGTAGCAGGGTGGGTCAGTGCTGTCTGGAAAGATTAGATAAGGAGGAGGAAGGGAGCTAGATAGAAGTGGGGCAGGTGACTATCAAGGAGCCTGACTCAAAACCTACCACCTTGGCCACCATCAGAGCACCATGGGAGGGGGAATGACAGACTGGGGGAATGACAGACTGGGGAAATCCCCGAGGGACCCTGAACAACCCTCCCCCCACCCCCATTCAGCTGTGGATGAGAAAACTGTCCCTGGGGCATGGAGGAGAAACTGACCCGCCCAGGTCACACAAGTTAATGGAACAGCAAGTTCCAGATCCCAGGTCTTCTGGCTCCCAGCCCCAGACACTGGCTGTGGGTGGAGGATTACCCAGGTGCCAAGGCAAGAGACTGAAGGCACAAACTGTTTCAGTATAATAAAAAAAATAGAATAAGAATAGTCATAATACAAATTAGATATAGAGATGATCATGGACAATTAGCAATCACTATTAATCTTTAGCTTTTAATATTACTCTTTGTTGCATTACTAATATAACCTAGGAATAACCGGTGGGTATAGGGTCAGGTGCTGAAGGGACATTGTGAGAAGTGACCTGGAAGGCAAGAGGTGAGCCCTCTGTCACGCCCACATAAGGGCCGCTTGAGGGCTCCTTGGTCAAGTGGTAACGCCAGTGTCTGGGAATGCACCCGTTAATTAGCAGACCGCGAAAGGGAGTCTCCTTTCCTTGGAAGAGTTGGGGAACACTCTGCTCCACCAGCTTCTTGTGGAAGGCTGGATATTATCCAGGCCTGCGCGCAGTCATCCGGAGGCTTAAACCCTTCCCTGTGGTGCTGTGCTTCAATGGTCCCACTCCTTGTCCACTTTCATGCTCCTCCCGTACTCCTGGTTCCTCTTTGAAGAGCGCAGTAGATAGCGGTAGAAGAAATAGTGAAAGTCTTAAAGTCTTCGATCTTTCTTACAAGTGCAGAGAAGAAAACGCTGACATATGCTGCCTTCCCTCTCTGCTTCGGCTACCTAAAAGGGAAGGGCCGCCTATCCTGTAATCACATGACTTGCTTCACCTTGTCAATCACTTAGAAGATTCACCCTCCTTACCCTGCCCCCTTGTCTTGTATGCAATAAATATCAGTGACCCCAGCCGTTCAGGGCCACTACTGGTCTCCGCGTCTTGATGGTAGTGGTCACCCCGGCCCAGGTGTTTTTTCTTTATCTCTTTGTCTTGTGCTTTTATTTATTACAATCTCTCATCTCCGCACATGGGGAGAACACCCACTAAGCCCCGTAGGGCTAGACCCTACAACTGGCCACCACTCCACAGATGCAGGCCAGCCCCAAGGAGGCCACTCCAACAGCAGGCACTGTCAGAACACTGGGATGGGCTGGTGGTGGGTGGGAAGCCTGGGGGGCCCTTTCTCCAGATAGCCAAAGTCACACCTACTAGGCGGAATGTTAAGAGAGAAACCCAGATTCACTGGTTGGGGCTCCTGGCTCATCAGAGAAAAGAAATTAACTCCTGCATCCCTGCAAAAGCAACCATTTCCTTTACCTCTACATATCTTTACCAAGAATCCACCCTGTGCCAACCAACGGGGGGCCAGACAGTATATGGAATATATAGAATTTTAAAACAAGTACAGCTAAAGCCTTCAGAAAGCTTAAAGTCTAGAAAGGACAATAAGCCGCACACGCAGAGAACCCAAATAGTCTCTCCAGGAAGAATGGAGATAGCAAGAACAACTAAACTTGGCCCAGTAGAAATAAAGGTCGGGGCCAGTGTGCCACCCTGCCTCTGCCACAGGCCTGGGTTTCTGGCTGTCAGGGTCAGGCGGGCTGTCTGACAAGTCCTGGGGTCTCTACAGCGGTGCTGGGTGCATGGGAGGACATATCTGTAAGGCCAAGGAGAAGAAAGACAGGGAGCAGGAGACCAAAGGGAAAGCTGGGAAGAGAGGGAGAAAAGGTGCAACCATGGGCCGCCAGCCAGCCCTTGCCTCATATATTTGGCCTGCCAGCCCCAGGCTTGTCTCCCACTCTCCATAACCCAGAACTGGACTCTCTCAGTCTTTCTCACTTGACAGAGTAACTGAGGCTGTAGGACCCTCAGCAGGGCAGACCCTCAGGCCAACTCGCCCTGGCTCCAAACCTCCGCAGAGCTCTCTGGGAAACAAAGCAACAAAGGCAGCCCTGACAAATCAATCCAGAAAGTGAAGCAGCCTACACCACAACCCCGCCTTGCCAGAAACTCAGTGTTCATGGTGGAAAAGGAGATGAGGGCGGGGCGCTGTTTTAGATTAAAGGAAACTGAAGAGGCATAAGAAAATGTAACACGAGTACCTTGACAGGATCTCGATGGTTTTTCTTTTTTTTTGACGGAGTCTCACTCTGTTGCCAGGCTGGAGTGCAGTGGCACGATCTCAGCTCACTGCAACCCCCACCTCCCGGGTTCAAGTGATTCTCCTGCCTCAGCCTCCCGAGTAGCTGGGACCACAGGCATGTGCCACGATGCCCAGCTAATTCTTGTATTTTTAGTAGAGACGGAGTTTCACCACGTTGGCCAGGATGGTCTTGATCTCTTGACCTCGTGATCCGCCTGCCTCAGCCTCCCAAAGAGCTGGGATTACAGGCATGAGCCACTGCGCCTGGCCTAGGATCCTGATTTAAAGAAACCAATGGTCAGGCCCGGCGTGGTGGCTCACGCCTGTAATCCCAACACTTTGGGAGGCTGAGGCGGGCAGATCACCTGAGGTTAGGAGTTCAAGACCAGCCTGCCCAACATGGTGAAACCCGTCTCTACTAAAAATACAAAAATTAGCTGGGCGTGGTGGCTGGCACTGGTAATCCCAGCTACTCTGGAGGCTGAGGCAGGAGAATCACTCGAACCCGGGAGGCAGAGGCTGCAGTGAGCCGAGATTGCACCATTGCACTCTAGCCTGGGCTACAAGAGGGAAACTCCATCTCAAAAAAAAAAAAAAAGAAACCAATGGTCGGTCAAACACAGACAACCTGGGCCCAGTGGCTGTAATCCCAGCACTTTGGGAGGCCAAGACAGGAGGATTGCTTGAGCTCAGGAGTTCGAGGTTACAGTGAACTCTGATCACACCACTGAGGACAATGGGCACATCTGACTATGGATTGGGCCCTGAATGCTATTAGGAAACTATTAATTGGTGTGATCACAACACTGTAGTTACATAGGGATGTATAATAAAATATTTAGAGGTGAAAAAGATGCAATGTATGTAATTTATCATAAAATACTTCAGCAAAAAATACAAATATCAAATGTGACCACTGTAAACAATGATTAAGTCTAGGTGGTAAGCAAATTGGTGTTCTAAATGCTTCCCACTACTTTTCCTGAATTGTATTTATGCCTCAGGCTGTGAGAGCATAGGTAAAGGCCAGGGCCACCCAATGTAAGTGATCTGTAAAGTCTACCCACTGCCATCATCATCATCATCTTTGAGACACAGACTTAATTTTCCCTCCCATTACCTATATCACCCCCATCATCTATTTCTAGACTCATACTGGAGAAGAGGGCTCTCCTGCACTGTGCAGGAAGGGCTAATGGCTGGCTGGCTGGCGGGCTGGCTGGCTGAGCGATGGGGAGAGCAATTTGCTAACCAAATATGCACAGGTGTCTGCCTCAAGCACCTGCAGCTGCTCCTGGACTGAGATTTGTGTTGACAGCCCCTTCCGGCTCTGCCCACCTGCTGACCAAAAAAACATAGCACTCTGGCCATTTTACTCCCTCACTGAAGCCTCTGCAATGAGTCTCTCCTGACTGTCTCCCCAAGTGGAAATCCCTCTGTAATGTGGCATGTGGCTCCACCCAGTTCCATCCCCAGCCCACACCCTGGACTCACTGTGTTGTGAACGCCCAGCCTCATTTCTGCACCCACGATTTCTCTCACAGTCCCTAGCCTGAAAGGCCCTACAAACTTCTCTTCTCAGTCCCCTGCTGCGTGACCCCAAGCTCTCCAAGCCAGGTGTCCTGACTGCAGGGAATTGTGACTGCAGGTACAAATGCTGGGTGTCACTGGCACCTTTCGCATGACCAGCCTGACATACCCAGGGGGCTCAGAGCTCACATTCAGAGGCCTGTGATGAACTTAGTAGAGATCTGCGTTCTGCTTTCCTCCTTCCCCCACCCCAGGTTTCTTCCCTTCCACTCACACAGCCCTCACTCCCAGAGAGGGGTGTCCCAGCCCCACATGGGGTGAAGTCTAGAGAGCAGGGCTGGGGGTGGACATGCAGGGACTCCAGGCATGTGTGCAGAGGTCATCCAAACCCAGAAACCTCCCCCTAAGCTGAAAACAGAAAGCTGGTGTGGCCCCACCCTAAAACTCAGCATGTGTCCCCACCCCCAACCCAAGCCACCGCCCCAGTGGGCCAAGCTAGGGAGGGGATATGGGGTCAGGAATGTAGGGCAGGGCAGAGTGTAATCAAGTGGCTCCAGCAGGATTCTTTCAGGCCGGCAGGATTCAGGCCGAGCAGTTGGATGCAGCCTGAGACCCTGGAGTCTCAAGGTGGATGTGTGGCACTGGTTCTAGGCTGAGCCAACCCCGCGCCACCCCCTCTCCACTTCATCCCTTCTCCATCACATCCTCGCACTGCCTGGGAAGTGCCTAGTACCTAACCTTGAGGGCAGAGGCTGGTCTTACTCCCCACATGCTAGTGCAACACTCACACATGACATGAATCATGTCTGACCCTCTGTGGCACCAAGTTCTGTTCCTATACCCCTCCACCACCACAGAAACACAAAAAGTTAGACAGCCTAAGAGTTAAAGGTGTACCTTGTCTTTGATCTCCATTTCTGGGAACGTATTACCTGAGAGGATAACTATAACTAGACAAGTGTTCAGGCATGCATGCACTAGGATGTTCAGGGCAAATTGTTCTTAACAGCAAAAATTTACAAAGAGCCTGAATGTTGAATACTAGAGTTGCTTAAATAAATTAAGGTACAGCATACCATGGCTGTGCAGCCATAACAATGGTGTGTTGGCATGGGAAAATACAGCTCACTATATATATGCAAAAAAGGACAGGGTACAAAGCCATACGTGCAGTTTGATATTGTTTGTAAATGTTCATTTATGAATATAAAAGGCTAGAAGGTCATAGGGAATGTTCATGTAAGCCATAGTGGTATTACAGATCATTTTTTTGAGTTTTTCACATTTTCTCCATGGAATGTATATTTTTTTTTAATCTGAAAAAATATATATATTTTCAAAAAATGAGTTGCATGGATTAGGCTAAGACCAAGAATCTGCCTTGAGGTACAGAACAGAAGTCTAACATCTTCTTCCAATGAAATCACAATTAAATGAAAGCCAAGCCGGGTACAGTGGCTCATGCCTGTAATCCCAGCACTTTGGGAAGCCGAGGCAGGCAGATCACCTGAGGTCAGCAGTTCAAGACCAGCTTGACCAACATGGAGAAACCCCATCTCTACTAAAAATACAAAAAAATTAGCCGGGCGTGGTGGCACATGCCTGTAATCCCAGCTACTCGGGAGGCTGAGGCAGGAGAATCGCTTGAACCTGGGAGGCGAAGGTTGTGGTGAGCTGAGATTGTGCCATTGTACTCCAGCCTGGAAAACAAGAGCAAAACTCTCTCCAAAAAAATAAAAGAAAGAAAGCCAAGACAGGTCTGAAATCCACCCAGGGAATGCTATCAGCGAGGGAAAGGCAGTCCCCTGCTCCTGGAATTACATGTGTCTCAGACTTAAGGCTCAAAGGGCCCCACTGCACAGAACGGAACAAGCTGGACCTGTGCCTTGGGTACCACTGATTCTGCAGTGCCTAAAACAGTGCCTTGCCTAGCACATGGTAGATGCCTAATAAATGTTTGTTGAATGACATTATGAAGTCTGATGAGGGCAAAGAGATGGGCCTTCTGGGCTGAGGGGCAGGTAGACCTAGCAGGCAGGCTTCCTCACAGCCTGTCAGCCTGGGAGGGCCCCCAGATCAGGGATCCCGGCCCCAGGTACTCATTAAAACCACCTGGAGAACTTTTTAAAAATCTAACACCCAGACCTTAGCCCTAGAGATGGTGATTCAGTTGGTCTGGCATGGGACTTGGGAGCTGAAATTTTTTTTTTAATCCCCAGGTGATTCTCAGGTACAGCCAGAGCACCATAGAGGATAATGCAGGCTGACGGAAACTCACTCTGAGAAGGCAGGGCCTTGTTCAAAGCATCCAGCAACGGCCAGGCACGGCGGCTCATGCCTGTAATCCCAGCACTTTGGGAGGCAGAGGAGGGAGGATCACTTGAGCCCAGGAGTTTTAGATTAGCTTGGGCAGCAAGGGGAGACCCCATCTCTATAAAAAATACAAAAACTAGCCAGATGCGGTAGCACACGCCTGTAGTCCCAGCTACTCGGGCGGCTGAGTTGTAAGGATTGCTTGAGCCTGGGAGATTAAGGCTGCAGTGAACCCAGATCACACTACTGCATTCCAGCCTGGGTGACAAAGACCCCATTTCAAACAAAACAAAACAGAAACCACCCAACAAGTTGGTGATGGAACATGAGACAGACACCCTTCCTGAGAGCTATGCCTCTGAGGTTTCCGACCTAGGGATCCTGAGCCTGGAGACCTGGGGCTTCGTCTATATTCACCCCCATACTTCTTGGGTCCTGACCTCCAGGGAAGCAGGTCAGGCTGGCAGGTAGACAGAGAATCCCATGGGTAAGAGGCAGCATCTCCTACTCACTATGATTACCCAGCCCTGGGTGATCCAGGTCCAGAGGCCCTGAGAGCTCCAAATAGGCTCCAAGGCTGAGCCATGGGTGGGCAGAGGCACTTTGACAAATGTTGAAAGCTCAGCTCCAAGACCCAGTTCACCTGCACTCCCCCAGTTTACTTTCTGTGGGTCTGGGGCTACCTCTCTGGGTACTCATAAGAGATCTTCGCCAGGCACAGTGGCTCGCGGCTGTAATCCCAACACTTTGGGAGGCCGAGGCAGGCGGATCATCTGAGGTCGGGAGTTTGAGACCAGCCTGACCAACATGGAGAAACCCAGTCTCTACTAAAAATACAAAATTAGCTGGGTGTGGAGGCACATGCCTGTAATCCCAGCTACTCGGGAGGCTGAGGCAGAAGAATCGCTTGAACCCAGGAGGCTGAGGTTGCAGTGAACTAAGATCGCCCCATTGTACTCCAGCCTGGGCAACAAGAGTGAAACTCTGTCTCAAAAAAAAAAAAAGAGATCTTCAAGAGATGACTTGAGATCCTGATGGGTCCACCCTGTGTACCCAAGGCCAGTTCTCCCTAGCCACTGGCCTGAGGCCACATTCAATCCTCCACTTTTTGTTGGCCCTAATCAGCTACTCCATCCCTGGCCTCTGCTGCTCCCACCTAGGGTAAGGGATAAAGCAGTGGCATTGGCCTTGCTCTCCTGCCAAGAACAGGCGTGGGCCTGCTTTCCCTTGCTGGCCGGCTGGCAGTCTCAACCGCTCCTGGATCCACTACCCAGATCCCTCCCATCCTTCCCACCTAGAGTTAATGTACAATCTTCACTAGGACCTCTAATTCTCCAGGAGGCTCTAATTGGCCTCGTCCACTTTGCACTGAAGAGCTCTGGCCAGAATCTGAATGCTGCCTCTGCCTCCCTCCCCAACTAATGCCCCCTTCCCATCTCCCAGGTGACCTGGCCCATCTGCCCACCAAGGCCACCCCTGCCTTCAACACATTCATTTTTATCCAGCCCTTACTGGGTACCTCCTGGGGCCCACACACTGGGCACTGGGTTAGCCCAGGAATTCAGTCAAATCAGCCTATGGGTTCACAGACATGGGCACCAACAGCCTCGGGAAAAGCAGAGGGGACCAGAGTTCAGAAAGGAGGCAGAAGGATTCTGAGGAGGATGGGGCAGAGAGAAAATCACTCAGAGCAACGCTCCTCACACTTTAATGCACCAGTCCCCTGGGGATCTTAATAAAATGCAGATTCTCATTCAGTAGGACGGGCACGGGGTCTGAGATTCTGCATTTCTGACAAACTTCCTGGTGACGCTGAAGCTGCTGGACTGATTACTTACAGCACTTACAAATCATTCCTTCTTTGACTCTTAACTTCCAAGGAAGCAGGAAGCACAGCTCCCTTAATCACCACCAAGTCCCCAGCACCCAGTACAGTGCCTGTAGACCTGCTAAATATATGAATGGTGTTAATCCTGGCAAGGTGCCCAGCATTAGATGGGCCTACAGGGAAGCCTCCAATGTGAGGAACACCAGAGAGTGGTTTGTACAAAGCAGTTCAAAAGCATAGAGGACGAAGGGTTAATTCTGCCCTAGGGGTTGGGGAAGCTGGATTTCTCAAAAGAGGCCACTTTGCATTAAGCCTTAGAGGGTGGGACAGATTTACCCAGGTGGAGACTTGCTTGCTAAAGGGCGGGAACAACCCAAGAGCAAAGGTAAAGAGACTGAGAGCGCGGGACAGGTTGCAGTCGTGTGGTGCACCTGGAGTTCCAGGTATGGGAAGGTGAAAAAGCCCCAGAAAATTATGATGCAGACCTGCACAGGCCGATGCTAGAAAGCCATGCTAGGAGGGTGGACATCCGCTGGTGGAACATCAGGAGATGTTGGAGGTGTTTGCAGAGGGAGGGGGTACCCCGGCGTAGAAGGGCTTTCTAGAGGTCACCAGGATCTGCCCCAGGATCAAGGTGGACTGGAGGAAGCAGTTCCTGGGGCAGGAAGGGCCAAGCTGGGAGGAAGTTTTGGAGGCAACAGAGGGAATCCTTTGTGAGGGAGTGAGGCCTGCACAAGGGCAGGGGAAGAAGCAA
The DNA here is from genome assembly GCF_000001405.40 of Homo sapiens. Classification (NCBI taxonomy): domain Eukaryota; kingdom Metazoa; phylum Chordata; class Mammalia; order Primates; family Hominidae; genus Homo; species Homo sapiens. Next base: position 33,623,655 of record NC_000006.12, on the reverse strand, counting down.
TAAGATGTTTTCCCTGATCTTGTTAAATCTCACAGGTGCTAGGCAGGGCACGGTGGTTCACGCACTTTGGAAGGCTGGGGTGGGCGGATTGCTTGAGCTCAGGAGTTAGAGACCAGCCTGGGCAACATGGTGAAACCCAGTCTCTACAAAAAAAATACAAAAATTAGCCGGGTGTGGTGATGTGCCTGTAGTCCCAGCTAGTTTTGGGAGCTGAGGCAGGAGGATTGCTTGAACCCCAGAGGTCGAGGCTGCAGTAAGCCAAGATTGCATCACTGCATTCTAGCCTGAGTGAGAAAGTGAGACCTTGTCTTAAAAAAAAAAAAAAAAAACAAAACTCACAGGCACTTGAAAATCATCATGTGTTCAGCCCCAAGCCAGGCACTAAGCAACAGAGGTGGTCATTTCCCAAAAGTCCCTGGTGCTCTTCAGACACTAGGAGGGGACTTCCACGATAGATCCCTATGTCCCTCCCAGTCCCCACACCCTCTCCTCCTTCCCTCAGCTTTATCAGAGGTGTTTACTCTGTACCTACTGTGGGCAGCCCTGGCCTCAGGGCAGCCAGGGCCTAGTCACTGCTCTCTGGAGGAGGCCTGCACAAATGCTGGCCCAGATGTGGCTCCACCCCCATCCTCTAGGGAGCTGGGAAGAAGTTAGATCTAGTGGAAGTGGGGACAAATAGGCAGGGATTCCACGTGTGAAGGGGAGGGCACCAGGAGGGACCTGGATGGTTCTGCGAGAAGGCGAGCAGGGCAGGCTGGAATGCCAGGTGAGAACTCCCTGCTTGGCAGAGCCAGCCCTCCAATCCCACAATCCATTCCCTTTACACCAAGATGAAAGCTAAACTCCCAGCAACCCTGGGAGAGACCAGTGACCCCTCACCTCCCAGGCTTGGGGTGAGCCGGGCCCTGTCCAGCATCAGTCCTGAGCTGAGGGTGCCAGGTTGTCCTCCAAGGCCATCAGAAAGAAGGCACCACGCGGCTGGCTGGTCCCACTCAGTGGATCAGCAGAGGAGGGTGGGTGTACCCTAGAGGACAGCCATGTGTGGTTGGGAGGATGAGACAATTTAACCCAGGCCCCCAGACTGTAAACGGGACAAAGATAGCCGACCCTGCCCTGGGGTCTGGCTGGAGAAACCACCTACGCTCCCATCCAGCGAATCACATCCAGCTGCTCCTCTGAAGATAAACCCATCCTCTCTACCTAATTTCTCTCCTGCCCTCTCCCTGCTACAGGCCTGGCCCTCTCCAGGGACGTGAACTGATTCCCTGTTCATCCAGCCCAGACCCTGGGAGGTGGCGGCCAGAATTAATTAATGTTTGTGAAGTGCTGGAGAGAAGCTAGAACCAAGGACCCAAGGGCGCCAGATGACCGGCGCAGGAAATTGAATGGGAGAGGCGGGGAGAAGGGGCAGCTGGCCAGGACCTTGAAGCCTGGAAGGGGAGGGCTGAGAAGACACTCCTACTGAAGCTGGGAAGAACAGGGAGAGAGCTGTGAGGAGAAGGTGCGACCCCTCAAAGGCACCACGGGATCGGTAATAGAGGATTACGGGCTCCAAGCTGAGCCTGCCCACTCCCGACAGCTCCGCCCTACCCTCAGAGCCGGGCACGTCTCGGCCCGGCTGCCCTTCCCCAACTCAGCCTCCAGCCACCCACCTGCCCGCCCCCGGGACCACCTGCAAAGGAAGCCTCCGTCCCTCCGCCCCCTCCAAAGGCGTGCGCGGGAGGGTAGAGGCTGCGCCGCCGAGGGAGGCTCCTCCTGCCAACTCCAGTAGGGAGCCCGAGTCCTACCTGAGCAAACACTTCACTTCCTTTCTGTAAAAGAAGGAGGCGAGCCGTTCCCGCTCCTTGAGACTAGGGGGACGTCCAGGCCTCTATCGGGGGGCGGCGGCTGGACGCACGCAGCTGGCACCAGGGCCCACGGCGCCCCCTCTTTACCCGCGCCCCTCTCGAGCTCGGCTCACTCACCCCAAAGTGCTGATGAAGCCATTGACGGAGCCCTCGGCGTACAGGGAGACGATGTCCCCGATGTGAAGAAAGCTGGACATTTCACTCATGGCTGCGGCCCTCCGGGGCCCAGGGCGTGGGGGGCGCCTAGGGGCGCGTGGCCAAGCTCAGTGCGGAGGACTGAGGCGTCCGGGGAGCGGGGAGGGGTACGCTCCCACCTCGGATCCCGACGCTCGGTGCGGCCGGGGCGGGCTGGCGGCCACGGGAGCCAGGAGGCGGCTCGGCGGGGCCCGGGGTCCGGGTGAGGAGGTGCCCACGTCTTGGCGCGCCCGCCGCCCGCCCGCCCCGCCCGGCCCGCGCGTACCTGCAGCGTAGAAGGAGCAGGAAGTCTGGGGCCACCACACACATGCAAATCCCGCCCGGGAGGCGGGGAGGCCACACCCCGCCCCCCCTCCCCCCGCAGCTCGCCCGCCGGCACCCATGTGCACCCGCCTGCCTTCCCGCGCCCCGCGCTCCTCGCGCGTCCGGGGCCCGGCCTCCCGGACGCCGAATGCGCCGCCAGCCCTCCTGATCTCCAGAGGCGTCCTGCAAGGCACCGGGTCTAGGGGGCTCTCGGAGCTGCCATCCCTGGGAGGCCCAGGCGTAGTGGGGAGCTCTCCGCCCTCGGGGTTCCCGGACTATCTGCACCCGGGCCCTCGGCTGGCTAAGAGCCAGTGCAGGCGCCCGCGGAAGGGGGAGTCCAGCTCTCCGGCGGGCGTCACCCCGGAGCCGCTCGCGGAGGGCGCGCCCTGGAGCGCCCTGGCCGCGGCCGCCCTGCGGCCACCGCGCGGTCTCCGCGCCCAGCTGAGAGCAGGCTGGCGCCCAGAGGCGCGCTCATCCCTTTGCAGAGCAAATTCGGGATTCATTTTTCTCAACGTGAAAAGCCTTTTCATTGCACAATAGAAAGTGCTCAGGCTTGGAGGGGAAATGAAGCAATGGGGTGGGTTTTGTTTTTTTTCTCTCCGCATTCCTGTGTACAAAGAGATCCAACTTCCGAATCAGTTCAGCCGCTCCCTCTCCAGGAGTTGGCTCCAAAACTCTTGGCTCCTTCCGTCTTTCCTTTCAAAAAAAAAAAAAAAGCAGGGATGAAAATTACCTTCGCTAGTTGACAGAGCACCCAAGCGCTAACGATGCCAAGTCTGGGTGCCGGCCCCCTGGGAGTGACCCGCTGCGGCAGCGCCGCCAGGCTCTGGCTCCCGAAGTCCTGCCCTCAAATTCGCGTCCCGGGCTCGCTTACTTTCTGTTCTGTTCCCCGGTGCTTGGGTGTTTGCTTCCTAGTCCTTTATTTGAACGCCTAAGATAGGGTGCCCATTGCCACCGCCATCCGATCACTTTTGCTCCCTTCGGACCCCCCAACCCCACTTCCTGAGTTGTGGGGGGGCGTTTGTCCCTGGGAGAGAGGGAGGAGGGGACTCGGTGACTGAAGCAGGAAGAAGAGAGGCTAGGGGAGGGGTGGAGACAGCTAAAAGCAAAGAGACAGCTGCTGACCCTGGGAGGAGAAGAGCCCCAGGCAGTGGTTTTTTTGTTGTTGTTGTTGTTTTGTTTGTTTGTTTGTTTGTTTGTTTTACGAAGACCCCCAGGAACGATGTGGGAGGGAAGGACACCTCCAGGATCGCTAAGTACCGTGTTTTACAGTTTTGTTTTGTTTTTTCACCATGGCAAACAGTAACAAGTTTTACAGCAGACCAGTCCACACCTTCGTCTATATATAAGCAAAACAATAGATCACCAAACAATACTTACTTTTATGACCTTTGATGCATGCTGATATTTTCTATTCTATTTCAGTTGTGTTCTTGTTGTTGCTTTAATGCTGATTGTAACCCACTGAACTGGTTTTTTTTAATGTCCCAAATGGGTTGCAAACTGCAGTTTAAAAAACCTCATCCAGTCCACTGTGCCAAAAAGAGATGACCAAAGCCCAGAGAAGGAACACCACCCATCAAGGGCACACGGCAGGTTCCTGGCAACTGGAGGCAGAAGCCAACCAAGCCTCTGATTTTTAGCCGGGTATTCTCCTATTACCCCACACCAACTGAGCCACAGCGATGGGTCACTGGAACCTCACTGAGAAGGGGCAGCCCCTGGGACAGTTTCACTTGCTCCCAGGAGTCAGGCCTCCTGTATCATCCCCAAAAGTTAGAAGGGAAAAATATGCCTTCATTCCATAAGCATTTATTGAAGGCCTGTGATGTCAGGCCTCTGCTGGGCACCAGGCTCTGATCAAGCTGTCAGCCTGGGCCCAATTGCCTTTTTCCCTTCCCCAGACCGTGAGGATGAAGAGGGACAAGTTGAAAACTTGCCTCCAGTGGCCACACTCAGAACTTGTGCCACAGCCACACCCAGGAATCCACCTCCTTCCTCCCCTGACATCCATATAGATGGTTCCATAACTCAGCCGAGGTGTAGCAGCCAGGAATGGAGGTCACTCCACTTTGGGTCTCTCTGGACTAAAGCACATGGCCTTGTTTCTCCCCACCCCTCCCCATCCTAGGAATACTTAGAGCCTCTGTCTCTCCACCAACCAGGAGGTCTCAGAGGTGAGGGCTCTGGGCCCCTGTCACCTGCTTCTTCCAAATCAGCTCCACTGTAAGCTATTTTATATACCTGCGTTCTGAGTTAGAATTTGTTTCAAGAAAGTTTCTGTTGGTTAAACAACAACAACAAAGACCAAAGTTTAAGAAACAGATGGTACAGCTCCAATGAGTTCCCTCCCCTGCTTCCTGCTTGAAGCCTTCCTATGCCTCCTCACTGCCCACAGAAGTCTACAGACCTGAGCCCAGCACACTGGACCCTCAAGTCTTGCTGTCCTCCCACCCTCTGCAGAAAACACAATTGCTCCTCAAGGAGGATCCATGCTGTAGACTGGCCAAGAGTGCAGACTCTGGCTCCCTTTTTTTTTTTTTTTTTTTTTTTAGACGGAGTCTCACTCTGTCGCCCAGGCTGGAGTGCAGTGGCGCAATCTCAGCCCACTGCAACCTCCACCTCCCAGGTTCAAGCAATTCTCCTGCTTCGGCCTCCCGAGTAGCTGGGATTACAGGTGCCCGCCACCACACCCGGCTAATTTTTGTATTTTTAGTAGAGACAAGTTTTCACCATGTTGGCCAGGATGGTCTCAATCTCTTGACCTCATGATCCGCCTACTGCGGCCTCCCAAAGTGCTGGGATTACAGGTGTGAGCCACCACGCCTGGCCCGGACTCTGACTCTTACAGGCCTGGATTAGAGTCCCAGCTCTGCCACTTTCTAGCAGGCATTCTCTCAGCCTGTTTGCTCATCTGTTAAATGGAGAGAGTACCATACCAACATGTGAAGGAAGTGTGAGCCATCAGCACAGCATCCCAGGCAGGAAGGACTCAGTGTGTCCCTTCTCATTTCCCCAGGACCTCATCCACTCATACCCCTGTGCCTGCGCTCCTGTGGCTCTCTCTAGCACTTCACCTTTTCAAGTTCCCATGGTCAGAATAAAGTCTTCTTCCCTAAAGTACTGGAGCACTAATCTTTTAAGTACTATTATGAAATATTTTAAGAAGTAATAGATAAAAATACAGTGAGTGCCTGTATCTTTCCTCTAGCTTTGTCAAATCTTTGTATTTTGCCAAATTTGGTTCTTTTTTTTTTTTTTTTTAAGAATTAAAACTTAGGCCGGGCACGGTGGCTCATGCCTATAATCCCAGCACTTTGGGAAGCCAAGGCAGGCAGATCACCTGAGGTCAGTAGTTCACGGCCAGCCTGGCCAACATAGTGAAACCCCATCTCTACCAAAAATACAAAAATTAGCCAGGCATGGTGGCATATGCCTGTAGTCCCAGCTACTCGGGAGGCTGAGGCAAGAGAATCACTTGAACCCAGGAAGTGGAGGTTGCAGTGAGCCGAGATCATGCCACTGCACTGCAGCCTGGGCGACAGAGTGCAGTTCAATCTCAAAAAAAAAAAAAGAATTAAAACTTAAAAAATTTCAGTTGTGTCCAGGCAAGGTGGCTCACATCTAATCCCAGCACTTTGGGAGGCCGAGTCTGGAGGACCACTTTTGCCCGGGAGTTCAAGACCAGCCTGGGCAACATGGCAAAACACTGTCTCTAAAAAAAAAAAAAAAAAAAAATTAGCCAGGCATGGTCGTGTGCACCTGTAGTCCCAGCTACTTGGGAAGCTGAGGTGGGAGAATCACCTGAGCCCAGGGAGATCAAGGAGGCTGCAGTGAGCCATGATTATGCCACCGCACTCCAGTCTGGGTGACAGAGTGAGATCCTGTCTTAAAAAGAAAAAAGATCAGTTGAAGTTCCTTATGCACCCTTCTCCAACTACATTCTCTCCCTCCAGAGACAGCCACTATCCTGATTTGGGTGGGTTTCATTTCATGCAGCTTTTTATGTTTGTATCGCATTTCAATGTATCCATAAAACAATGTATGATATCACATTGCAGGGTCTTATATTTTGTATAAATGTTATCACCCTGTGTGCATCCTTTGACACATAGCTACTGTGTGATAGTCTACTTCCTGACCACATCACAATTGCTTTATCCATTTTGCTGGTGACAGGTCTCAGATAAAGACTTATCAAAGTTTTGCTATTGCAACAGTTTTGCAATAAACATTCTTGTCTCCTTATGCACAGACCTGCGTGTCTCTAGGGCAATGTTGTTCAAACTATGGATTGAGGCCCATTAATGTGTTAGGAAATCAACTTAGTGGGTGAAGATCAGCTTTTTTTTTTTATTTTTTTTTAGATGGAGTCTCGCTCTGTCGCCCAGGCTGGAGTGCAGTGGCACGATCTCAGCTCACTGCAAGCTCCACCTCCCTGGTTCACACCATTCTCCTGCCTCAGCCTCCCGAGTAGCTGGGACTACACGCGCCCGCCACCATGCCCGGCTAATTTTTTATATTTTTAGTAGAGACGGGGTTTCACCATGTTAGCCAGGATAGTCTCGATCTCCTGCCCTCGTGATCCGCCTGCCTTGGCCTCCCAAAGTGCTAGGATTACAGGCATGAGCCACCGTGCCCGGCCAAGATCAGCATTTTTAAAACTCAAAATCGACTAGGAAATATCAATGTTTGTAACACATCATCAGTGTAACTAGTAGGGTGAAAGTTGTCTGTTGTGTGGTATGTGTGCTGTGGGTCACAATATATTTCTTATTGAGGATACTTGTCAAAAAGCCGGAAAAGCCCTGCTCTAGAGTAAAAACTTAGAAAGTACAATTGCTGGATTATAGAGAAGGTGCACTGTCAACCTCCGAGGAGTTGCCAAATTATTGTCCAACTTGGATGTTCTAATTTACCCTCTTGCCAGCTACATGGGAATGTGCCCAGTGAACCATATCCTCACCAACACAGACTTTGTAACATGAGATTTCTTTATTCCCCCACTATCAGAGAACATATCATGAGCCATCTTGGATTGAAACACTCAGTTCTTTCTGGGCTCCCTGAGCCAACTGTTAGCTAGATGAAGGAACACTTCACTTCACTTCACTTTGTGTCTCCAGACCAAGTCAGGAAAATAGTAAGTGCTTGCTTGGCAGGGTGCAGTGGCTCACACCTGTAATCTCAGCACTTTGGGAGGCCAAGGTGGACGGATCACTTGAGGTCAAGAGCTCAAGACCAGCCTGGCAAACGTGGTGAAACCCCATCTCTATTAAAAATACAAAAATTGGCTAGCGGGGTGGCTCACGCCTGTAATCCCGGCACTTTGGGAGGCCGAGGCAGGTGGATCACCTGAGGTCAGGAGATCAAGACCATCCTGGCTAACATGGTGAAACCCCATCTCTACTTAAAATACAAAAAATTAGCTGGGCATGGTGGCAGGTGCCTGTAGTCCCAGCTACTTGGGAGGCTGAGGCAGGAGAATGGTGTGAACCCAGGAGGCGGAGCTTGCAGTGAGCCGAGATCGTGCCACTGCACTCCAGCCTGGGCAACAGAGTGAGACTCCATCTCAAATAAATAAATAAACAAATAAATAAAAAATAAAAATACAAAAATTAGGCCGGGTGCGGTGGCTCACGCCTGTAATCCCAGCACTTTGGGAGGCCGAGGCAGGTGGATCACTTGAGGTCAGGAGTTCGAGATCAACCTGGCCAACATGGTGAAACCCTGTCTCTACTAAAAATACAAAAGTTAGCCAGATGTGGTGGCAGGCGCCTGTAGTCCCAGCTTCTCGGGAGGCTGAGGCAGGAGAATCACTTGAACCCGGGAAGCAGAGGTTGCAGTGAGCCGAGATCGTGCCATTGCACTCCAGCCTGGGTAACAAGAGCAAAATTCCCTCTCAAAAAAAAAAGAAAGAAAATAGTAAGTGCTCAATAAATCTGTGTGGAATTGAACTGTCAGGGAGAAAGAGGTGGGGAAAGTATATAAACTACACCAGGAGATACATACACAAGGAGACTGTGGGAGCCCCAGCTTGGGGTGTCACGTGCCTGGGTCCCCTGGGTGGGGAGTACAGAGCTCCCAGAGATGCTCTAAGGAATTGGGAAGAGCTGATGGGCTGCACCTCTTCTGAGTGGCTTGAGTGGAATGCTGTTAAGCTGGGGCCAAGTTCAGGCCCAGGAAGGAGGTCACCATCATCCCCTTCATGACCAATCTGCCCGGCCCAGGCCCCAACCTCAATGGCTGGGTATCTCCCAGCACCCACTAGCCCCACCTCCCAAAGGGAATAAGAAGCTCTGATTAGGATTCCCAGGAAGCCAGTGATTTTAGGGGTCTCTGCGTGGGAGGTCTGGGGGCCAGAGACTGGTGAAAGGATCACTTTTTACCCTATCTCTTTTTAAAACTTTTTTTTTTGAGACGGAGTTTTGCTCTTGTTGCCCAGGTTGGAGGGCAATGGCATGATTTCGGCTCACTGCAACCTCGCCTCCTGGGTTCAAGCAATTCTCCTACCTCAGCCTCCCAAGTAGCTGGGATTACAGGCATGCACCACCAAGCCCAGCTAATTTTTTGTATTTTTAGTAGAGATGGGGTTTCATCATGTTGGCAGGCTGGTCTCAAACTCCTGTCCTTAGATGATCCACCTGCCTCAGCCTCCCAAAGTGCTGGGATTACAGGTGTGAGCCACTGTGCCCAGCTTTAAAACTTTTACATTTCAGACTATGTGGCTGTATAACCTATAACCAAAAATAGATACAAATAAAGATGTTCAAAGCATTAACCCCAAGCTCCAAGTGCCAGCAGAACGCCCCCAGGAAACCCTCCTCCTACACTCTGCATCCACCCTGGGCCTGAGAAGGCAAGGAAAGGAAGGCAGGCAGTGCCCAGACCTTCTCCCTGACTCAGGAGAGGACACTGGGGCCGGGGAAGGGGACTGGGATCTGGGGAGGGGAAAGCAGCTCTGAACCTAGGTGTCCTCCACCAATGTCCTTCTTTCCCCTCCATCTTCTAGAGACTTGCTCTCAGCTCTGCTGTGTGGCTTTGCACAAGGATCAGACCTCTCTAAGTCTCAGTGTCCACCTTGTTGTAAACAGGGTTCACATCACCTTCCCAGATTCCACCCTTGGCTCTGACTGTTCTTTAAGCTCTGACTGGCCCTCTCTGACTGTGATAGGGAGGCATAGGAGAACACCCTCTTTATGGCAGCTGGCTGTGCAGACAGATAGTCTCGTGGTTGGGGGCAGATAATCGGGAGTTCTCAAGGGCTCCTCTGACCCTCAGTCCTGATTTGACAGCAGGGCCAAGCAGGGCGGGGCGAGGCCGGGCCAGAAGGCCTGACTCAGTGTAGCAGCCATCCGGCTGGGTCACCCGCCGTGGGTGGGGTGCCAATCCAGGCCCGCTGGGGTTCCCAGAGAATTCCTTCCCCATGCCATAAGCTGCCCTGGGCAAGCACCGCAGCCCACAGTAACCATTTAGCCACAGCCAGGGAGAGTGTACAGGGCTTCCTGCCCCAGAAGCCTACACACACACACACACACACACACACACACCGTTATACACTTTCACACTCATACACCAACACTTTCACTCACATACTCTCATCCACATACTCAGACACACTGGCACACCCGATTTCTTGGGAAGGCTAGAAAGGAGACAGAACTTGTTCTGTTTTCCTCACCCCCACCCCCATGCCCCAGTCATCAATGCCACATCTATTTCTTTCAGATATTTGCTAACCACCTACCACATGCAAGGGACTGGAGGAATGCAGCCAGCTAACTCCAACACGTGGTCCTAGCCTGGTGAAGCAAAAGATGAAAGCCAGCCGCTGCCGAGATTCCCACCAGCCACAGAAGAAAGCCTGCCCCTTGCCCTCTTCTGGTGTTGGCCTTGGAATAAGCCCCCTGGTGCTGGAGTCCTGAAACCAAGGGGCCGCTACTCCAGGTCTTCCCCAGGCTGACACTCCATTACTAGGTGCCCCCTCCTCCTCTCCTCTGAGAGGATAGGTCATAGGGTAGGTAACCTATGACATCTCCCGGGGCACCTTCACAGTCACAGTGAAAAACAAGTCCTGGGCTGGGTGCGGTGGCTCACACCTGTAATCCCAGCACTCTGGGAGAATGAGGTGGGTGGATTACAAGGTCAGGAGTTCAAGACCAGCCATGGCCAACAGCCCCATCTCTACTAAAAATACAAAAATTAGCCAGGTGTGGTGGTGGGAGCCTGTATCCCAGCTACTCAGGAGGCTGAGGCAGAGAATTGCTTGAACCCAGGAGGCAGAGGTTGCAGTGAGCCGAGATTGCTCCACTGCACTCCAGCCTGGGCGACAGAGCAAGACTCTGTCAAAAAAAAAAAAAAAAAGAAAGAAAGAAAGAGAGGGAGGGAGGGAGGGAGGGAGGAAGGAAGGAAGGAAGGCAGGCAGGCAGGCAGGCAGGAAGGAAGGAAAGAAAGAAAGAAAAAGAAAAACAAGTCCTGGAGCAAAATTACTGGAGTCCTAGCCCCAGCCACTAACAGGGTAGAGAAGCTCCCAGTCTCTCTGGGTCTCCATTTCCTTCTATGTAAAATAAAAATATAGACCTGTAACTGCCAGGTCCTGGCAGGAAGTTGGCAACACACCCCCAACAGGTGATTAAAGAGAGGTTAGTGGACTGGCATGGTGGCTCATACCTGTAATCCCAGCACTTTGGGAGGCCGAGGCAGGTGGATCACTTGGGGTCAGGAGTTCGAGACCAGCCTGACCAACATAGTGAAAACCTGTCTCTAACTAAAAATACACAAATTAGCCAGGCGTGGTGGTGCATGCCTGTAGTCCCAGCTACTAGGGATGCTGAGGCACAAGAATCATGTGAACCCGGGAAGCGGAGGTTGCAGTGAGCCAAGATCGTACAACTGCACTGCAGCCTGGGTGACAGAGTGAGACTCTGTCTCAAAAAAAAAAAAAAAGAGGTTGGTGAATGGATGGATTTGCAGAGGTGTGGGCACCAAGGGTAGTGCAGCACCCTGGAGCTGGCAACTGCAGGAAGCTGTTACCACTCAGGCCTGAAAAGGCCAAGGAGGGGAATACAGCCTTCCAGAGGGCAAGGACCAGACACTGCCAGCCTGGTCTTGGAAGCAGGGACCTGATGGAACAGATACCCCCACCTCTCTCTCTCCTCCACCCTCCAGTCTCTTACCAGTGCCTCCCATTGGCAGAGCTTAATGAGAAACCAGAGGGCAGGGGAGCTGGGTGATTCAGGCCACAAAAGTCAGCCTTTTGGGGCACAGAGCCAGGGCAGAAGAGTGGGCAGAGGAGCTGGAGGGGCAGATAGAAATATCTAGCATAAGTAACTACTTTGTAAAACACCTAGCTCAGTCAACAAATATTGTCTGTAATTGTCATTATTTGCCTACATCTGAGGATTCTAAAAAAAAAAAGACAAGTGCGTGTAGATCTAAAGGAATGACCATCTAACGGTGGAATTTTGTTTTGTATGGATGACCAAGAATAGGACATGTATAAGGCAAGATTTTATCAAGATCTCCACAAATCAGGCCTCCAAGTCCCCTTCCCTGTTTAGTAATCAGTTTTTGAGTGCCTGTTACACCCGCTGGATAGGAGGAGGAAGCTGGGGGTCTGGGCTGAGCTGCCAAGCCCCCAGAGTTCTGAGTCTGAGTTGGGAGTGGCGGGGATTACAGTGGAGGCTAATTACAGTTCCGAGTTGCCCTCTGAGGTCATCCCATCCTGAAGCCCAGGTTGGCATCCCGGCAGGAGCTCCCAAGGAGAGGGAGTGGCCTCTGGCCATTCTTCCTTTCTCCAGACTCCGAAGGGGGACCCTGCACGAGGAGGGAAGCGGCGCAGGTCTCTGTGAGTGTGCGCAGGCCTTGGCACTTCACCTGCCAACAAGAAAGGTGGGTTGGGAGGGGAAGCATCAGCCCTGTGATCCTGTTGAGAAAGGAGAGCAGCATGGAAAACTTCCCCGGGGGCAGGGCCAGGCACGAAGGAGCAGGCTTTGTCTGACAGAGACAGAGGTGAAAAGCATGACGTCAAGTCCACCTGGGCTGGGCCTGGCCTCTAGCCGCACCCCACCCCACCTTGGCAGGACTAAGGCCCTCCCAGCCAGTCCTTGCCCTGGCTGCCCGGCCAAAGCTGGGAATGGATGAAATAGAGGGGTTCACACACTATACAGGACCTGCTCCTGCGCCGGGTTTGTCAGCCTGTTTCCGAATCATTCAGAAGGAAAAGGTCATGCATCCAGGGCTGTGCCTTCCGAGGGGGCAGGGAGGGGTCACAGCTGAGGCTCCAGAGTGGAGAGGGAGAGAAAGGCCTGCTGTTTGTAAAAGCTGAGCAGACACTGGGGCCCTTGTCCTGGGGCAGCGGGGGAGGCTGCTGGCCAGATGTAGAGCAGGCCTGGCCTGAGCAGTCGGCCTCTTCCTCCCACAGCCCCACCGGCTGCTGGGCCAGCCTAAGAACAGAGGAGACCTGACTGAGGTCTGCAGGAGTGCAACCCCCAACCTCCAGCCAGGCACCAGAATGCCGAGGCAACCAGGGCACTCAGAAGCATCCCCAGGCGCTGAGGCCCTGGCGCTGCAAAAATCCTCAAGAGTCTGGCCTTCAAAGTTGGGCAGGTTTTCTCTGGAAGGGGCTCTCCAGTCTGTGGTTGACCAAACCCAGCCTCTAACTTTTGAGACAAGCAATCTGGGGTGGAGGGCTGCATTCTGCCACTTGACAAATATTTATTGAGTCTGCACTGTGTGCCAAGTGCTGTACAGGATGCTGGGGTACTATAGTGACCCCAAGTAGACGCAGCCCTGCCCTCTTGGAATTCAAGTTTGGGTGCAGGTCTGAATCACTTACCTAAGTTATATTGCAACTTTGCCATGTGCTGTGGGAGAGTACGGTGTGATGATACAAGACTGGAGCTCTCCCAAGGGAGGCTAGAGCAGTAGGGGATGGGTGGGGAGGTAGGGAGAGGCAGGAGGGATTCCCTGAGGAAGTGACACTTGAACTGACATTCCAAGCATTGGGGAATGGAAAGTGAAAAGGCCCAGAGGCAGGAAGGAACACAGTGAACACGCTCCAGGAAGGAGCAAGCAGCGCAGCTGTAATGGAGCAGGAAGGGCCCCGGCAAGAGATGGGGCTGAGGCCAGGCAGGACCTGGAGCCACAGGAAGGGATTGGTCTTTGTCTTAAGCAATGAGAAGCCATGGAGGGCTTTTGCCTGGGAGGACTGGCTGGTAGCTGGGTTTTGAAGCCCACTCCCTGTCTCTGAGTGCAGCACTGCTGGGAGGGGCTGCCACAGGGTCCAGGCAGCAGGTGCTGGGGCTGGGTGTCGGGGAGGGAAACAGGAAAGGAGAGAAGGGGGCAGATTCAAGGGAGTCAAGAGCAAATTACAGCGGTCCTTGGAGATAACAGGATATGGGGTGTGAGGATGACTTTTCTGCCCTCTGGGGCCCCTAGACTGAGGGGGTGATGGGGCATGTCACAGTGTAGGAGCTGACAGAACCAGACAGGCTGTCATGCTTGGGGAGGTGGCTTTCATTCTCTCTCCACACCTGCTTCCCCTCCCCAGCCTCCCAAGGGCCTTGGGACGGGCAGGGCATCCGCCTGGTTCACAGGAAAATTCTAACCTCCTGAGTCCACATTGTGACCACGCCAGTCCCTCCTGGAATCCCGGGCAGGGAAGGAGTCCAGTGGCTTAATCATCCTGCTGATTAACTGATGCATGTGGCAGGCCAGCCAACGTCCTCCTCCCTTCTGACCCTCATCCAGGGTGGGTGGGACTCCTGGGAGAGCAACTCCGAAGAAAGCCCTGCGCTGGCTGCCCACAGATTGCTCTTTTTCTTTTTAATTAAGAGACTTTATTTTTGCAGAACAGTTTTAGGTTTACAGAAAAATTGAGCAGATAATGTAGAGTTGTCATATACCCCCCTCCCCCTCTCACAGATTCCCCTATGATTACCGTGGTGCTCTGGTGTGATATGTGTGTTACAACTGTGGAAACAATATTGATACATTATCATTAATGAAACACCACAGTTTGCATGAGGGCTCATTTTTCTTTTTGTGCAGTTCCATGGCTTCTGAAAAATGTGCAGTGTCATGCATCCATTTTTACAGTATGCAGACAGCTTCACCACCCCAGGAGAGCAATTCCAGAGGAAACCAGCCAGGTGCTCTCAGTCCATAGACTGCACCCCACCCTCCCAGGCAATGCTACCCCGCTACCCTCACCACGGTGGAGAGCAGCCATCATGGAGACACCAGATGAGTGAGGAAATTGAGGCTCAGAGATGTTATTTCATTTGTTCATCATCACATAGCTGGTAGGAGCAAAGCTTGGGACCCTGGGTTCATTTGCGTTCCTCTAAAGTGGACGCTGAGGCCAGGACCTGGGGATAGCGGTTTATTTGGGAGAAGATCTCGGGAAGCACAAGCCTGGTTGGCACAGAGGCTCTACCCTGCTGGCGACATTCTCAGGGGCTATGCCCTACAGCTTCGGGTTGTCCCACCAAGGGGCGGGAGAGCCAAAGTGGGGAGCAGGTTGTTTAACCACTAACTCCTGTGCTTTTTGGTTGAGGGTAGTACTGGGGACGTTAATCCCAGCGTTCCCATGTTCCTGTGGAGAGGGAGGAAGCCCAGGACAGAGGAGCAGCCTAGTAGAGCCCATGGAAGGACTCGGAGGGGCGCTGAGGGCCAGCCTAGGTCCTCTGCTTTTTCCTCGGCATCTCCAATCACTCATTCATCCCATAGACCCTCAGTGGGGGCCTGCTGTGTGCCACCCCTGTGCGGGGCTCATTTCACAGGAAACATTGGGATCCCTGTCACTTTGCTGCAGGAAGCAGCAAAGTGTGGAATCTCAGGGTCCCTGGAAGGGGGTCCCCAGGGATAGAAGGTCCTGTGATCAGTCTCCTTGAGCTCCAAAGGGTGGTTCCTAGAAGACAGAGATGGATTCCTGCCAAGCACTGCCCCCACTCAGCCTGAGTCCCCGGGTGAACCAACCCTGAAGAACCACTGCGCCGGCAGTCTCCTCTCCCCTCCCAGCCAAAGCAGGGGCATGAGGGGGAAGACTCCCCAAGGGCCTTGGTGCCCCTGGTTGCCATGACCCCCAGTTGCAATCCAGCTCCTGACCCCCTGCAAGCCCGTGATAGACATGGATTGGGCCAAGCTGAACATCAGCAGCTCCTTCCTGTGGTTGGCACTGCTGTCATTCTATGCTCTATTTCAAAATGTAGCCACTCCCAGGAGTGACCCCAGCGTACCAGCAGCTCTCTGTGTTTGTCCAGAGTTGGCTGGGAGAGCGGAGAGAAAAGCTACCCAGGGTGAGGCACGTGGGGAGGATTCAGAAGGGAGGAACAAATAACCAACCATCGCCAACACCTGATGCCCGCCCCTAGGTGGTGCCATGGTGCTTGGGTGTGTTGGTGCTTAGTCTTAACTCATTCTAGTCCCCATTTTACAGATGAGGAAACTGAGGCTTACCAAGCTGTTGGGACTTGCTGCTGATCAAACAGCTAATGGATCATTCCCATGCTCCAGATGGGGAATGGAAACTCAGCTGTTTAACAGGTTGGTGAAGGCTGTACAGCCAGCAAGGCATCCTCATTTTTCACATATGGAAAGCTCAGGGAGGTGAAGGGGTTTGCTCAATGTCACAAGCTAATAAGTGACAGAGCTGTGACTTAAACTTGGGTCTGCTTGTCGCCAGAGCCCGGAGGCGTCACCTCCATGCTGCAGAAGGGTCACAGCTGGGGAATCTGGGAGGAGAATCTCTTTTCACTCAGGAGCTATGCCCAGACAAAGGCAGAGCAGCCCGGCAGAGGACCCCTCACAGACCCTGCCCCGAACACTTCCCCAGCAGTGGCTGGGAGGAGCCTCGAAGCTGGGACAGGGACTTCACCAAGGCCTGTCTCCAGCCTCCAACTGCAGCTGCCTCCAAGATCTCTGATTCCACCTTCCAGTGGGGGCCCCTGGCCCACTCCCTCCATCCTGAGCCAGACAGGCCTTTGAACCCAGGGTGAGTTTTCTCTGGCACCACAGTCTGTGGACCACACACAGGCTCCACCTGTCCTGCTCCCAGCCAACTCCAGTGCCAATCACTGAGATTCATTAGCTCTCCCTTTGTCCCACACACAAAAGGCACAGGAGGAAGCCAAGATGTTAGACAGCAGGGAGGACTTCCAGGCTGTCGGGAACGGAGATGTGAAGATTGGGTGACAGAGGTTGTGATGTTCTTTGAAAAAGGAAAATGCAGGAATGCAGCCTGCCTGACTAAAATCCCAAGTTCAGGGGCTCCAGACTCTCCAGACTGATTAACCTTTTTATTTATTTATTATTATTTTTTTTTTTTGGCCTTTCCAGCTCTCTCCCTTCAGGGCCTGGGTGCTGGGATTGGGAACTGGAAGGTTGCCTCTGGAACCTGTTCAGACCTCCAACCAGGACCACACCCGACAGCTCACATTGTTCCCATTCATAGTCAATAATAATTAGCATTTAGTGAACACTTACTACAGGCTCTTTATGTCTATATCAACTCACTTAATCCCCAAATGGCCCTATGGGAGGGGTACTATTATTAGGCCTACTTGACAGATGAGAAAACTGAGGCCGAAGGCCCTCCACAGGACTCTTCATCTTCCCAATGTCTGCCCATCCCTCAAGGCTCAGCTTAAATGTCTCCCTTCCTGAAAGGTCATGCCAGGGACCTCTAGCCTCTCTCTTTTCTGCTCTCCACAATGCAGTCAGTGCTTAGGGACCACCCCTGTTTGGGGCCTAGGCTCTCCAGGCCAACCTGCCACTGCCTAGCTTTTTTTTTTTTTTTTTTTGAGACAGAGTCTTGCTCTGTCACCCAAGCTGGAGTGCAGTGGCGTGATCCTGGCTCACTGCAACCTCCGCCTCCCAGGTTCAAGCGATTCTCCTGCCTCAGCCTCCCCAGTAGTTGGGAATACAGGCACCTGCCTCTGTGCCTGGCTAATTTTTGTATTTTTAGTAGAGACGGGGTTTCACCATGTTGGCCAGGCTGGTCTTGAACTCCTGACCTTGTGATCCATCTGTCTCAGCCTCCCACAGTGCTGGGATTACAGGTGTGAGCCACCACGCCCGGCCAGTATAGCTCTTAACCTTGAACAAAAGCCTTCTCTAAACCTCACCTTTCTTATCTGTCAAATGGGGATTATGAAGTAACAACTGTAGAGGACAGATACTGTTTGGATATCTCATGTTGAAATGTAATCCTCACCAGGGGCAGTGGCTCACGCCTGTAATCCCAGCACTTTGGGAGGTCGAGGTGGGCAGATCACGAGGTCAGGAGTTCGAGACCAGCCTGGCCAACATGGTGATAACCTGTCTCTACTAAAAATACAAAAATTAGCCGAGCATGATGGCACCCACCTGTAGTCCCAGCTACTTGGGAGGCTGAGGCAGGAGAATCGCTTGAACCTGGGAGGCAGAGGTTGCAGTGAGCTGAGATCGCGCCACTGCACTCCAGCCTGGGTAACAGAGCTAGACTCCATCTCAAAAAAAAAAAAAAAAAAAGAAATGTAATCTCCAATGTTGGAGGTGGGGCCTGGTAGGAGGGTGTTTGGGTTAAGGGGGTGTATCCCTCTTGAATGACTGGTGCCCTCATGGTAATGAGTGAGTTCTTACTCTGGGTTTGTACAATATCTGGTTGTTAAAAAAAAATGTGGCACCTCTCTCCTTGCTCTCTCTCTTGCTTCCTCTTTCACCATGTGGTATGCCTGCTCCCCCTCTGCCTTCCACCATGATTGGAAGTTTCCTGAGGCGCTCACCAGGAGCAGATGCTGGTGCCATGCTTCCTGTACAGCCTGCAGAACTGTGAGCCGATTAAACCTGTTTTCTTTATAAATTACATGGTCTTAGGTATTGTTTTAGAGCAATGCAAGAATGGACCAACAGGGGAAGAAAACTGGCACCAAGAGTGGGGCATTGCTATAAAGATACCTGAAGATGTGAAAGTGGCTTTGGAACTGAATAATGGGGTAGAGGTTGGAAGAGTTTGGAGGGCTAAGAGGAAGATAGGAAGTTGAGGGGAAGTTTGGAACTTCTTAGAGACTGGTCAAATGGTTGTGACCAAAATGCTGATAGTGAGATGGATAGTGAATGCCAAGCTGATGAGATGTCAGATGGAAATGAGGAACTTATTGGGAACTGGAGCAAAGGTCACCCGTGTTATGCCCTCGCAAAGAACTTGGTTGCATTGTCTCCATGCTGTAGGGATTTGTGGAAGTTTCAACTTAAGAGTGATGACTGGGGCATCTGGTGGAATAAATTTTTAAGCAGTAAAGCATTCAAGATGTGGCCTGACTGCTTCTAACAACCTATAATCAGATATGGGAGCAAATAAATGACTTAAAGTTGGAACTTATATTTAAAAGGGAAGCAGAGCTTAAAAGTTGGGAAACTTTGCAGCCTGACCATGTGGCAGAGAAAGAAAAAAGCATTTTCTTTTCTTTTCTTGAGATGGAGTTTTGCTCTTGTTTCCCAGGCTGGAGTGCAATGGCATGATCCTGGCTCACTGCAACCTCCGCCTCCTGGGTTCAAGCGATTCTCCTGCTTCAGCCTCCCTAGTAGCTGGGATTGCAGGCGCCCACCACCATGGCGGCTAACTTTTTGTATTTTTAGTAGACTCAAGGTTTCACTATTTTGGCCAGGCTGGTCTTGAACTCCTAACCTCAGGCAATCACCTCAGCCTCCCAAAGTGCTGGGATTACAGGCGTGAGCCACTGTGCCCGGCTCATGAAAAAAGCATTTTCAGAAGAGGAATACATGCAGGCTGTGGAGCAATCACTTGCTAGAGAAAATTTCAAGACTAAAAGGGAGCCAAGTGCTAATATCCAAGACAATGGAAAAAAAGGCCTCGAAGGCATTTCAGAAATCATTAGAGGCAGCCCTCCCATCACAGACCCAGAGGCCTAGGAAGAAAGACTGGTGTCCTGGGCCCGGCCCAGGGTCCTGCTGCCCTGCTCAGCTTTGAGACAGTGCTGCACACATCCCAGCTGCTCCATGTCCAGCTGTGGCTCAAAGGGCACCAGGTATGGCTTGGGCTGCCATTCTGGAGGGTGCAAGCCGTAAGCCTTGGCAGCTTCCATGTGGTGTTAAGTCTGCATGTGAACAGAGTGCAAGCATGAAGGAGGCTTGACAGCTTCCCCCTAGATGTCAGAGAATGTATGAGAACGGCTGGGTGCCCAGGCAGAAGCCTGCCACAGAGGTACAGCCTGCCACAGGGGAGGAAAGATGTGGAAATGGAATCCCCACAGAGTCCCTATCAGGGCACTGCCTAGTGGAGCTGTGGGAAGGAGGCTGCCATGCTCCAGACCTCAGAATGGTAGAGCCACAGGCAGCTTGCATACTGAGCCTGGAAAAGCTGCAGGCACTCAGCTTCAACGAAGAGCACCCACAGGGGCTGCACCCTCCAAAGCCACAAGGGCAGAGCTACCCAGGATGTAGGACATGGAGTCAAAGGAGATTATTTCGGAGCTTTAAGATTTAATGACTGGGCCGGGTTCCGTAGCTCATGCCTATAATCCCAGCACTTTGGGAGGCTGAGGGTGGTGGATCACCTGAGGTCAGGAGTTCCAGACCAGCCTGACCAACAAGGTGAAACTCCGTCTCTATTAAAAATACAAAAATTAGTGGCCGTGGTGGCAGGCACCTGTAGTCCCAGCTACCTGGGAGCCTGAGGCAGGAGAATGGCTGGAACCTGGGAGGCGGAGTTTGCAGTGAGCCAAGATCGCACCATTGCACTCCAGCCTGGGGGACAGAGCGAGACTCTGTCTCAAAAAAAAAAAAAATAATAAAATAAAATAAAATAAAATTTAATGACTGCCCTGCTGGATTTAGGACTTGTGTGAGATGTCTTGACCCTTTCTTTTGGTAAATTTCTCTCTTTGGGAATAAGAATGTTTACCCAATGCCTGTACTACCATTGTATCTGGGAAATAAATAACTTGTCTTTGATTTCACAGGCTCATAGGTGGAAGAAACTCATCTCCGGGTGAGATCTTGGACTTGGGACTTGGGACTTGGGACTTTTGATTGATTGATGGTGGAACAAGTTAAGACTTTTGGGGACTACTGGGAAGGAATGATTGTGTTTTGCAATGTGAGAAGGATATGAGATTGGGGGGTCATGGGGCAATGTGATATGGTTTGGATATCTGTCCCCTCCAAATCTCATGTTGAAATGTAATCCCAAATGTTGGAAGTGGGGACTGGTGGGAGGTGCTTGGGTCATGGGGGTGAATCCCTTATGAATGGCTTGGTGCCCTCCTAGCAGTGATAAGTGAGTTCTTGCTCTGAGTTTGCATGAGATCTGGTTGTTTAAAAAGAGTGTGGCACGGGCCGGGCACGGTGGCTCATGCCTGTAATCCCAGCACTTTGGGAGGCCGAGACAGGCAGATCACCTGAGGTCAGGAGTTTGAGGCCAGCCTGGCTAACACGGTGAAACCCCGTTTCTACTAAAAATACAAAAAATTAGCCAGGTGTGGTGGTGTGTGTCTGTAATCCCAGCTATTTGGGAGGCTGAGACAGGAGAATTGCTTGAACCTGGGAGGTGGAGGTTGCAGTGAGCTGAGATTGTGCCATCACACTTCAGCCTGGGCGACAAGAGCGAGACTCCATCTCAAAAAAAAAAATAGTGTGTGGCACCTACCACCTCTTTCTCTCCCTCACTGTCTCTCTTACCATGTGAGACACCTGCTCCCCCTTTGCCTTCTGCCATGATTGGAAGCTTCTTGAGGCCCTCACCAGGAACAGATGCTGGTGTCATACTTCCTATACAGCCTGCAGAACCATGAGCCAATGAAACTTCTTTTCTTTATAAATTACCCAGTCTCAGGTATTTCTTTATAGCAATGCAAATGGAGTGACACAAGGACTCTGGTGAGTACTCAATAAGATAACAGACATTGAGCCCAGTGATCCGTTCCTGGCACAGAGCCAGTGCTTAAGAGTCAGGTCATCGTGGCTAAATTTATTATATGTGCTCTCTTATTATTAATAGTACTTCATTATCCTAACTCTGTGGATTTCACCTCTCAGTCTGATTATAAGTTTGTTGAAGACTCATCTTGGTATCTCTGTCTTGGTTTGGGGTCCCCAGAATGCAGACCCTGAGACAAAGGTCAGAGGACACACACATGAATGGAGGTGGCCACGGCAAACACCAGCAGAGGAGTGAAGAAGTGAGGCAGCGGAGGGAAGGATGCCAAGAATGGAGGTGTCATCGAACCAGTTACCTCTGGGGAGCTCAGGGAGCCAGGTGAGAATATGCCTCAGAGTTGACCCAAGCAAGCTGCCCGGCAGCAGGGGGTTTCTAGTTTAATTAATTAATCAATTATTTTGAGACAGCGTCTTGCTCTGTCATCCAGGCTGCAGTGCAGTGGCAATATCAAGGGTCACTGTAGTCTCAACCTCCTGGGCTCAAACGATCCTCCTGCCTCAGCCTCCCAAGTAGCTGGGACTATAGGTGCGTGCCACCACGCCCAGATAATTTTTTACTTTTTGTAGAGATGTGATCTCATGTTTCTCAGGCTGGTCTCAAACTCTTGGCCATAAGCAATCCTCCTGCCTCAGCCTCCCAAAGTGCTGGGATTATAGCAATGAGCCACTCTGCACCCGGCCTGTTTTTTTTAGCAATATCTTTTGGCCAGGCACAGTGGCTCATGCTTGTAATCCCAGCACTTTGGGAGGCCAAGGCAGGTGGATCAGCTGAGGTCAGGAGTTCGAGACCAGCCTGGCCAACATGGTGAAACCCCGTATCTACTAAACAAATACAAAAATCAGCTGGGTGTGGTGGCACACGCCTGTAATCCCAGCTACTTGGGAGGCTGAGGCAGGATAATCGTTTGAACCTGGAAGGTGGAGGTTGCAGTGAGCCGAGTCACGCCACTGCACTCCAGCCTGAGCAACAGAGTGAGACTTGGCTGGGTGCGGTGGCTCATGCCTGTAATCCCAGCACTTTGGGAGGCCAAGGCAAGTGGATCACCTGAGGTCGGGAGTTTGAGGCCAGCCTGACCAACATGGAGAAACCCCACCTCTACTAAAAATACAAAATTAGCCGGGCATGGTGGCTCATGCCTGTAATCCCAGCTACTAGGGAGGCTGAGGCAGGAGAATCGCTTGAACCTGGGAGGCAGAGGTTGCGGTGAGCCAAGATCACGCCATTGCACTCCAGCCTGGGCAACAAGAGTGAAACTCAGTCTCAAAAAAAAAAAAAAAAAAAAAGATCTTGCTCTGTTGTCCAGTGGCAGGATTATAGCTCACTGCAGCCTTGGACTCCTGGGCACAAGTGATCCTCCCACCTCAGCCTACCGAGTCACTAGGATTAGTTATGTGCCACCGTGCCCAGCAGGGTTTTTCATCAACTGCTGGTCGGTCATTGCTTGAAGGCTGCTTCTGGGGTCTTAACTCCCTGGCACCTCCAGCCTGCCCTGTGGCCATGACCAGCCAATCTCCCACAGCCAGAAAAAAGACCTTCGGGCAGAGAGTTGCTAAAGAGCTCAGTAAACAGCTTTCATAGGTGGGGCAGAAAGCTGAGGGATGCAGGCAGCGCATCCAGGGCAACTGCTGCAGCTTTCTCCCAGCTGTCATCTATCTGTGTGTTCATGTAAGCATGTATGTGTGTATTTGGACTGGGTTTCACAGTCACAAGGAACGTTCAAGTGGTACAAAGGCAGACAGAGTGCTGGGCATGGTGGCTCACGCCTGTAATCCCAGCACTTTGAGAGGCCGAAGCAGGTGGATCACGAGGTCAAGAGATTGAGACCATCCTGGCCAACATGGTGAAACCCCGTCTCTACTAAAAATACAAAAATTAGCTGGGAGTGGTGGCACGTGCCTGTAGTCCCAGGTACTCAGGAGGCTGAGGCAGGAGAATCGCTTGAAGCTGGGAGGCAGAGGTTGCAGTGAGCCGAGATCGCGCCACTGCACTCCTGCCTGGCAACACAGAAAGACTTCATCTCAAAAAACAACAACAACCAAAAGGCAGACAGGCTGGGCGCGGTGGCTTATGCCTGTAATCCCAGCACTTTGGGAGGCCAACATGGGCAGATCACGAGGTCAGGAGATCGAGACCATCCTGGCTAACACAGTGAAACCCTGTCTCTACTAAAAATACAAAAAAATTAGCCAGGCGTGGTGGCGGGCGCCTGTAGTATCAGCTACTCGGGAGGCTGAGGCAGGAGAATGGCGTGAACCCAGGTGGCGGAGCTTGCAGTGAGCTGAGATCAGATCATGCCACTGCACTCCAGCCTGGGCGACAGAGCGAGACTCCATCTCAAAAAAAAAAAGGTAGACAGAAAAACATCTCCCTCCATCAGCCCTAGACATTCCCTTCCCTCCAGAGGCACCCCTTTTCCCAGCCTCCCTCCCACATGCCCTTCTCTTGCCAGTCAGTCTTTCTAGTGTTTACTCCAGCCCCAGCCACATCTAAGGCCTCAGTTCCCCGAGGCCAGGATCCCTGGTGACAGCTCATCCTGTCTTCATCCGGTTCTCGCCCTGCTCAGCCAGTAGGCCAGGGATAGGAGCTCAGGCCTTGGAGACGTGGGGTGCCAGAGGCTGAGGGCAGGGCCTGGCTAACGGCCAGCATGGGCACAAAGGCAAACATCAGGGACATATTGGTCCTGGCCAAACAGTAGGGACTGGGGTGGGACATGCTGCTAGCGGCTCATCTGTCAGGTGCGTGGCTGCTCACTGCCATCAGGGTTGGCCAAGTGCTTTCTGTTTACCCCCTGGGGGCTGGAGGAATGATGGGCAGCCTGCCTCACTCCCTCACTGCATTTTCAGAGCCCAGTGAGCCATCACCCAGCTTTGGGTCCAGTCCAGCAAGGGTTCAGCCTAGGAGCCGTGGTAGGCAGGGACTAAGGAATGAACCGGGAAGGGCTTTGAGGCAATGTTCTGCTTACTACAGTCGGCCCTCTGTATCTGTGGCTCCACATCCACAGATGTAAACCAACTTCCATTTGAAAATATCTGAAAAAAAAAACACACAAATTTTAAAACAGTACAGTATAACAACCATTTACATAGCATTTAAATTGTATTCAGGGCCGGGCACAGTGACTCACACCTGTAATCCTAGCACTTTGGGAGGCTAAGGCAGGTGGATCACCTGAGGTCAGGAGTTCCAGACCATCCTGGCCAACATAGCAAAGCCCCGTCTCTACTAAAAAATACAAAAATTAGCCGGGTATGGTGGCAGGTGCCTATAATCCCAGCTACTCGGGAGGCTGAGGCAGGAGAATTGCTTGAACCCGGGGGGTGGAGGTTGCAGTGAGCTGAGACTGTGCCACCGCACTCCAGCCTGGGCAACAGAGTGAGACTGTATCAAAAAAAAAAAAAAAAAAAAAAAAAAAAAAGGCCTGTTGGGGTGAGAGGGGCTGGAAACCGACACCTAGTCTCTCAGGTTCAAAAGAAGCTGAGCTGCAGCCAATCATAGAAACCCAGCCAGGGCAGGGACTGTTCACAGCTGTACTCCCAACAGCCTCTCAATAGAGATTTGTTGGCCAGGTGCAGTGGCTCACGCCTGTAATCCCAGCACTTTGGGAGGCAGAGGCAGGCGGACCACCTGAGGTTGGGAGTTCGAGACCAGCCTGACCCACATGGAGAAAACCCATCTCTACTAAAAATACAAAATCAGCCAGGCATGGCGGTGCATGCCTGTAATCCCAGCTACTCAGGAGGCTGAGGCAGGAGAATTGCTTGAACCCAGGAGGGAGAGGTTGCGGTGAGGCGAGATTGCGCCATTGAACTCCATCCTGGGCAACAAGAGCAAAACTCCGTCTCAATCAATCAATAAATAAAAATACAAAAAATTAGCCCGGCATGGTGGGGGGCGCCTATAATCCCAGCTACCCAGGAGGCTGAGGCAGGAGAATAGCTTGAACCCAGGAGGCAGAGGTTGCAGTCAGCCAAGGTCACTCCATTGCACTCTAGCCTGGGCAACAAGAGCGAAACTCTGTCCCAAAAAAAAAAAAATTAAAATAGAGATTTGTTGACTGAATGAGAAGTTTGGGGAGCATGTTGGGGAGGAGTAGGGATCTGTCCTGGCCCCTGCCCCTTGCTCCTCTCTGCCTTGCCTCCGCACAGGGTAGCTGCCAAGGTGGCAAATGCCCAGCCCCTTGCCCACTCCAGGGGCCCATCCAGGCCCTTGGGCACTTCCTGAGTAGCAGGACACGTCCTGCCCTTCGTGCCCATGAAAGGAGGCAGCTTATCAGAGGGGAAAGGACACTCTGTTCAGGCCTGGCCATCTGCCTGGGCTGGAAGAGCCATGTCTAGGAGCTGGTAAGCAGAGCAGACCTGGGTGGAAGGGCCTGGGGAAAGCAGACAATTGAGGCTCTGTGCCCCAGGCCAGGCCAGGACCCTAGCCTCTCTCAGGGTCCACTCAGCCCCTGCACTCCTTTCTACCATCCTATCTTCTCTCCATTCCCTTCCTACTTCTCTGACTCCTAGTAAGGTTTTTCACTCACTCCATTCATTCAAGCACTATTTAAGGAATATTTTATGTTTGATTTTTGTTTGAGACAGTGTCTTGGTATGTTGCCCAGGCTGGTCTTGCTCAAGTGATCCTCTGGCCTCAGCCTCCCAAATAGCTGGGACTACATATGCAAGCTATCACGTCTGGCTCTATTTAAGGAAAACTTTATATATGCTAGGCAGCTGGGCTTACAGCAGCAAACAAAACAGGCAACAATGCCTGCCCTCATGAAACTTACATTCCAGTTAAGAGAGACAGACAATAAGCATATAAATAAATTAAATATATAATATGTTAGATGATGAAAGTGATCTGAGGAAAGATAAAGCAGGGCAAAATAGGCAGGACACGGTGGCTCACGCTGTAATCCCAGCACTTTGGGGGACTGAGGCGGGCAGATCACTTGAGGCCAGGAGTTCAAGACCAGTCTGGCAGCATGGAGACCAGCCTGACCAACGTGGTGAAACGCTGTCTCTACTAAAAATACAGAAATTAGCTGTTGAAGAATAAAAAAATAACCTCGTTGCCCAGGCTGGTCTCAAACTCCTGGGCTCAAGTGATCCACTCACCTTGGCCTCCCAAAGTGCTGGGACTGATTGCAAGTGTGAGCCATGGCACCCACTGCCTTTTTTTTTTTAAACATTATGTGGTTTAGAAATACCCCTTTAGAAAGTGACAGCTGAGCAGAGGCCTCAGGAAGTGAGGTAGTGAATCACATAGACTCCCAGAGGCAGGGCCTCCAAGGCCGAGCGAACAGCAAGGGCAAAGGCCCTGAGACAGGATAAGCTGGGTGTGGGCAAGGAACAGCAAAGAACCCAGGGTGCGACTGGGCACAGTGGCTCACACCTGTAATTCCAGCACTTTGGGAGGCTGAGGCGGGTGGATCATTTGAGGTTAGGAGTTCGAGACCAGCCTGGCCAATATGGTGAAATCCCATCTCTACTAAAAATACAAAAATTAGCCAAGCATGTTGGCACATGCCTGTAATCCCAGCTACTTGGGAGGCTGGGGCAGGAGAATTGCTTGAACTCGGGAGGCGGAGGCGGAACCCAGGAGCCAAGATTGTGTCACTGCACTCCAGCCTGGGCAACAGAGCAAGTGAGACTCCATCTCAAAAAAAAAAAAAAAAAAAAAGAACCCAGGGTGGACAGAGCACGTAGAACAAGAAGGAGAGCAATAGGAGATGGGGTCATAGACGTAGGAAGAGCCAGATGCCAGGGGCCTTGTCAGCCCTTGAAGGACTGGGGTGATGTGGAGTCAGCACAGGAGTCTGGACAGAGGCCTGATGCTTTAAAATCACAGTAGTTCAGGGACATAGTGCTTACTATGTGTCAGTCTCCTTCCTAGGCACTGAACATGCATTCAACCACTTAATCCTCCCAATTCTTTATTAAAGATGAGGAAAGCCTGGTGCGGTGGCTCACGCCTGTAATCCCAACACTTTGGAAGGCTGAGGCGGGCAGACCACCTGAGGTTGGAAGTTCGAGACTAGCCTGACCAACATGAAGAAACCCCGTCTCTGCTAAAAAAAAAAATACAAAATTAGCCAGGCATGGTGGCGCATGCCTGTAGTCCCAGCTACTTGGGAGGCTGAGGCAGGAGAATCGCTTGAACTCAGGAGGCAGAGGTTGCAGTGAGCTGAGATTGCACCATTGCACTCCAGCCTGGACAACAATAGCAAAACTCTGTCTCAAAAAAAAAAATAGATAAATAAATAAATAAATAAAAAGGTCAGGAAACCGGCTGGGCGCAGTGGCTCACACCTATAATCCCAGCACTTTGGGAAGCCGAGGCAGGCAGATCACCTGAGGTCAGGAGTTGGAGACCAGCCTGACCAAATGGAGAAACCCCATCTCTACTAAAAATACAAAACTAGCTGGGTGTGGCGGTGCATGCCTGTAATCCCAGCTACTTGAGAGGCTGAGGCAGGAGAATCGCTTGAACCTGGGAGGCAGAGGTTGCGGTGAGCCAAGATCACACCATTGCACTCCAGCCTGGGCAACAAGAGCAAAACTCCGTCTCAAAAAAACAAAAAAAAAACCCAACCAAACAAAAAACAAACAAAAAAAAAAGATGAGGAAACCGATGTGCACAGAGGTTGAGTGACTCGCTCAGGGTTATTACATGGCTAAAATACAGAAGAGTCAGGCCTCAGCGTGGCTCCAAGAGTTCAGGCTGAGATGCGCTCCATTTCCCTCCATCCAGCAGGCGATTCTCTGGGCTTTCCTCTAGGGCAGGGTTTCTCACCCTCAGCACTGTTGACACTTTAGGCCAGCTCATTCCTTGTCATGGGGGGCTGTCCCGTGCATTGTAGGATATTTAGCAGCATCTCTGGCCTCTACCCATTTGATGCCAGTAGCACTCCCCCAGTTGCGACACCAAGATGTCTCCAGGCAATGCTAAATGTTTCGAGGGGCGGGGGTAAAATTGCCCCCAGTTGAGAACCACTTCTCCTCTGTTTTCCTGTCCACTCCACCTGCCACTGTCCCAGCTCAGGTCCACTCCTCTCTCACTGTGACCATTGTGAAGGCCTCCACATTAGCCCCTGCCCCCTCGCTGTACATCTTACCAGGCCACTCTCCCAGGTCTCCGGCCCTCGCTCCCATTGCCCTGAGGATGAACGCCAAGCTGCTTAAGTTGGCTTTTAAGGCCCTATGTAATCCAGCCCCTGCCTGCTTCCCCCGCTCTCACCCACCCCTATTCACAAGCGTCCTTCTGCAAGCCACCCTCTGCTCATTCAGTCTAGTGCCATATATTGAATCTGACACCATGCTGGACACTGCAGACAATGGAAACAAAGCTCCCCCAAAACCCCCGCCCGCACCCCCAGGGCCTGCCTTCATGCTGTGTTTGTCTCCCCTGGGGAGAGCAAGTAAACACATGCAGTGAATCCTGTTAGCCCTAAAACCAGGGAGCTGTGAGGAAACCAGGGCTGGAGTAGGTGCCATGGCTGAGCTGTACAGGATGGGTAGGGGTTATAGAGGGGGAGAGAGGAAGAGAGCCAACGGCACCCTGGCAGTGGTGAGGCAGATGCAGTGAGAGGATGGAAGGCTAGGGCGGTGATTTAGGGCTCCAGCAAAGGCAGTGAGAGTGGGGGTGTTGAGCGGGATAGATGGTAGAGAGAAAATAAGCTAAACATAAATGGGTGGGCTGGGTGTGGTGGCTCATGCCCTTAATCCCAACACTGTGGGAGGCCAAGGAGGGCAGATCACCTGAGGTCAGGAGTTCGAGACCAGCCTGGCCAACATGGTGAAACTCCATCTCTACTAAAAATACAAAAATTAGCCAGGCACACTAACACGGTGAAACCCTGTCTCTACTGAAAATACAAAAAATTAGCCGGGCATGGTGGCGGGCACCTGTAGTCCCAGCTACTTGGGAGGCTGAGGCAGGAGAATGGCGTGAACCTGGGAGGCGGAGCTTGCAGTGAGCCGAGATCGCGCCACTGCACTCCAGCCTGGGCGACAGAGCAAGACTCCGTCAAAAAAAAAAAAAAAAAAAAAAGGCAGGGTGCGGTGGCTTCCACCTGTAATCCCAGCACTTTGGGAGGACAAGATGGGCAGATCACGAGGTCAAGAGATCGAGACCATCCTGGCCAACATGGTGAAACCCCTTCTCTACTAAAAAAAATAGAAAAAATTAGCCGGGTGTCACGATGCGTGCCTGTAGTCCCAGCTACTCAGGAGTCTGAGGCAGGAGAATTGCTTGAACCCGAGAGGCAGAGGTTGCAGTGAGCCGAAAAAGCTCCACTGCATTCCAGCCTGCTCCAGCCTGGCAACAGAGTGAGACTCTGTCTCAAAAAATAATAATAATAATAAATAAAGTAGACAGGCGCGGTGGCAGGTGCCTGTAATCCCAGCTACTCAGGAGGCTGAGGCAGGCGAATCGCTTGAACCCAGAGGCAGAGGTTGCAGTGAGCAGAGATCGCGCCACTGCACTCCAGCCTGGGCGACAGAGCGGGACTCCATCTCATAAAATGAAATGAAATGAAATGAAATAAATAAAATAAAATAAGATAATATAAAATAAAATAAAATAAAATAAAAGGGTGGACTAAACAAGGAGGCCCAGGACAATAGAGGAGTCCAAATGGTTCCTACTTGGTCAGGAAGGTGGACAGTGGGGTCATGGTGCAGACTGGACACTTCCCAATCACAGACTGTTCGCCTGGCAGGCATGCCCTCCCCTTATTTCACCTGTCAACTTCCTCCTCCTGATACAAGCCCAAATCATAAATGGTGCCTTCTCCTGGAAGCCTTCTGGATTCCTCCCTGCTGGCATTGCTTGCTTCCTTCTCTGCACTCTCCAAACTATACTACAGCAACATCATCATCTGGTTCTTAACTGCGCGGGTCTGTTACGGCCCTCCCACCACTGACTGTGAGTTTCTGGAGGCCAGGGAGCTGCCTTCAGCACAGGAGGCCCCGCGCTCCGCCGCCGGTCGACCCCTGAGGGCGAGGCCAGAGGGAACGGAAATGTGGCACGGTTCGGCAGTTCTCAGATGCGAGCGCCTGCGCAGGTACGCACGCTCCGCTGGAGCCTGGGGTGGCCTGGCAGTCGTGGCCGAGACGTGTTTGCTGCACTTCGGTGCGCACAGGCACTGCGGTGCCAACCTCTTGGTTCCGCCCTCCCCCCGCAGGCGCCCACGCGTGACCTCGGCCGCCCACAGGCCTTCGACTCTTCCCGGACTCCAGGTCCCAGGCCGCCCCGCTCCACCCTGCGGATGATGGAGACAAAGTCCCCCACAAGCCCCTCATATGGGGCAAGGGGGAAGGTACCACCTGGGGCGGGGCCTGGCTCCCCACTGAGCAGAGGTGCTGGCCAAGGCGCTCCCCTTAGTGGTAAGTACCCTCTTGGTTCCCCCTCATACTCTCTGCAGTAAGTCACAGCCAGACGACCCCGCCCCACGCCTGCGGCAGCCTCGGAACCTGCCTCCCTGTTTCAGGCCCCGCCCCCTACAGCCTTTCCTCCTCGGCAGCCCAGGGAGCTTTAAATATGCAAACCACATCGCATCACTCCACACTGGATCCGAGAAACCCAAGCCTGGTGCGGTGGCGCGCGCCTGCAGTCCTCGCTGAGGCGGGAGGATCGCCTGAGCCCAGGAGTGGAGGTTGCAGTGAGCTGTCATCGCGTCACTGCACTCCAGCCCGAGCGACAGAGATAAAAAGAGAAAGAAACAAACCCCCAAACCCATGATCAGCAAAGCGCATCTCCACATTTCCTTTCTGACCTCACCTCCTGTCCCACCCCCTCCCACGTATGCCTTTCCAGCTCCACGGATCCCTTTCCTCAAACCCACCAGTCCTGCTCCTGCCTCAGGGCGACGCACTTGCTGTGCCCATGGCTGCCCTTCCCCCAGATGGCTCCCTCCCTGGCTTCCGGCACACGACCTCCTCAGCAAGGCCTCCTCATCCCTCTGTGATATCCCCCCAACTATCCAGTCTCAGCTTTCTTCATAGCACCTCTCACCCTGGCGTATCTGTTGTTTATCTCACTAGCAATAATGTAAGCCCCCCAAAGTGGAGGTTGTGTATGTCTTGCTCATTGCTCTATTCCCCAGTGCCTAGAACAGGACTAGGATGTAGTCGATGCTTCATAAAAATGGTTCCATGGATTCTTATTTTTTAGACGGAGTTTCACTCTTGTCGCCCACGTTGGAGTGCAATGGCGTGATCTCGGCTCACTGCAACCTCCACCTCCCAGGTTCAAGTGATTCTCCTGCCTCAGCCTCCCGAGTAGCTGGGATTACAGGTGCCCACCACCATGCCCAGTTAATTTATTTGTATTTTTAGTAGAGATAGGGTTTCATCATTTTGACCAGGCGGGTCTCGAACTCCTGACCTCAGGTGATCCACCAGCCATGGCCCCCAAAGTGCTGGGATTGCAGGCGTGAGCCACTGTGCCCGGCCCCACGGATTCTTTGAGAATCTTCTACGAGCCAAGCAGCTCTTCATTCACCCATTGCACAGACGTGGAGACTGAGATTCAGAGAGATATGAGACTTGTCTGCCGTCATATGAGCTTGCTGCAGTGGGAGCCAGGTTTCAACCCAGCTGAGTCTCTCCCCTCTGCCTCTCTGCTTTCCAGCTCATCTCCCAGTTGAGAAGGGGAGCAAAATCTCCGGTTTTGCCCTCCCTTCACCCTAGTGTAGGCCAGGCTGACCCCCAGTGACCCCAGACAGGGCCTGAGGCACCATCTCCCTGGGAGGTCTTGGCCAGGGGGCCACAGGAGGGGGATCATACAGTCTCCTGAGGTGGATAGGCCCACCTTTGGCCCTGCCCACATTTTCCTGGGACCACCCACCCTGACCCCCAGCTCCTAAATGACCCAACCCACTGCCTTCCTTTCAGCCACCACTGAGTCCCTAAACTCTCTCAGAATGGACCTGGGTGCCTCTTTGCTTTTGCCTTCATCCCACCTGAGATACAGTGAGAGAGACAGAGACACTGGGAGACATGGGGAGACAGGGCAGAGACAGAAACACACACACAGGGACACATTTATATACCAACAGGGAGAGACCAGGAGAGTGACAGAGATTTGGCAAGTCCCTTCGCAATGCTCCAAACCTCATGGACCCAATCAGGGCCACTGCCAGCCCATTGTCCCTTTTGAACAAGTTAGGAAAGGCACCCTCCGGGGGGATGCTACCCCTCCCAGGGCCTGGTGAGTGAGTGTGATGGGCTGGGCTTCAGTCCCGCTGGCCCTTCGGCCGAGTGAGTGTGCTGGTGCAGGAGGGGCCGTGGAAGCTGTCCCCAGATGTCTCTATGCAAGGGGGAGAAGGCAATGCTGCAATGCTCCCCAGTCCTCGGGCCCACCCCACAGGCCTGCCCTTGTAGTGTTCTCTGAGGCGTTTCAGGATCCCCAGTCCTCAGCCCCGCCCTGCAGGCCTGCGCCTGCAGTGTTCTCTGAGGCCTTTCAGGAACGCTTGGGCTCTCACCATTCTAGCCTTGACCCGAGCCCAGCCCTCTGCCCTCACCCACGGGGCCTTCCCCCACAGCAGGTCCTTGGGTCACCTCTGCCTTCACCACCCAGAAATGTCAAGCCAGGCCCTTCCGCAGAAACCAGCCCAGGACACTGTGTGTCTGGGAAGAGGCCCTCAGGCCTGCTCCAGCACACAGACCCCCTCCTGCTCCAGGGACAGCGCCAGCACACCACACTTCCCAGCCTCACAGACCCCCGCAGTTCAGAGGAATCCCAGGAGTGGACAAGAAGGTGCCATGGGCCTCACTGGAGAGACAGGGAAAATGAGGAACAGAGAGGAAGGGTGACCAGCCCAGGGTCCCACACCCCGAACCAAGGTTTCTGCCCCCCTCTGCCCCTCCCCCCTCATCCAGGTGCTCCCAGGGAAGCCCTGCAAGGCCCCACCCTTCCCAACAGAGAACACTCTGGGAGGAAATGATTAACAGGGCAATTAGGGCACAGGTGAGTCATCTGGTCACAAGGCTGCCTCCTGGCTGACTCAGGGGGGCAGTCCAGATGGGCCCTTCCACCCGGCCCCAGCTCGGGGTCTGAGTCAAGGACACCATGGGCTCTGGCCAGGAAGTCCAGGAGAAAGCCTTCAGCCCTCTCCAGGCTCCACCCACACCCTGCAGGCTGGGGGACAGAGGCAGGGACTCCCACCTTCACTGGGCTGGCCTGGGCCAGGGCAGGGGACCAGGCTGCTACAGTTTCTGTCTCCCCACGCCAAGTCTGTGGCCACAGGGCCGGCCATCCAACCAACAGCTGTTGTTATCAATCACCGCGATTACTAAGAATAGCCATCATGTTCTGATACTGAACTTCAGCTCTGCAACAGGCCTCGGGCTAGACACAGTGGGGACCCATGGGGACCATCAGACAAGCATCCATGGATAGCAGTCATGTTGAAAAGAGCTGGGGACAGTGAGCTCTTTTTCTCATACATCTGCTGAGGGGTCTCAGAGCCTGGACCCAGGCAGAAAGAAAGGAAGGAACGGGGGACCCCACAGGGAAGCCAGCAGGACCTTCTGGTGAACAGCACCTCCTGGTGTCCAAACTAGGCCTGGCCCTGCTGCCCATCTCATCTCTGGGAAGCCAGGTGTGTCGGTCTCCTTCCCTGGCCAGTAAGGCCCATCATTATGCACTCCATCCCAAGCCCACCCTTACTTTTGAGATTAGGCAACACTGGACACCAGGGACCCCTGGCTTACCCAGGCCCGCCCTCCCGAGGCAGATCCCCCATCCCAGGGCCTCTTTCCTGGCTTTGTCCTTGGGCTGGCTGGGCAGGAACTTCCTGCTGGAGAATTCCCGGATCCTCCCTAGGAGGCTGCAGCACAGCCTGGGAACTTAGGGAGGGAGGGAAGTCAGGGACACCCCTCCTAACAGGGGCACGGCTTGTGGGCAGCAGGGTCCCCTGGCACTCTGGGCCTTGGGTCCTTCCCCAGCCCTAGGTCAGGCCAACTAGACCTCCTGCCCTCTCTGCACAGATGCCCTGCTGCAACCCCTCCACTCTGCAGCAGGGCAGCCCTAGCAGCCCCATGGGCACAGACTGGGGACTAGATCAAGACCTCAGATAGACTGGGCTTGCTCCAGGGTTGAAGATTGGGGGTTGGGGTCCAAAGACAGCCAACAATGAGGCCAAAGTCAAAGCACATTTTTATTAATAACATCACAGGCCTGAGTTGGCTGGGTGGGATAGAATTTGGGGCAGGCCCATCCTACAGACACATGGACACTGTGTCTCAAGACCCGCTGGCCACAGGGGATCCTTAGATGTACCCTAAGAAAAGACATACTCCATGTACCAGCTCCGGGGATCTGGGCAGGGCAGACTCAGGGCCAGCACCGGCTTCACTCTGGAGGCCAGTTTCCCATCTCACCTTTCTCCTCAAGAAGCAGGCACTGGGCGACAGAAATGGGTGAAGGAAGATGCCTCAGTCTTCTCTGCACCTCATAACCTTCTCCCTGCCCCCAGAGACAAGCACCCGAGGACACCTTTCCGCCACCTCCCCTCGGCTGGCACAGCTCCACCAACCCTGAGCCACCTCCCTGCCACAAAATGGAGAATCCTTTCTCCTTCCAACTTGGGGGGTTCCTTGGAAGCCCCAGGAGTCAGCACCGCAGCCAGTCCCTCCCCTCCCTCACTTCTGGACACGACCCCAAGGGGGGTCTGTGCCCTCCCCTCAAGCCCAAGGTGGTGCTGCTGCTTCCTCCGTGCTCCTCCCTAGGTCTCCAGCATTCTCCAAAGGCTCGGGGGCAGCCTCCTTCCCCCTCAGCACAGTGTCCCTGAGGGCAGTAAGGGGAGATGGGAATGGTGATGAGGACAGGACCTTTGAAATGTTGTGCACATGTACCCTAGAACTTAAAGTATAATAATGAGAAAAAAAAAGAAGGTAATGAACCTAAATAATAATAAAGGTAATAGTAATAAGATAATAAACCTAACAGAAAAAAACAAAACACCCACTGGGGAAAGGTATTCTTAAGGCAGCTCTGTCCCCAAAGTGAGGACTGGGCTGAGCCCTTACTTGCCACCACCCAGAAATGACCCAGGCCTCTCAGCGCTACTCAGGCAACCCCAGGACTGTGACTCCTGGGACAGGGCAGGCTGGCTGGGGAGGGGATGAGAAGAAGGAGGAGGGACCAGAAAGGGCAGATACCAAGATTCAAACCCTTCGATGTGAAAAGACAAAAGTGAGGGGCTCTGCCAGGTGCTGACAACCTACGTGGCTGTGGATGAGGTAACACAGAGGCCTCCTGTGACATGGACATGCATGCGGGCTTGGGGCAATTAGAAGGATGCCCCTCAGTGCCCAGCAGGCATGTTTCTTTTTTTGTTTGAGACAGGGTCTCGCTCTATTGCCCAGGCTGGAGTGCAGTGACACTCTCATAGCTCACTGCAGCCTCAACTGCCGGGGCTCAAGTGATCCTCCCACCTCAGTCTCCCAAGTAGCTGGGACCACACGTGCACGCCACCATGCCTGGTTAATTTTTGTATTTTTTGTAGAGACAAGGTTTCACCATGTTGCCCAGGCTTTTCTCAAACTCCTGAGCTCAAGCAATCCGCCCACCTCAGCCTCCGAAAGTGCTAGGATTATAGGCGTGAGCCACTGCACCCAGCCCCAGGTGGCAAGTCTTTCTGATAGGCACTGCTCCAAAGTGAATCACACTGTGCTAAGCCCCCGCAAGGGAGTGCCTTTGCAGCTTACAGCTGCACACTCGTCATCTCAGGAGGTCCTTGCAACAGTCCCCTTTCACGGGTAAAGAAACTGAGGCCTCTACTCAACCTCACAGAGCAAGCTAATGCCAGACTAAAACCTCTGGCCTCCAAACCCCATGCCCTTTCTTTTTGTAAGCTACACAGACTGTCAGGGCAAATGTCCACTGGATAAAAGCATGAGATGATGAATGGACGGAAATTAACCAAAAAGGTCATCAACACATTTTCAACAGATCCATCAATGTGCACTCAAAGAAGCTGAGACAGGCCTAACCTTTAAAGGCTGATGTCAAGGAAGGGGAGCAGCAGGATGGTACTCGGTCTGACCCAGCGGGGTCGCTCCCCTGAGCCTATGTGTGTTTGGAGTGGACGAGAATGGGAGAGAGATTAGAAAAACAGCAGCATCATGTGAATTACAGATGCACAGGAAAGCTTACAGCCTGTCTAGACAAATTCACTTATGTTACAGATGAGGAAACTGAGGCTCAGAAAGAGGAAGGGACTTGCCCAAGGCCACATAGCAAAGGAATAGCAAAGTTGAGACAAAAATAATGGACATTGTGACTCTGAGTCAAGTGAGAAACAGAGAGACTGATGGAGAAGTGTGTGTGTGTGTGTGTGTGTGTGTGTGTTTATGTGCATGCAGTGTGCACTCACTCAGGGGGCCAGGGTCCTGAATTTAGAAACACTACCACCAAGAAGGCATTATGCCTACCCTACCCAGGCAGTGGGGGCTGGAGCCAGGGCCTGGGGGCTGGAACCAGGGCCCAGGGCCTGGAGGGGATGGTAAGCCTCCAGCCCCACCTTCTCCAGGAAGGGGTTGGTGGTCTGGCACGGGCCAAGCGTACCTGGCCATCCACAATGCTCACCTCCACCACGGTGATCTCTGGCCGGGTAAGCAGCTCTCGGCCCTCTTGGCTGCCTAGCTTCCAGAGGCGGGACTCTTGCTGCATTCCCAGAAGCTTCTTCAACTCCGACTCCAGGAAACCTGAGAGCCAGAGAGATGGCAAGGGACAGGGAGATGGCAGGGAACAGGCAGGAGTAGGATGGAGCAGCCCACTGGGAACCCAAGGACCCGGAGGTGCAACCGCTCCCTGAGCCTCATCCCAGCTCTGTGTGGTTCCTGCTCACCCTCAGCCACAGCCCTCTCTTCTTCCAGGACGTAGAGCCAGCCAGGTACCACCCCTCCTTCGCCCTGCCTTCCCCAGGAAGCTCACTCTTTGAGGGCCTTCTCTGGCAGCGGCAGCATGAGAGCCTGCGTCTTCACCCACTGGGGACAGCATGCAAAGGGCAGGTATTTGCCCCCACCACCAACCAACTCAAGAGCCTGGATCTGGAACCCAAACTGCCTGCACTCAAGTCCCAGCTCTGCCCATCACTAGCTGTGTGACATCGGGCAAGTTCTCACTGTGAACTGGAGATGGCAATAGGACCTACCTCAGAGTCGTAAAATGCAGGATTTTATGAAAAGTGCTTAAAGAGGGTCTGCCCCATTAATGGCTATGTAAATGTGAACCACGATTTTCATCATATTATGTATGCTATCACCACTAACCCAACTGCTGTCCATGTCTGGGCTGCCCGGGGCTCTACTGGCAGAGAGGACCCTCTGGGGCTCTGTCACAGCAGTGCATGATGGGAAAACCAGGGATGGAGGCAGCCACTGAAGGCGTTAGAAGCCTCTGGGCTGGGGGAAAGGGTGGTGCTTGAGTAGTACCACCCCCGCAGTCACCACTTCCCAAACCCAGAGGAAGACCCGTTACACCTAGTGTGGCCTCCAGCCCAGCCACACGCTGCTCCCTGGTCTCGGGTGGTCCTCTTAGGTCCTCTGGTACCATCTGGTGGTACCTGCTGGTATTGCACCCCTGAGCCGCCGGCCAAAGCGAGGCTTCCTGGACCTGGGGGCACGTGGGAGGGGAAGGGCGGAAGCCCTTACCCACTGTGTCTGTGGATCTGAAAGCCTTGTTCGGTGGCGACTGGAGGGCAACAATGCCTGGGACACAGAGCTTGAATGAGCTGTCCTCTTCCTTCATTTTCTCTTCCTCACTTTTCTCCTCGCTGGGCAAACCTTGGAGAGGAGTCCAGCCAGTCTCTGAGCAGGTGAGGAGGCCCAGGACCCCAGGCCTGCAGCCCCACCCCACCCCTAGGCAAGACAGGAAGCAGGAGGCAACATGTCCCTAAAGGCTAAGAAAGGGGACTGCTCCTTCCAGGCCCAGGCCACATATTCTGGGGCCCAGCCTGATGTGGGAAAGGCCCCAACCCATGCCTCATGACCCCATCACCCACAGACCTTGGCCATGGCCGAGTTTTGAAGCTCCTTGTCCAAACTGTGGAAGTGGTTCCAAGGAGTTGCCTCCACCCTGGAAGAGGCCAACACGCAGTCTCCTGTGAATGGGTGGTGGTCACTGACAGGCTGGCAGCAAGTGGGGTGGTCCAGGCCTTGGAGGGCAAGCACACAGGGGGCTGAGTTGTGGGTGGGGTTGTCTTGTTTTCTTTAGCAAATGCCTACTGTGTGCCACACACCGTTCTGGGCATTTTACAAAGAGTATCTCAGTTCATCCTTGCAACTTCCTTCAAGGATAGCTACTATTATATTCCCACTTTAAAGACGAGGAAACAGACGCAGAGAGGTTGAGCAAGCTGCCACCCATCGCACGGCTCAGCATGTTAGAACTGGCATTTGAACCCAGGCAGTCTGACTCCAGCAGTCCCTCAAAATGTGTCCCGTGTCCTGCCAGGCCCCACACCCCTAAGAAGTTCTACAGGAAGAGGGTCCGTTTCTGGCGCTTCCCCTATGCCTATGGCCACCACACTCACCTTCAAGCAGACACTCCTTCTCCCTGGTGGAGGGCTCAGGGCTGACCTCACGGGGCCCTGTGGCTCTCTGCAGGTATTCTTCCTTCAACTGCAGGATCTGGATAAAGTGGCTGCTAATCCCAAAGCACAGTCAGGTGAGGGAGGCAGGTGGGGCTCAGAGATGTGACAGAGACCCCCTAAACCTCCCCCAAGGCTCACCTACAGGTCTGCTGGCCCTCTGCAGCCTTCCTCTCCCATCAGCCCCCTGCTCTGCATCTGGGGTCCTCATCATAGAGGGGGATTATCGCTCTCAAAAGTAGGGTGATGAGGGGGTGGGGAACAGAGAGAGGTGGGTCCCTGTCCTCACAGGGGATGGCTGCCAGGCCTGTAGAAGGAGCTGGGAGCAACAGGACCCCCCGTCCCTCTGGCCCTGGCATATTCCCTTTCTACTCCCTAGCCTGTCCTCTTTCATATCTGGTATCCCCCATCCACAACCCCTCACTTGTGGGAGGACCCCATCTCTCCCTCCTTCCCAAACCAAATCCCCATCTCCAGCCTCCTCCCCACCAGATGCTTCTGTCCGTTGGCCCCACCCACATCTCCCTGTCCTTCCCCACCAGGTGCCCTGTTCCAGACCTTTACCCACCCAAGGCCTCCCTCCCCAGACCCTCCCCAGCATGGGTCCCCCATCTCAGGCCCATGCCCTTCCCCCATCTCATGTCCAGGCCTCTTCTCAGTACCTCTGTCCCAGGCCTTGCCAACCTGGGTACCCCCCAATTCCAGCCCCTCACCTGTCTGAGGCCCCTGTTTTCCCAGAGGCGTCCCCTGCTGGCTCCTTCCCCTCCTTCTCAGGCAGGTTGCCCAACACCTCCTGGCTTGCTATGGGCAGAACTGACTTCACCTCTCCGCCAGGCCTTCTTGCTCTTGCAGGTGTAGGTCACCATACGCCCCATGCCCAGCTTTAAGGGAGGCTGCTGTGACCGTTTTGAGAAGCCCCTGGGTATGGCCACAGAGAAGGGGTGGGGCGGCAAGGCAGATGGTCCCGGCCCCCTCCTCCTCACATGTCCCTCTTGGCTCATCATCAGGGAAATGGCACCCTGGTGGCGGAACATGGAGGAGCAGCCTGAAATTCATGATCAGGGCTTCGGAGCTGGGGCCTCCATCCTGAGAAGGTCCCCAATTCAGATCCTGTAACAGCCACCCCAGGACCAACTGCTTAAGAACAGGAAGAGTTTTCAAATTAAAACCTCCAGTTGGAAACTTCCCAGAATTCTGGGAAGCAAAGACTGGGGAGGATGGGAGGTTGGGGGAGATTAGTTGGAGGTAGAGGGGGCAGGGGTTTGATGAAGCAGGGAAGGAGGTGTGGGGGGCAGGCAGGGATTTTGGGGGAAAGGGGGTGGAGACTTGGAGGAAA
This sequence comes from Homo sapiens, assembly GCF_000001405.40. Lineage (NCBI taxonomy): Eukaryota > Metazoa > Chordata > Mammalia > Primates > Hominidae > Homo > Homo sapiens. The sequence goes on along the minus strand of NC_000006.12, from coordinate 33,583,447 downwards.
AGATGTGAGAGCCCCAGGAAGCTTGGCAGGGAGCAAACAGGGAGAGGCAGGGAGGGAACTGAACCCTGAGGGCAGGGGCTATTGAGGACTGCACACACCTCTGTCCTTCCTGGGTTTGTTCTGTCCTCAAGAACACTCCCAGCAGCCAGACAGTATCTGTCTTCCCTCTTAGCATCCAGGTTTTGTGTCCAGGTGGTAGCACAGACCCCACTAAGTCTATTTATTTATTTGTTTTTATTTTTATTTATTTATTTTTTTGAGACAGAGTCTCGCTCTGTCGCCCAGGCTGGAGTGCAGTGGGCTATCTCGGCTCACTGCAAGCTCTGCCTCCTGGGTTCACGCCATTCTCCTGCCTCAGCCTCCCAAGCAGCTGGAACTATAGGCGCTTGCTACGGCGCCCAGCTAATTTTTTGTATTTTTAGTAGAGATGGGGTTTCACCGTGTTAGCCAGGATGGTCTCGATCTCCTGACCTCGTGATCCACCCGCCTCGGCCTCCCAAAGTGCTGGGATTACAGGCGAGAGCCACCGGGCCCGGCCTTGTTTTTATTTTTATTTTTAATTTCTTGAGATGGAGTCTAGCTCTGTCGCCAGGCAGGAGTGCAGTGGCACAATCTTGGCTCACTGCAACCTCCGCCTCCTGGCTTCAAGCGATTCTCCTGCCTCAGCCTCCTGAGTAGCTGGGACTACAGGTACCCGCCATCACGCCCGGCTAATTTTTGTATTTTTAGTAGAGACAGGGTTTCACCATGTTGGCCAGGATGGTCTCGACCTCTTGACCTTGTGATCCACCTACCTCGGCTTCCCAAAGTGCTGGGATTACAGGCATGAGCCACCGTGCCCGGCCCTATTTTTATTTTATTTTTTTGAGATGGGGTTTCACTCTTGTCACCCAGGCTGGAGTGCAGTGGTACAATCTCAGCTCACTGCAACCTCCGCCTCCTGGGTTCAGCAATTCTCCTGCCTCAACCTCCCAAGTAGCTGGGATTATAGGCGCACGCCACCACAACCGGCTTTATTTTATTTATTTATTATTATTATTATTTTTTGAGATGGAGTTTCGCTCTTGTTGACCAGGCTGGAGTGCAATGGCGCAATCGCAGCTTACCACAACTCTGCCTCCCGGGTTCAAGCAATTCTCCTGCCTCAGCCTCCAGAGTAGCTGGGATTACAGGCATGCGCCACCACGCCTGGCTAATTTTGTATTTTTAATAGGGGTGGAGTTTCTCCACGTTGGTCAGGCTGGTCTCGAACTTCCAACCTCAGGTGATCAGCCAGCCTCGGCCTCCCAAAGTGCTGGGATTACAGGCGTGAGCCACCGTGCCCGACCAATTTTTTTTTTTTTTTTTTGAGACGGAGTCTCATTCTGTCACCCAGGCTGGAGTGCAGTGGCGTGATCTCGGCTCACTGCAAGCTCTGCCTCCTGAGTTCACGCCATTCTCCTGCCTCAGCCTCCCATGTAGCTGGGACTACAGGCGCCTGCCACCATGCCCGGCTAATTTTTTTGTATTTTTAGTAGAGACGGGGTTTCACCATGTTAGCCAGGATGGTCTCAATCTCCTGACCTCAGGTGATCCACCTGCCTTGGCCTCCCTTTTGTGTATTTTTAAAAGAGACGGGGTTTCGCCATGTTAGGCAAGCTGGTCTTGAACTCCTGACCTCAGGTGATCTGCCTGCCTCGGGCTCCCAAAGTGCTGGGATGGGATTACAGGCGTGAGCCACCGTGCCCGGCCTTTTTTTTTTTTTTTTTTTTTTTTCTAGAGACAGACTCTCCCTCTGTTGCCCTGGTGCAATCATAGCTTACTGCAGCCTCGACCTCCTGGGCTCAAGCAATCCTCCCACCTCAGCCTCCCCAGTAGCTAAGACCACAGGCATACAACACCATGCCTTGCTAATTTTTTTTTTTTTTTTTTTTTTTTTTGGTATAAGCAGGGTATTGCTGTTGCCCAGGCTGGCCTGGAACTCCTGCACCTGGCCTCAAGCGATCCTCTTGCCTTGGCCTCCCAAATGGCTGGGATGGGATTCTAGGCGTGACACACCGCAGCTGGCTGCCTTTTTTGTTGTTGTTGAGACAAGGTCTTGCTCTGTTGCCCAGGGCGGAATGCAGTGGTGCAAACATGGCTCACTGTGGCCTCGACTTCCTGTGCTCAGGTGATCCTCCTGCCTCAGCCTCCTAGGTAGCTGGGACCACCAAATGCACAGGTGTGCACTACCATACCCAGCTAATTTCTAATTTTTTTTTGTAGAGACATGGTCTCACTTTGTTGCCCAGGCTGGTCTTGAACTCCTGGGCTCAAGCAATCCTCCCACCTCAGCCTTCCAAAGTGTTGGGATTACAGGCGTGAGCCACTGGGCCCAGCCTCTATTGAGTTTTAATCTCCGTTTACTTGACTATCACCTTCAGGATTTCAAACATCCAGAGACCACCAAGGTGCATGGTGCACAGGTCTAAATTGCAGGTTGAATCTCAATCTAGTATTAGTATTCCCCAATGCGACTACAGAACTGATTATTACTATTTATTTTTTTTGAGATGGAGTCTTGCACTGTCACCAGGGCTGGAGTGCAATGGCGCAATCCTGGTTTACTGCAACCTCCACCTCCCAGGTTCAAGGGATTCTCCTGCCTCAGCCTTCCAACTAGCTGGGATTACAGGCGCCCGCCACCACACCCAGCTAATTTTTTGTATTTTTAGTAGAGACGGGGTTTCACCATGTTAGCCAGAATGGTCTCGATCTCTTGACCTCGTGATCTGCCTGCCTCAGCCTCCCAAGGTGCTGGGATTATAGGCGTGAGCCACCGCGCCTGGCCCAGAACTGATGATTAACCCAGCTGAGCCTCTGTTCATCTGAATGGGTATTGTCAACAGCACTCACTTACAAGAGTTGCTGAGAAGATCCAATGAGACAAATAGTTGCTAAAGTGCCAGGCATGCAGCAGTGCTTAAGAAACTTCTCACCCTGGGTTTTTTATTGGTATTGATTGATGTAGAGGTGGGGGAGAAGATCAAAGACAAGGATTGAGAATCAGGGATGGGAAAAGCAGTGGGCCACTGACAGCCGCCCTGCCTGCCTGGGAGGTGGGGTGGGGAAAGTGGGCGGGACATGCTCCTGGGCCTGGCCCACCCAGATCACCCTACAGGCTGTCGGCCTGTGCGTCTGCATCCGGTGGCCACAGAGCAACTTCCTCTAGAGGGAGCTGATTGGAGCCGGGTGCCGCTGGCACCTCTATGATCACTGGAGTCTCGCGGGTCCCTCGGGCTGCACAGGGACAAGTAAAGGCTACATCCAGATGCCGGGAATGCACTGACGCCCATTCCTGGAAACTGGGCTCCCACTCAGCCCCTGGGAGCAGCAGCCGCCAGCCCCTCGGGACCTCCATCTCCACCCTGCTGAGCCACCCGGGTTGGGCCAGGATCCCGGCAGGTAAGCTGGAAGGGTCTTGTCCATCCTCCCAGATCTCAGCAGCCCCAGCCCCAGGGTGGGGCAGGGAGCCTGCCGGGAGCCGGGTGGGGAAGGGGAAGCTCAAGGCTTCCCTGGGCAGGTCTGCCGCCCCGGCTGGGGACCTGATCCTGCCATGCCTGCCTCTGGCTGCCCCTCACAGCTTCCCCTCTTGGCCCAGCCCTGGATGCCGGAGAACTGTAAGAACTGGGTCCTTTAACAGTCTGGGAGATGGGAGTGGAGGTCAGAGCCAAGGTCAAGGGCAGAGAGAGAACTTTCTCAGCGCTTGCTGCTGCCCAACATCCCTAGACTGGGTCCAGGGCCTGGCCAGGCATGTATCCCTGGGCAACATTCATCGGGGCCCAGCAAGCCCAGGAAGTCGGGGGTGGCTCCCCTCACCGGGAATTTAGGCCACTTGGATGGGGGAGGCAGAGCTAGGCCTGAGTCAGCATAGGTTGCTGGCCTTGGTGGGTGTTCTGAGGCTCTACCTGCTCCCCTCGGAAGCCTGGGGTGTTGGTAGAGGGAGTTGGAGGTGCAGTCAGCATCCTCCAGCCCTACTGTCCTGGGGGTGCCGGGTCCTGGAGACTGGGGAAGAAGGAAGGCCATCTTATGTAAGGAGCTACGGGGGGTGGGAGGCAAGCAAAACTCTTTTTTTTTGTTTTTTGAAATGGAGTCTCGCTCTGTTGCCCAGGCTGGAGTGCAGTGGCGCAATCTCGGCTGACCGCAACCTCCGCCTCCAAGGTTCAAGCGATTCTCCTGCCTCAGCCTCCCGAGTAGCTGGGACTACAGGCGCACGCCACCATGCCCAGCTAATTTTTGTATTTTTAGTAGAGATGGGGTTTCATTATGTTGGCCAAGCTGGTCTTGAACTTCTGACCTCGTGGGCCACTATGCCCGGCTGCAAAGTTCTGTTTTAACAAGGCCTTGCCCCTAGAGGTGGAGGAGAGGAAGGTCTGCCTTCACCCTGTCCCTGTCCGGCAGATCGAGGAGGAGTGGGGAGCTGGGTGAGGGCACAGGTGGTCCAGCCCTCCTCCACCCCTTCTTGAGAGCTCTTGGGGCACTTTCGAAAACACTCCCAGGCCTAGCGGAAGGAGGGTGGGCGAAGGTCCCCAGGCCCTGGGCGGTGGGGGTGGGGCTGTGTGCTTGGCCCAGGGTGGGGCTGCACACCCCCTCCCTCTGGGATAGGAGGAGGGCGCTCTCCTTCTGAGGGCTGGAGGCTGCCTGGGGAAATGGGGCTCTGGGAGGGGTGCAAACTGAAAGTGAAACAGCTGACATCCAGGAAACACTCGCCCTGATGAGGGGTCACAGCAGGTTGGGGCTGCGGTCAGGACCAGGCAAAGAGGAAAATTGGGGCCGGGGACAGAAGACCAGGTGTGTGGTGGGAGTACGAGGCAGGTTATGGGGCTTCAAAGAAGGCCCTGATCCTGAGGGCTCCCTCCGGTCACTGCAAGGCAGCAGTGGGGAAGGCACAGACAGGAGGTAAATAGGGAAAGTTGCCCTGAGAAAGAACACACTCTGAGGTCCACAAACTGGAAAAGAAATCTTGCATGCGTGTTGAGTACATGGACTCACGGAGATTCAGACAAACAACCTGACTTTCCGTGACTAACGATGTGACCTCGGGCACTCAACTCTTTGTGCCTCACTTTTCCTGCCTGTAAAGTGGGTATGATGGCGCTCACCCTGCTGGGTTCATGTGAGTTTCCAGTGTTCACCACCCACAGAGTGCTCCTAAGTGGGAGAGTATATCTTAGGCTCTCAGGAAATGTTTGCGGCTAACAGCCCAGAGTTAAAAAACAGGTGTGTTCTGGCCAGCCAGAGGGAAGTAGGGCCTCTGAGGACAGCCTTCATGGGCCATTGGCTGGGCAGTGGCTCGCTTGCAATAAGCATGTGCTGGGTGGGCTGCAGGAGGCCCCAGGAACAGCTAAAAACCCCCCAGGCTCTTGCCCCAGGAGTGGCATGAACTTGAGAGCCAGCGGGCACTGCTGCAGCCACACCCTCCTCGATGGTGCAGATACCTCAGTCTGCCCTTGGCTGCCTCACCTTCTTACCCTGTCTCCCTCAAAGAGGGAGTGTTCAGTAAGTTGTTTCCTCCCAGCAGACTTCACTGGGACCCATGCTGGAGTAAGAATAAAAAGTCCCAGAGGAGGCCAGGCACGGTGGCTCACACCTGTAATCCCAGCACTGTGGATGGCCGAGGCAGACTCACGAGGTCAGGAGTTTGAGACCGGCCTGGCCAAAGTCCCAGAGGACTAAGGGCCTTTCTGGGAATGGGGGATCCTCTCTCCTATGTGGACATGGCAACCTGTATGGGGTCCCCAGTCACAGGTCTGTGCTCACCCCCATCTCTGCTTTTTCTCGCCCTTCCCCGCAGGCTGATCCCGTCCTCCACTGAGACCTGAAAAATGGCTTCGGGGCAAGGCCCAGGTCCTCCCAGGCAGGAGTGCGGAGAGCCTGCCCTGCCCTCTGCTTCTGGTAAGGGTCTTCCTGCCCCCTCACCCATCCCATAACCATGAGTGCTGTCGTGAGGATGGAAGGAGCAGGACTCAGGCAGGCTCCTTCGCCTCGGTTCACCCACTGTGGGTGGGGAATACTCTTCCCCACCCACGGGCTCAGAGGCTGGAGCTGCTGTCAAGGTTAAGCCCAGGAGGGGGAGGAGTCTGGACTGGGGAGGGCCTGGAGGTTGGGAGAGGCCAGGAAGTGAGTGTAAGGTAGGCACAGTGCCACCGGGGCAGAGGGCTGGGTCACGGGCGAGGGAGGCAGGAATTAGAGTGGGGCCTGGCTGCTGTATCCCTCCAGCGGGAGAAATAAGGAAGTAAGCTGGCCAATCACCCAGTCAGGTCTGCTCAACAGGGAACGCAATTATTGTGACTTGGGGAGGAAGTAAGATGGCTGCCCTCCTTCCCTCTTCCCAGGGGATAGCCAGGGAAGCCCCAGCTCACACCTCACGGCGGGCTGTTCCCTGGACTTGGGAATCAGGTCCCAGGTCTGTCACTATCTCCCTGTGTGACTTTTCTGGGCCGCAGCTACAAATTCAGATTTTGTTTCCCACATTTCCCTGCACGCAAAGGGCTGCGGAGCTGAGATGTACTAATGTAGACTCAGGACCCCAAATGCCCGGGACTGTCCCGGTTCCCCGGCTTGTTCTGGCTGTATGACCTTGCACACGTTACTCAGACACCCTGTGCCATTTTCCCCCTGCCAGCTGGGGATTGCCTGCTCCCAGGGCTACTGTGAGGACTCAATGCAAGTGCCGGAACAACTCTCCACACAGCATAAGCTCTAGGGGCGGCTAAGGTGCTGAAGTAGGGATATTTCTTTTCTTTTTTTTTTTTTTGTTTTTTTTGTTGTTGTTGTTTTGTTTTGTTTTGTTTTTTGAGATGGAGTCTCGCTCTATTGCCCAGGCTGGAGTGCAGTGGCGTGATCTAGGCTCACTGCAAGCTCCAACTCCCGGGTTCACGCCATTCTCCTGCCTCAGCCTCCCGAGTAGCTGGGACTACAGGCGCCTCCCACCACGCCTGGCTAATTTTTTGTATTTTGTTTAGTAGAGACGGGGTTTCACCATGTTAGCCAGGATGGTCTCAATCTCCTGACCTCGTGATCCGCCCGCCTTGGCCTCCCAAAGTGCTGGGATTACAGGCATGAGCCACCACACCCGGCCATTTTTTTTTTTTTTTTGAGACAGAGTTTCGCTCTTGTTGCCTAGGCTGGAGTGCAGTGGCACGATCTCCGCTCACCGCAACCTCCGCCTCCCGGGGTCAAGTAATTCTCCTGCCTCAGCCTCTTCTTGAGTAGGTGGGATTACAGGCATGTGCCACCACACCCGGCTAATTTTGTATTTTTAGTAGAGACAGAGTTTCTCCATGTTGGTCAGGCTGGTCTTGAACTCCCGACCTCAGGTGATCTGCCCACCTCGGCCTCCCAAAGTGCTGGGATTATAGGCGTGAGCCACCGCACCTGGTTGGGATATTTCTTTCCATGGGTGAGGACAGCTATGGCCTTAGGAAGAGTGAATCCCCTATAAGGCATGGGGCTGCCAGGGTTCGGCCCTCTCTCCCTGACTCCCAGCTTTGATCCTCAGAGGAGCAGGTAGCCCAGGACACAGAGGAGGTTTTCCGCAGCTACGTTTTTTACCGCCATCAGCAGGAACAGGAGGCTGAAGGGGTGGCTGCCCCTGCCGACCCAGAGATGGTCACCTTACCTCTGCAACCTAGCAGGTGAGCTACAACCGCTGGGCCCACAAGGACATCTTCAGGGAGGCAGTAGCTCGCATGGGTCTCTGTGCAGGTCCTGGGAGCTGGGGAGGCCTCGGGGGTCTTGCCCTTCTCTCATGGTTGCTCCTCTTTTATGTTGGGCTCCCACCCCCATCCAGGACCTTGTATCCTTTTTAGCCCATGCCTGCCCCTTCTCCTGGAGCCCAGCACTCATGTCTTAGAACACTGTCAGGGACCTCCAAGAAGGGATGCACAGGGCCATGGACAGCTCAGGCAGAACCCCTCTGCCATGAGCCAGGGCCTGGTCCCGACTGCCTGGTTACTGGCTCACCTGCATGCCTCCTGCTCCTACAGCACCATGGGGCAGGTGGGACGGCAGCTCGCCATCATCGGGGACGACATCAACCGACGCTATGACTCAGAGTTCCAGACCATGTTGCAGCACCTGCAGCCCACGGCAGAGAATGCCTATGAGTACTTCACCAAGATTGCCACCAGGTACCCCAGCCACCTCCCTGCCAGCTCCAGTCACTCCTCTGTCATGTCACAACCATACCATACCCTGCCTGCATGATGCTCTCCTGGCATGGGGAGAAGCCTTCTGTCAGTGTCCAATGTCTGCTGTGAACTCACATGTGGTCTCGGCCCCCTATTTTTCTCTTTCGGGGTCCCAGACTTGTATTTTGGGCATTAGCTCACAGCTCTTTTGAGCTCTGACTCCAAGGTCTTGACTGGTTAGATCAGGACTCTAGAGGGGGCCTGAGGTGGGGACGTCCCCCACAGCTCCCCAGCCCAGCTGGGACATAGCTGTCCTTCATAGTTCCAATTTGAAACCACATATCACACTGAAGATGGTGAGGGTGCTAACCTCTGCCAGGTCCTAGAAATGGCTCCTACTTGCTATAATCTGGCATCCAAGTGGTTAAAGACACCGAATATTTGGGTGCAAATCCAAGCTTTGCCACTTACTGCCTTCGTGAAGCTTCCTAGCCCTTAGTCTCCTGGTTTGTAAAATAGGGAAAATATGCTTAGATTAGTGTCCACCTTACAAAGTGTTAGCCATTGCTACCACCAGAGTTAGGGAAGTCAGTGTCGGAGTAGATTTGAAACTGGAGGTGAAGGTAGGAGTAAGTGATAGATTTTAGAATTAGTGCTCAGAGCTGAAATATCCAGTCCGTGAACTTAGAGGCCAGCCTTCATACCACTGTGATGACAGGAACTACCCTAATCTTTTCTGTCCTTTTCTCTCTGCTGTCCCTCGGGCTGCCAGGCCAGCAGCAACACCCACAGGTAATCTCCCCGCTGACTCCATCCACTTGCTCTGCCCTCTGCCCTCTCTGTGCCCCGTTGCACCTGAGCGTACACCCCAGCAGTGGCATCCAGCTCATCTGCCCCTGAGCTTTCTCCTTTCGCAGAGACCCAGGTTGTTCCCAAATACAGGCCAGGTTGGGGCAGCCTCTGCGGCCTTAATTCACAGCTAAGCTATTTAGCTTCCAGCTGGGAGAGGGGTGGGAGAGGCCAGGCAGGCTGAAGGGCTTCCTGGGGGCTCTCCACCAATGCTATGGGATGCTCTGCCCACAGCCTGTTTGAGAGTGGCATCAATTGGGGCCGTGTGGTGGCTCTTCTGGGCTTCGGCTACCGTCTGGCCCTACACGTCTACCAGCATGGCCTGACTGGCTTCCTAGGCCAGGTGACCCGCTTCGTGGTCGACTTCATGCTGCATCACTGCATTGCCCGGTGGATTGCACAGAGGGGTGGCTGGGTGAGTATCCAAGGACTGCAATGTCCTCCCTGCTGTTGGGGCTGCCCCTCTCCCAGGCCCCACCCCTTCCTCGGGTTCCTATATCTTCTGCTAGCCTCTCTGTGACCACCTTGTTTCTCCCGGCAGGTGGCAGCCCTGAACTTGGGCAATGGTCCCATCCTGAACGTGCTGGTGGTTCTGGGTGTGGTTCTGTTGGGCCAGTTTGTGGTACGAAGATTCTTCAAATCATGACTCCCAAGGGTGCCCTTTGGGGTCCCGGTTCAGACCCCTGCCTGGACTTAAGCGAAGTCTTTGCCTTCTCTGTTCCCTTGCAGGGGTCCCCCCTCAAGAGTACAGAAGCTTTAGCAAGTGTGCACTCCAGCTTCGGAGGGCCCCTGCGTGGGGGCCAGTCAGGCTGCAGAGGCACCTCAACATTGCATGGTGCTAGTGGGCCCTCTCTCTGGGCCCAGGGGCTGTGGCCGTCTCCTCCCTCAGCTCTCTGGGACCTCCTTAGCCCTGTCTGCTAGGCGCTGGGGAGACTGATAACTTGGGGAGGCAAGAGACTGGGAGCCACTTCTCCCCAGAAAGTGTTTAACGGTTTTAGCTTTTTATAATACCCTTGTGAGAGCCCATTCCCACCATTCTACCTGAGGCCAGGACGTCTGGGGTGTGGGGATTGGTGGGTCTATGTTCCCCAGGATTCAGCTATTCTGGAAGATCAGCACCCTAAGAGATGGGACTAGGACCTGAGCCTGGTCCTGGCCGTCCCTAAGCATGTGTCCCAGGAGCAGGACCTACTAGGAGAGGGGGGCCAAGGTCCTGCTCAACTCTACCCCTGCTCCCATTCCTCCCTCCGGCCATACTGCCTTTGCAGTTGGACTCTCAGGGATTCTGGGCTTGGGGTGTGGGGTGGGGTGGAGTCGCAGACCAGAGCTGTCTGAACTCACGTGTCAGAAGCCTCCAAGCCTGCCTCCCAAGGTCCTCTCAGTTCTCTCCCTTCCTCTCTCCTTATAGACACTTGCTCCCAACCCATTCACTACAGGTGAAGGCTCTCACCCCCATCCCTGGGGGCCTTGGGTGAGTGGCCTGCTAAGGCTCCTCCTTGCCCAGACTACAGGGCTTAGGACTTGGTTTGTTATATCAGGGAAAAGGAGTAGGGAGTTCATCTGGAGGGTTCTAAGTGGGAGAAGGACTATCAACACCACTAGGAATCCCAGAGGTGGGATCCTCCCTCATGGCTCTGGCACAGTGTAATCCAGGGGTGTAGATGGGGGAACTGTGAATACTTGAACTCTGTTCCCCCACCCTCCATGCTCCTCACCTGTCTAGGTCTCCTCAGGGTGGGGGGTGACAGTGCCTTCTCTATTGGGCACAGCCTAGGGTCTTGGGGGTCAGGGGGGAGAAGTTCTTGATTCAGCCAAATGCAGGGAGGGGAGGCAGATGGAGCCCATAGGCCACCCCCTATCCTCTGAGTGTTTGGAAATAAACTGTGCAATCCCCTCACCCTGACTTAGTTTTTGTATTCTCTGCTACCCCTCTTTCCATCAGGCCAGACTGTGGGAACCTGGGCACGCCTGGCATACATCTGGCTTATTACTGAATAAAACCTCACACTAGGCCTCTAGAATCCCATAGAGGCCTGAGTATGGTTCTGCAGCCCCCACTCCGATGGAAGGCGTTCGCCCCTCCCCATGAACTTCTCTCATCTCGTTGGGTTTCATGCAGTTTCCACCCTTTAGGAAGTCTGGGAGGTCCTTTAGCTACAGAGCTGGTGGAGCAGCTGCACATATCTGAGGACCCCCACAGGCTACCTCTGACCTGGGCTGAATTCTTCTCCCACCCTGGGGCTACCACCCACGCTGGTCCAAAAGGCCCTTCTCCCCCACATTTAGCTCTGCCTGGGACACAATGTCCCAGCTCCCCCTTCCTGATGTCTCCACAGTCAGCACACACGCAGGGCTTTCATTCTAGTTTTATGCTGCTTGGGAGTCCCTATGGGTACCCAGCCAGGGGTGATAAAAATAACAAGCATGGGGGCGTTTAAATGTTCCAAAATCTACAGTCTTTCCAGTCCTGGGCACCCTGGTCTGTGTTTCTGACGCCCTTCCAAAAGGGTCACATGCAAGTCCAAGAGAACTCGTGAGTTTCACCTTCACCCTCCTGGGGTGGGCTTGCCAAGCCCCTTTTCCCTCCACAAGGTCTTCAGAGTCTAGTACAGACGCGATCTTGGAAAAGGGAAAAGGCGGCGCTGCAGGCAGTGGTGGCTGGAAGGTGGTTGCTACAAGGCACCCCGCAGTGTACAGGAAAAGCTCACAGACAACATTTATAGAACACATACTGTGTGCCAGGCTTTATGCTGAGAGTTCATCATCTGCCCAAATAATAGGTAGGAGACGGGGGTGGGGGTACTCAAACTACTATTTACAGATAAGGAAACGGGTGCTTTCTCAGAGTCACCCAAGGAGTGAGGACTTGCCACCAGGAAACTGGCTCGAGTTTTACGTGGAGGCCGGAGAGCAATGTGGGGCTCGCGAGCACAGGTTTAAGAGGCCCAGAGTGCGGGGTCGCCTCCCTCCCGGAGCGATGCCATAGAGGTTAGAAGTGGGCGGCTGCCCGAGTCCAAGATGGCCGCCGCCGCGAGCACGCAAGCGTGCCCTTCCTTGGGCGGGGCCTTTGGGGCGCACCCACTCCAGCCTCTGGGCTTTGAACAGCATGCGGCATTGAGCGGCGAACAGATCGTTGCATCGCTGGAAGAAAGGCGGGTGGGCTGTGGTTAGCCTACTCGTCTAAGGAGCTGCAACGCTAACCGGAAAGGCATGGGTGGGGCAGCCCAAAAAGTTTTGGCCTGCACCGCCCCCCAACGCCCTCTATTCCGCTGCCAGGATATTCTGAAACCAGGGGGCGAGAAGTTAGGTCGGACACAGTCAGCCAGGGGCTGCGAGGATAACGGGAGTGTAGGGGCTCTGTGGGTATTAGGGAAGAGAAACCAAAAAAACTCATTTCTACTCAAACTGTGCGCTGCTTCTGAGATTGTGGCTTGGTTTCCACCAAATACGTCTGGGTTCGTCACAGTCTGTGATGTCACTGAGCTGGGGCAGCCCGGCCAGGGAAAGGAGCGGTGTGCAGCTGTCACCTGCTTAGTTCTGCAGTTTCAGTATGAATACCCGCCCTTCCTTGCACACAACAGCCTCACATTCTCCCCACCCCCACCCTGCCGTTTTACCTTCACGTATTTATTTTTACCTCCTCTGAAGAGTATATTTTAGAGAGTCACCGAGTGTCCATCCAAACCCTTTCATTTGAAAAAATCCTTCCTTAGCCTAAAATCACTCAGTATATTGAACAAGTTATTATGACATAGTCACCTGAATGCATTAAAATAAATTTACATGTATTCATTAAACTTAAACCACCATATCCACTAGTTTTTTTTGTTTTTGTTTTGTTTTTTCACCCGTGACAAAAATGTACCCCTCCTGCTCCAGTTGTATGCACTTCAGATGTAGAGGCCCCATTTTGTAAGATGCTTGTAAAATGTGGATTTAATTTTTTTTTTTTTTTTGAGACAGAGTCTCGCTCTGTCACCTAGGTTGGATGGAGTGCAGTGGCACAATCTCGGCTCACTACAACCTCCGCCTCCCGGGTTCAAGCGATTCTCCTGCCTTAGCCTCCCGAGTAGCTGAGACTACAGGCACGCGCCACCATGCCCGGCTAATTTTTTTTGTTGTTGTTGTATTTTTAGTAGAGACGGCGTTTCACCATTCTGGCCAGGCTGGTCTCGAACTCCTGACCTCATGATCTGCCCACCTTGGCCTCCCAAAGTTCTAGGATTACAGGCGTGAGCCACAGTGCGAGGCCCAAATGTGGATTTAATTCTATCTGAGCTGAACAGATAAGGATAATCATGATTTCGTGTGTGTGTGTGCGTGCGTGCATGCGTGTGTATGTGTGCGTGCATGCATGCGTGTGTGTGTGTGTGGAGAGAGAGAAAGAGAAGGGAGTTATTGAAGGTTGCTGGAGGTGCCCAAAGGTCAGGAACCAGAATCAGCAAAACCCAGCTTCTCCTGGGGTGTGTTGAGCTGTTGCTGGACACGTTAAAGGTGAACACTGGACTCCTGGGATATAAAAGTAAGACGTGAGAGGACAGGGGATTCAGTTCACTAGAAAATAATACAACAGGCTGGGCGCAGTGGCTCATGCCTGAATCCCAGCACTTTGGGAGGCCAAGGTGGGCAGATCATGAGGTCAGGAGTTCGAGATCGGCCTGACCAACATCGAGAAACCCTGTCTCTACTAAAAATACAAAAAATTAGCCGGGCATGGTGGTGCATGCCTCTAATTCCAGCTACTGTGGAGGCTGAGGCAGGAGAATCGCTTGAACTCGGGAGGCAGAGGTTGCAGTGAGCTGAGATAGTGCCATTGCACTCTAGCCTGGGCAACAAGAGTGAAACTCTGTCTCAAAAAAAAAAGAGAGAGAACAAAAAGTAATGATTTGGCCTACTGAAGCAGATCCCTGGCATATTTTATGAGTGATCCAATGAAGGGGCACCCCGCCCCCATTACCAAGATCAGGTGATGGACTAACAGGCAAAAACTGGACTTTTCTAGGAAAGGCCACTTCATAGCTGAAGAGACTGAAACCATACAACCTCCCTTTACCTGGAGTATGGGATTTGGCAATGGACGTGGGCAGGCACCAAATGGATGCATGTGAGAGTGTGAACGTGCGTGTGGCTAAGTGTGTATGTGGCATCTGGTGAGTAACATGTGAGTGGGCATGGGTTGTTGGAATCAAAGTATGAATCAATACATCTCTTAGCTCCATTTATCTCAACTCTTCCTTTGCAATCTTGGAATCATTCCTGGTGTCCAATGTCACAATTTTTTCCAAACAGCTTTGGCTAAGGACACACTGAAGGCTCCACTGAACCTTGAGGTGAACCTACTTTGTGAAGTTCATGGCACAGACTTTTGTGATAGCTGTGTGGGGCTGGGCTCACCAACCTTCTCATGTTCTAACCTGACCTGCTCTAAGCTGACCTCTGACCCCACTGAGGGCAGCTTATCCAGTTAATTTCCAGCGGATGGTTAGGCTTCCTCAAGTGTGTGAATATTTTTTTGCTAAAGTCTCAGGTGGGCCATACTGAGGAAAGGCAAGATGCATTTGGCATGTCTGGTGTCTCTGAAATTTGGAAGCTGTGAATTAGAGTGCAAGAGGCACTTCGATGTTGGTTACCATGTCTGCTAAAAAAAAAAAAAAAAAACAGATTTGCAGGAACCTAAATAACACTACTACCAGGCTATGTGTGAGAGGGGCTGTGGGCAGGTTAAAAGCCGAGTGCTGTCCTGGTAAGGGCATGGGGGATCCCCCTGCTTGTAATGCCTAGTAGAATGGGTGAGTGTCTTTTTTTTTTTTTTTTTTTGAGATGGAATCTCACTCTGTTGCCCAGACTGGAGTCCAGTGGCACAATCTCGGCTCACTGCAACCTCTGCCTCCTGGGTTCAAGCGATTCTCCTGCCTCAGCCTCCAGCTGGGATTACAGGCTCACTCTACCACGCCAGGCTAATTTTTGTATTTTTAGTAGAGACGGGGTTTCGTCATGTTGGCCTGGCTGGTCTTGAACCCTTGACAACTGATCCGCCCCTCAGCCTCCCAAAGTGCTTGGATTACAGGCGTGAGCCACCGCGCCCGGCCGGATGAGTGTCTTAACGTGAGCTTGGACTTTCATTCTGGGTGGCCTGCAGAATGCGCTAACTAGGAATAGCCCTTCCTTTTCCTGGCAAGAGGGGGCACATCCACGCTCAGTTCACCAGGAGACTGGGGATTCTTCTGAGTATTCCATGCATGCTTTTCCGTCTCCCCAGCCCCCTCCACCAGTGGGAGGCACTGCGATGTCTACAGGACTAGGGTGTTCAAATGCTGGTGTTCTCAGACAGCTCCTGTAATGGGCTGGCACCCCAAATCTAGACTGCATGGTGCCAAGCAGCCTGGGGTACCTCCACTGACAAAGCTGCTTTTTCATGCCAGCTCTACACAAAGGCAGCGTGATGGCAGGAAGGCCCTCCCACTGGAATGCACACTGGAAGAGCGCTCGGCTGCTCTGGCTCGGGGCCCTCCCCACCCTCGCGGCAAACCCCCACCCCCAGCAGGGTGGGGAGGGTGATGAGAGGAGGGTCAAGGAACCCATGCTGCTTCTCTTGATGATTTGTTGTCTTCTCTTCCCCCAGTAAAGCCTATTCCTAGGCTGTGTCACGCTGTGGAATTTGTCTCAAACCCAGGTGCCTGACAGAGAGACCCCGAAGGGTGCTGTCCAGTGGGAAAAGTAACTTGTAGAGGGTAGAGGAGGAAGAGCTGAAAGCACACAACGTTGGGCAGGGAGGAGGCAGGTCCGTGCCTTACATGAATTTCTCTTCCTTGCTGCTCACCAGTCTCTGAAGCCACTGTGCCTTCCTCTGCTCATGGCCACCCTGAGTCAGAGGCCGCTCCTGTAGACGGTCACTCCTTAGCTGCCCATCTCTGCCTTCCCATTGCCACTGCCAAGGCTGTGGGGTATATTCTTAACTTCTAGGTTTTTTGGTAATGGCCCTGCCTTAGGTCCCCCCCAGTTCAAAGTGTCCCCAGCACACCACCACCACCACCACGACCAAACTGGTTTCACAAAACATCGTCTTGATCCCCACTGAAAATCCATGAGGTGCATGATATTCATTACATTCGCCTCCTCCTTGCCCATCCCTGGTAGGAGCACAGGAGTGTTGAAGGGTCTGCCCTCAGGCAGCTTACATAGCCATGGAGGAGGAGGCATCAAGCAGTAATCTGAGTGGGACGCAGGGAATTTGGTGCCCCAGAAAAAATGTGCCAGGTTGGCCTGGTCTGGGAGTACCCAGGGAGGCTTTTCAGGAGGGGACACATAAACCATTTCCTTGAACAAACTCATCATGTTCAGGCAGGCACTCAAGGCCTTCTCAGTGGCTTTCCAGACTTTTTTCTGACTCTTGCCTTTGCTACAGCCGGATGGTCCAGGCACCACTCTGGGCTCTCCCGAGCTCCTTCCACCTCTCTCCTCCTCTCAACCCACAGGACATTTTACAGGATCTGCTTCTCCCCTGGAATGTCTCCTCTGACTCATCTCCTTTCTGTTTCAATGTGCTTTCCCATTTCTTAACATCCAATGATAATTCCCTGTGGGTCAGTCTCTCCCCTTCTCACCACCAATGGCCCTTGGGATCTGATCCACTCATTGGCCAGTTAATGGCCTTGTTGAGTTGGAAACAGCATTTCATTTATTAAATAAAAATTATAGAAAGCCATCAGCCTAGGCAACACAGTGAGACCCCCCCTTGTCTACCAAAAAAAAAAAAAAAAAAAACATTAGTCACACATGGTGGCACACGCCTATAGTCCTAGCTAGGACTGAGGGGGAGGAAGGCTTGAGCCCAGGAGTTCAAGGCTGCAATGAGCCGTGATTGTGCCACTGCACTCCAGCCTGGGCGACAGAATGAGACAAATGGTGGAAGGGAGCGAGGGAGGGAGGAACGGGGGAAGGAAGGGAGGGAGAGAGAGAGGGAGAGAAGGAAGGGAGGGAGGGAGGGAGGGAGGGAAGGAGGGAGGGACGGGACTGCACTAGGTCAAAACAGATAGAACTAAAACTCAAGATGGAGTCACCCATGCTAAACTAAGTTGTTATCCGACATTCTGAAAAATAAGGAGAGAGAGATAACAGCCAATTTCTCAAAAAGATCAGTTTAAATCTTTAACCACATGATAATGAAGTTCTGTTTTAATCCTTAAACAAAAAAAAGGCTTAAAGAACCTGAAGAGACCCGATGTTAACTAATCAGTTGTTTTTCCAATTGTTTTGCGTCCCTTTCCCCCACCTTACAAGAAAAAAATAACTTTGAAGTCTGGGTGGTGCCTCACACCTATAATCCCAGCACTTTGGGAGGCTGAGGTAGGAGGATTGCTTGAGGTCAGGAGTTTGAGACCAGACTGGGCAACAAAGCAAGACCCTGTCTCTAAGAAAAAGAAAAAGAAGGCCAGGCGTGGTGGCTGACGCCTGTAATCCCAGCACTTTGGGAAGCCAAGGTGAACGGATCACCTGAGGTTGGGAGTTTAAGACCAGCCTGACCAACATGGAGAAACCCTGTCTCTACTAAAAATACAAAATTAGCTGGGCGTAGTAGCGCATGCCTGTAATCCCAGCTATGCGGGAGGCTGAGGCAGGAGAATCGCTTGAACCCGGGAGGCGGAGGTTGCGGTGAGCCAAGACTGTGCCATTGCACTCCAGCCTGGGCAACAAAGCCTGGAGCGAAACTCCATCTCAAAAAAAAAAAGAAAGAAAAAAAAAACTTTGAAAAGTAACTTAATACATTCTTCCTTACTTCTGCTTTCTTCAGCTCTTCTGTGTTTATAAAACCAACTTCAGTCCAGGTGCGGTGGCTCACGCCTGTAATCCCAACACTTAGGGAGGCCAAGGTGGGTGGATCACCCGAGGTCAGGAGTTCGAGACCAGCCTGGCCAACATGGTGAAACCCCGTCTCTACTAAAAATACAAAAATTAGCTGGACATGGTGGCACACACCTATAATTCCAGCTACTTAGGAGGCTGAGGCAGGAGAGTCGCCTGAACTTCGCTTGAACCCAGGAGACAGAGGTTGCAGTGAACCGAGATCACGCCACTGCACTCTGGCCTGGGTGACAGAGTAAGACTCCATCTCAAAAAAAAAAGGCAACATCTTCTGCTGAGCTCATGGAACATTTATTCTATTTTACGGAATGAAGTGTTGCCTGATTCTAGAATCGAAAATAATGCCAACTGAGATCTTTAAGCTAAATTTGTTATAATGTTGTCCTTTGACATGGCTTAAGTTGTGGGACCTGTGTATAAGTTCAAGTCTGCCTCTTAAATAGTTTTAGGGCCAATTCCTCTAATATGAAATCAAATGAGAATTCTGGCTTTCTTTCATTCATTCAGCAAACATTTATTGAGTGCCTTGAAGCCTCAATAAACAAACTCAAATAGAATGGGGAGAGTATTAGGATTTAGCTCCGGTATTTGTACTTGTCATGTGCAGTATATGACTTGAGGGCACAATCTCTGAGTGTATCTGTTGTGTGTGTTTTTGTTTTTGACAGAGTTTGCTCTTGTTGCATAGGCTGGAGTGCAATGGCACAATCTTGGCTCACTCCAAACTCCACTTCCCGGGTTCAAGCGATTCTCCTGCCTCAGCCTCCCGAGTAGCTGGCATTACAGGCATGCACCACCACACCCAGCTAATTTTGTATTTTTAGTAGAGACAGGGTTTCTCCATGTTGGTCAGGCTGGTCTCGATCTCCCAACCTCAGGTGATCTGCCCGCCTCAGCCTCCCAAAGTGCAGGGATTACAGGCCACGTGAGCCCCCGCACCCAGCAATTATTATTAGTATTATTTTTTTGGAGACAGGGTCTTTCTCTATCGCCAAGGCTGGAGTGCAATCAAGGCTCACTGCAGCCTTGACCTCCTGGGCTTAAGCAATCCTCCTGCCTCAGCCTCCTGAGGCAAAAATTAGTGGGGCAAAAATTAGCAGCCAGGCGTGGTGGCTCACGCCTGTAATCCCAGAATTTTGGGAGGCCGAGGGGGGTAGATCATGAGGTCAGGAGTTCGAGACCAGCCTGACCGACATGGTGAAACCTCTGTCTTTACTAAAAATACAAAAATTATCCGGACATGGTGGTGAATGCCTGTAATCCCAGCTACTCGGGAGTCTGAGGCAGGAGAATCGCTTGAACCTGGGAGGCAGAGATTGCGGTGAGCCAAGATCACATCACACCATTGCACTCCAGCCTGGGCAACAAGAGTGAAACTCTGTCTCAAAAAAAAAAAAAAAGAAAGAAAAGAAAGAAATGGCTTCTAGTTGCTGTAATCTGACATCCAAGTGGTTAAAGACACCAAATATTTGGGTGCAAATCCAAGCTTTGCCACTTACCGCCTTTGTGAAAAAAAAATTTAACCATGGGTGGTGGCATGCTATTTTTTTTTTTTTTTTTTAGATGGAGTCTCTCTCTGTCACCCAGACTGGCATGCAATGGTGCAGTCTTGTCTTACCGAAACCTCTGCCTCCCAGGTTAAAGCAATTCTCCTGCCTTAGTCTCCTGAGTAGCTGGGATTACAGGTGCCCGCCACCACGCCCAGCTAATTTTTGTATTTTTAGTAGAGACGGGGGTTTCACCATGTTGGCCAGGCTGGTCTCAAACTCCTGCCCTCGTGGTCCACACATCTCGGCCTCCCAAAGTGCTGGGATTACAGGCTTGAGCCACCTCACCTGGCTGGTTAAATTTTTTATAGAGATGGGGTCTCCTGATGTTGGCCAGGCTGGTCTTGACCTCCTATACTCAAGCAATCCTCCCACCTCAGCCTCCCAAAGTACTGGGATAACAAGTGCAGGCCACCATGCCCAGCCAAAAATATTTTAATATAAAGAAAATAGGCTGGGCGCGGTGGCTCACACCTGTAATCCCAGCACTTTGGGAGGCCGAGGTAGGTGGATCACCTGAGGTCAGGAGTTTCAGACCAGCTTGACCAACAAGGTGAAACCCCGTCTCCACTAAAAATACAAAAATTACCCGGGCGTGGTGGTGTGCACCTGTAATCCCAGCTACTTGGGAGGCTGAGGCAGGAGAATTGCTTGAACCCGGGAAGCGGAGGTTGCAGTGAGCCAAGATGGCACCATTGCACTCTAGCCTGGGCAACAGAGTGAGACTCCATCTCAAAAAAGAAAAAAAAAGAAAGAAAAGAAAATAGGGACTGGGCATGGTGGTTCATGCCTGTATTTCCAGCACTTTGGGAGGCTGAGGTGGGCTGATCACCTGAGAGACCAGCCTGGGCAACATAGGGAACCCTGTCTCTACAGAAAAAAAAAGAAAGAAAGAAAGAAAGAAAAAAGTCTGGGTGCGGTGGCTCACACCTATAATCTCAGCACTTTGGGAGGCTGAGGTGGGTGAATGGCTTGAGCCCAGGAGTTCTAGACCAGCCTGGGCAACATAGGGAGACCCTGTCTCTTAAAAAACATACAAAAATAGCCGGGTGCAGTGGCTCAAGCCTGTAATCCCAGCACTTTGGGAGGCTGAGGCAGGTGTATCACCTGAGATCAGGAGTTCAAGACCAGCCTGGTCAACATGGCGAAACCCCATCTCTACTAAAAATACACACACACACACACACAATTAGCCAGGCACGGTGGCATGCGCCTGTAATCCCAGCTACTCAGGAGGCTGAGGCAGGAGAATCGCTTGAACCTGGGAGGCGGAGGTTGTGGTGAGCTGAGATCGCACCACTGCGCTCCAGTCTGGGTGACAGAGTGAGGCTCCATCTCAAAACATAAATAAATAAATAAATAAATAAATAAATAAATAAAATTAGCACGGTGTGGTGGCACGTGCCTGAGGTCCCAGCTACTCAAGAGGTGGAGGTGGGAGGATTGCTTGAGCCCAGGAAGCAGAGGTTGAAGTGAGTCATAATCACACCACTGCACTCCAGCCTGGGTGACAGAGTAAGACCCTGTTTCAGAAAAAAAGAAAAGAAAAAGAAAATAGCTAGGGACTTTGTTGAGTTTGTACTATGTGTGCCTGCTACTGCACTATACTGTTTATCTACTTTATCTTATTTAATTTTCACAAGTTTTTGCAGTATGCCCATTTAGCAGATAAAGAAATTGAAGTTTAGCTGTGCAGGGTGGTGGCTCCTAATCCAAGCTACTTGGGAGGCTGAGGTGGAAGCCTCACTTGAGTGAGCGTGGGAGGTTGAGGCTGTAGTGAGTTGTGATCCAGCCCCTGCACTCCAGCCTGGGCAATGGAGTGAGACCCTGTCTCAAAAAAAAAAAAAAAAAAAAAAAAAAAAAGACACCGTCTGAAAAAAAACTTTGTAGTCAGCTGAGGGTTGTCTAGGATAGCCTCAGCTGAAACAAGTCAGCTTTCTTCCATGTGTCATTCATGTCCCTTCAGCAGGTCAACCTGGGAATGTTCTGGGTGTGTTCTCATGGTGATCACCGAGGAGCAAGAGAAGAAGCAGAAACACACAGGTGGTTTTTCTTTTTCTTTTTTTGAGACGGAGTTTCGCTCTTGTTGCCCAGGCTGGAGTGCAATGGCGCGATCTCGGCTCACCGCAACCTCGGCCTTCAGGGTTCAAATGATTCTTCTGCCTCAGCCTCCGGAGTTGCTGGGATTACAGGCATGCGCCACCATGCCCAGCTAATTGTTTTGTATTTTTAGTAGAGATGGGGTTTCTCCTTGTTGGTCAGGCTGGTCTCCAACTCCCGAACTCAGGTAATCCGCCCGCCTCAGCCTCCCAAAGTGCTGGGATTACAGGCGTGAACCACTGCGTCCGGCCAGTTTTTCAAACCTCTACTTGTGTCAAGTCAGCTAACATCGTAATGGCTAAAGCAAGTCACATGGCTAAGCTCAGATTCTTCAAGAAGGTGGGGAAATAGACTCTACTTCTATTATGAAAGAAATTGCCGGGCGCGGTGGCTCACGCTTGTAATCCCAGCACTTTGGGAGGCCGAGGCGGGCAGATCACAAGGTCAGGAGATCTAGACCACGGTGAAACCCCGTCTCTACCAAAAATACAAAAAATTAGCCGGGCGTGGTGGCGGGCGCCTGTAGTCCCAGCTACTCGGAGACGCTGGGGCAGAAGAATGGCGTGAACCCGGGAGGCGGAGCTTGCAGTGAGCCAAGATCGCACCACTGCGCTCCAGCCTGGGTGACAGAGCGAGACTCCATCTCGGAAAAAAAAAAAAAAAAAAAAGGAAGAAATTGCAAATTCACACGGCAAAGGGTGTGGAGACAGGGAGGGGTGAAGACTCGGAGCCATTAATGCAATCAATATACCACAGTCTGCCCTCTGGCCACAGGATTTTTTTTTTTTTCCGAGACAGGGTCTCACTCTGTTGCGGACGCTGGAGTGCCGCGAAGGTATCACAGCTTACTGCAGCCTCGAACTCCTGCGTTCAAGTGATCCTTCCACTTTAGCCACCTGAGTAGCTGGGACCACAAGTGCGTGCCACCACGCCCAGCTAATTTTTTATTTAAATCTTTTGTAGAGACAAGGTCTCTACAAAATGTTGCCCAGGCTGGTCTCAAACTCCTGGCCTCAAGCGATCCTTCTGCCTCCATCCTGCAAAGTGCTGGGATTACAGGCATGAGCCACCACACCTGGCCTCTCTAGACACGATTACTTATGTTTTTTCTATATGCAAAATATGCTCATTCCCCATTGCAGGACCCCCAAAAGACTCATCCAATCCTGACATTAGGGTGAAAGTCCAGGATCTTGTGATCTATATCAGGCCTAGATGTGGTACTTTCTTTTTTTTGTTTTTGAGATGGAATCTTGCTTTGTCACCCAGGCTGGAGTGCAATGGCACAATCTCAGCTCACTGCAACCTCCATCTCCCAGGTTCAAGCGATTCTCCTGCCTCAGCCTCCCGAGTAGCTGAGATTACAGGCGCCTACCACCACGCCCAGCTAATTTTGTATTTTTAGTATTTTCACCATGTTGGTCAGGCTGGTCTCGAACTCCTGACCTCAGGTGATCCACCCCCCTTGGCCTTCCAAAGTGCTGGGATTACAGGCGTGAGCCACCTCGCCCGGCCGAGGCAGGCTTTGATGGTGGCTGAGATGCTTTCTCAGCTTCCTTCCTCCTGATGGAAAGCAGGCAACCCAGAGGTCTTTGTACAGTTTGAACAGTCTCAGCCCCTTTGTGTCTAGATTAGCAGTGCGGTTGTGGGTGCAATATCCTTAAAAACTTTGGAGTTTTGAGTATATCTGTATGATTAGAGTCCACCTTATGCATCAAGAACCACACCCCAAATTTTCTCGAGATATGTTTCTTTGTTGACTTAAGTCTCCACTAACTAGGTATCAACTAACTGTGTGAGGGTGCTGTGGGAGTCATGCTTTTAAAATTCACAGATGTCCTTTTGTCAGAGGGTCTACTAGGCACTGTCTTGATATTCCCAGAGAATTTAACAGTCTTCAGCCATGCCCTAGAGTGCATTTCTTTACTGGGCTAAGAGGCTAGAAATGAGAAATAAATTTTCTCTTGAGACAGTCTTGCTCTGTCACCCAGGCTGGAGTACGGTGGTGAGATCTCAGCTCACCGTAACCTCTACTTCCCAGGTTCAAGTGATTCTCCTGCCTCAGCCTTCTGAGTAGCTGGGACTACAGGGGCATGCTACCACACCCAGCTAATTTTTGTATTTTTAGTAGAGACGGGGTTTCATCATGTTGACCAGGCTGGTCTGGAACTCCGGACCTCAAGTGATCTGCCTGTCTCAGCCTCCCAAAGTGCTGGGATTACAGGTGTGAATGACCAGGCCCAGCAGGGAAGTAATTTTGTTTTTCCAACCCAGAAAATGCTGCACCCTCCACATTTCCTCTGAATTCAGCTTGCAAATTGACTAGTTCATCTCTTTAGCTCACCTCTTGTAAAAAAATTTTTTGAGATGGGGTCACCCAGGCTGGAGTACAGAGGCACGATCATGGTTCACTGCAGCCTTGACCTCCTAGGCTCAAGTAATCCTCCCACCTCAGCCTCCGGAGTACCTGTAACCACAGGAACCTGCCAGCATGCCTGGCTAATTTTAAAATTTTTTTTGTACAGATGAGATCTGTCTACATGGGCCAGACTAGTTTCGAACTCCTAGCCTCAAAGGATCCTCCTGCCTTGGCCTCCACAAGTGTTGGGATTACAGACATGAGCCATGGATCCAGCTTAGAAAACGTTATCAAGGGCTGGGCATGGTGGCTCACGCCTGTAATCCCAACACTTTGGGAGGCCCAGGCAGGTGGATCACCTGAGGTCAGGAGTTCAAGACCAGCCTGGCCAACATGGGGAAACCCCATCTTTACTAAAAAAAATACAAAAATTAGCTGGGCGTTGTGACATGCACCTGTAATCCCAGATACTCAGGAGGCTGAGGCAGGAGAATCACTTGAACCCGGGAGGCGGAGGTTGAGCCTAGATCGTGCCATTGCACTCCAGCCCTGGCAAGAGAGCAAGACTCTGTGTCAAAAAAAAAAAAAGAAAGAAAACTTTATCAAACACAGATGGTAAAAGCCAATGGACACTTTCAACATTCTGACTGGAGATTTCTTTGCTCAAATCTACAAGTTCGTTTGGTATATTTTCTTTCTTTCTTTCTTTCTTTTTTTGAGACGGACTCTCGCTCTGTCACCCAGGCTGGAGTGCAGTGGCATGGTCTCGGATCACTGCACTCCGCCTCCCGGCTTCACGCCATTCTCTTGCCTCAGTCTCTCCAAGTAACTGGGACTACAGGCGGCCACCACCATGCCCGGCTAATTTTTGTATTTTTAGTAGAGACAGGGTTTCACCGTGTTAGCCAGGATGGTCTTGATCTCCTGACCTTGTGATCTGCCCACCTCGGCCTCCCAAAGTGCTGGGATTACAGGCATAAGCCACCATGCCTGGCGGGAGTTTTGCTCTTGTTGACCAGGCTGGAGTGTGCAATGGTGCGATCTCGGCTCACCGCAACCTGGGTTCAAATGATTCTCCTACCTCAGCCTCCCGAGTAGCTGGGATTACAGGCATGTGCCTCCACCATGCCTGACTAATATTTTGTGTTTTAGTAGAGACAGGGTTTCCCCATGTTGCTCAGGGTGGTCTTAAACTCTTGAGCACAGGCGATTTGCCCACCTCGGCCTCCCGAAGTGCTGGGATTACAGGTGTAAGCCACCACGCCCAGCCACTGATGTTGTTTTTGAGACAGGGTCTTGTTCTGTCACCCAGGCTGGAGTTTCAGTGGCATTATCTCAGCTCACTGCAACCTCCACCTCTGAGGCTCAAGCGGTCCTCCTGTCTCAGCCTCCCCAGTAGCTGGGACCACAGGTCCCAGGTGCCATGATGCCTGGCTAATTTTTGTATATTTTGTAGAGACAGGTTTCATCATGTTGCCCAGGCTTGAAACTGCCTTTGTAAAAAAAAAAATGGGCACAAGGTTAGAATTATGGTTTGGGAGTCATGCAGCTAGAGGTTACAAGGTTTGTAACTTTCTCAATTGCTCCTATGGATAACATTACTATTGTAAATCCTAGGACTAGTGCTTGAGGTATTTTTCAGACCCTGCATTCTGATGGACCAGCTGACACTGCCCAAACCAGTAACCTTTACCAATAAACTGACACAGTAGGTTTCTGACCCCTATAGGAATTGATTCAGCATAAGAAGACAGCTTCATCCCCCTACGATTTCATTCCCAACCCAACCAATCAGCATTTCCCATTCCCTAGCCCCCTGCCCACCAAACTATCCTTAAAAATCCCTGGATTCCAAATTCTCAGGGAAGCAGATTTGATAAACATCTTCCATCCTTCAGCCTGGTTGGCCCTGTGATTAAACTTTCTCTACTGCAATTCCTGGTGTTCTCCGTGTTTGGCTTTTCTGGGCAGCAGGCAGGAAGAACCCAGGTGGGCAATTACAGTGGTCATAAAACCATTTATGATTTCTTCCAGCCAATGTCAACTGAGCAGTTCCGCTGACTGGGCTTGTTCATGCATCTTTTTTCTTTCTTTCTTTCTTTTTTTTTGAGACAGAGTTTTGCTCTTGTTGCCCAGGCTGCAGTGCAATGGTGCGATCTCGGCTCACTGCAAACTCCATCTCCTGGGTTTAAGGGATTCTCCTGCCTCAGCCTCCCGAGTAGCTGGGATTACAGGCATGCGCCACCACACCTGGCTAATTTTGTATTTTTAGTAGAGACAGGGTTTCCCCATGTTGGTCGGCTGGTCTTGAACTCCCGACCTCGGGTGATCCGCCCTCCTTGGCCTCCCAAAGTGCTGGGATTACAGGCGTGAGCCACCATGCCTGGCTGCACTCATGCATCTTTAATCAGGTGATTGAGGACTCCCTGGGACCTGGCTGGTATAGGATGGCCTCCCCTGCACAGCTGGGGT
Source organism: Homo sapiens (assembly GCF_000001405.40). NCBI lineage: Eukaryota > Metazoa > Chordata > Mammalia > Primates > Hominidae > Homo > Homo sapiens. Next base: position 33,557,108 of record NC_000006.12, on the reverse strand, counting down.
TCCCTCCATGTGTCTCTCTCACATCCCTCCAGCTAGCTGGCCCAGATATGACTCAGGTTAGACTGAGCATGTTTTCATGACAATTGCACGCAAGCAGGAGAGGAAGTGCAAACAAGTGCAAACACGAAAGCACTTGTTTAATCATCTGCTGGCATCAAACCTGCTAGCATTCTTTCTGAGCAGAGTCAGAAAAAAAAATTAATAAAAATAAAAAATAAATAAAAATAATGGGCCGGGCATGGTGGCTCACGCCTATAAGCCCAGCACTTTGGGAAGCTGAGGTGGGCAGGTCACTTGAGGTCAGGAGTTCCAGACCAGCCTGGCCAACATGGTGAAACCCATGTCTCTACCAAATATATATGTATGACAAATATATACATATATATATATATATATATATATATATATATATATACACATACACACACACACACACACACACACACACACACAAATTAGCCAGGCATGGTGGCACATACCTGTATTCCTAGCTACTCAGGAGGCTGAGGTAGGAGGATTGCTTGAGTCCAGGAGGCGGAGGTTGCACCACTGCAGTACCACTGCACTCTAGCCTGGATGACAAAGTGAGACTTTCTTTCTTTCTTTTTTTTTTTTTGAGGCAGAGTTTCTCTTGTGTTGCCCAGGCTGGAGTGCAGTGGCAGCAATCTGAGCTCACTGCAACCTCCACTTTCTGGTTTCAAGCAATTCTCCTGCCTCAGCCTCCCAAGTAGCTGGGATTACAGAAGCCCCCCAACATGCCCAGCTAATTTTTGTATTTTTAGTAGAGACAGGGTTTCACCATGTTGGCCGGGCTGGTCTCAAACTCCTGACCTCGTGATCCGCCCGCCTCGGCCTCCCAAAGTGCTGGGATTACAGGTGTAAGCCACCGCACCTGGCTGAGGCTATATTTCAAAAACATAAATAAATAAATAAAATCTGCGTAAATAAATGATTATTTAAGTTTTTCTTATACTCCTTAACATATCCTTTAAACAAAAGAGACAGTTGTACATACTATTTCTATTTTTGAAAACAGGAAACAGGACTGGCATGGTGGCCTGTAATCCCAGCACTTTAAGAGGTCAAGGCAGGCAAATCACCTGAGGTCGGGAGTTCAAGACCAGCATGACCAACGTGGAGAAACCCCATCTCTACTAAAAATACAAAATTAGCAGGGCGTGGTGGCACATGCCTGTAATCCCAGCTATTTGGGAGGCTGAGGCAGGAGAATTGCTTGAACCCGGGAGGCGGAGGTTGCGCTGAGCCGAGATCGCACCATTGCACTCCAGCCTGGGCAACAAGAGCAAAACAAGAGCAAGGAGAGGGTGTCTTTTTGAAGACATTTTTCTTCCTTTTCACGATACTCCCTCTCAGATATGCCTCCCTTCCCAGCTGGGCGCAGCGGCTCACGCCTGTAATCCCAGCACTTTGGGAGGTCAAGATGGGTGGATCACTTGAGGTCAGGAATTTGAGACCAGCCTGGTCAACATGGAGAAACCCCATCTCTACTAAATACACAAAAATTAGCTGGGTGTGGTGGCAGACGCCTGTAATCCCAGCTACTCTGGAGGCTGAGGCAGGAGAAAGAATCGCTTGAACCCAGGAGGCAGAGGTTGCAGTGAGCTGAGACTGTGACACTGCACTACTTAAAAACAAAAACAAAAACAAAAAACGCCTCCCTTCTCCCACTTTCTTTTTTTTTTTTTTGAGATGGAGTCTTGCTCTGTTGCCCAGGCTGGAGTGCAGTGACACTATCTTGGCTCACTGCAACATCTGCCTCCCAGGTTCAAGCAATTATCTTGCTTCAGCCTCCTGAAGAGCTGGGATTACAGGTGCATGCCACTATGCCCGGCTAATTTTTGTATTTTTAGTAGAGACGGGGTTTCACCATGTTGGACCAAGCTGGTCTCGAACACCTGACCTCAGGTGAATTGCCCGCCTTGACCTCCCAAAGTGCTGGGATTACAGGCATGAGACACCACGCCTGGCCCCTTCTCCCACTTTCTAAGAAGAGACTCTGAGATTTTTTTTTTTTTTTAGAAATGTAAATTTCTAAATGTAAACTAGGCTGAGGTCAGTGGATCACACCTATAATCCCAGCACTTTGGGAGGCCGAGGTAGGAGGATCCCTTTAGGCTGGGAGTTTGAGACCAGCCTTGGCAACACAGTGAGACCCCATCTTTACAAAAAAATTTTTTTTTACTTAGCCGAGCATGATGGTGCACGCCTGTAGTACTAGCTACTTGGGAGGCTGAGGTGGGAGGAACCCCTTCAGCCCAGGAGTTCAAGGTTACAGTGAGCTATGATCCTGTCACAGCGCTCCAGCCTAGGCAGCAAAAGGAGACCCTGTCTCTAAGGAAAGAAAAAAGGTAACTTTAAAATTCATTTAGGTAATTATCAGACTTCTTTTTAGTTGTAGGGGCAAATCAATAAGACCATTGTAGAATTATGGCAAGAAAAATATGAACTAAAAGTACTTTATTACTTTGGGAAGGAAAATAGAAATGATCAAATAAAAAAAAACACAAGATTTTTTTCTTTTTTTTAAGCTGGGACTACAGGCACACAGCCCTGAGCCCAGCATAATGTTACTTTTTTTTTTCTTTTGAGACAGAGTCTCGCTTTGTTGCCCAGGCTCGAGTGCAATGGCGAGGTCTCGGCTCACTGCAACCTCTGCTTACCGGGTTCGAGCGATTCTCCTGCCTCAGCCTCCCGAGTAGCTGGGATTACAGGTGCCTGCCATTGCGCCCAGCTAATTTTTTTATTTTTAGTAGAGATGGGGTTTCACCATCTTGGCCAGGCTGGTCTTAAACTTGTGACCTCGTGATCCACCCGCCTTGGCCTCCCAAAGTGTTGGGATTACAGGCATTAGCCACCGTGCCCGGCCCATAATGTTACTTTTTTAATGTAAAGGTTAGAAAAGAGATTTTGGAAGACTGAGATATTCTGTGTGTGTGTTTGGTTTGTTTTGTTTTTTTGAGACGGAGTCTTGCTCTGTCGCAGGCTGGTGTGCAGTGGCGTGATCTCAGCTCACTGCAATCTCTGCCTCCTGGGTTCAAGTGATTCTCCTGCTTCAGCCTCTCGAGTAGCTGGGACTACAGGTGCGCACCACCACGCCCAGCTAATTTTTGTATTTTTAGTAGAGACAGGGTTTCACCATGTTGGCCAGGATGGTCTCGATTTCTTGACCTCGTCATCTGCCTGCCTGGGCCTCCCAAAGTGCTGGGATTACAAGCATGAGCCACTATCCCCGGGCTGGAATCTTCAAGATAACTTGACTTGCCACATTTAAGAGTCTGAATTATTAGGTTTATGAGAATTATTTACATGCTGAATACTTCCTTCTTGTTTGACTTGTAAATCTACCCTGAGGAATTGGAAGTGGTTGGGAAAAAAATCAAGTATATTAAATTTGTAAATGTAGTTTAAATATTTAAGAGAATTTAATTAACTAAGTTTGTAAATGCTATGAGTAATGTTCAAGCAAATTAAATATGTCAAGCCCATGGGCTAATTGTGTATTAATCAAAGAACAAGTTATTACTCTTACTTTTATCCAAAACCTGCAAGATTTCTAAATAGAATATCAGGATATGGAAGTTAAACTTAAAAACATAAGAAGATCTGTTTTTAAGCTTACAACATTAATTGAAGATTAATTTAGGCTAGGGGCAGTGGTGCAAGCCTGTAATCCCAGCACTTTGGGAGGCTGAGGTGGGAGGATCAGTGGAGCTCAGGAGTTCGAGATCAGCCTAGGTAACATCATGAAACTCTGTCTCTACAGAAAATACAAAAATTAGCCAGGCATGTGTGGTGCGCGACTGCAGTCCCAACTACTCCTCAGGTTGAGGTGGGGGGAAGGCTTGAGCCCAGGAGGTTGAGGCTGCAGTGAGCTGTGATTGTGCCACTGTACTCCAGCCTGGGTGACAGAGTAAGACACTGTCTCTCTTTTTTTTTTTTTTTTTGAGACAGAGTCTGGCTGTGTCACCCAGGCTGGAGTGCAATGCTGCAATTTTGGCTCACTGCCATCTCTGCCTCCCGGATTTAAGCAATTCTCCTGCCTCAGCCTTCCAGGTAGCTGGGATTACAGGCGAGTGCCATCATGCCCAGCTAATTTTTTTCAATTTTTTTGGAGATGAGGTCTCACTCTGTTGCCAGGGCTGATCTTGAACTCCTGGGCTCAAAAGATTCTCCCACCTCCGCCTCCCAAAGTGCTGAGATTATAGGGCTGAGCCACCTTCCAGGCCTTAACTTTTGTAAGAATACACATTTTGGCCGGGCGCAGTGGCTCAGGCCTGTAATCCCAGCACTTTGGGAGCTCAAGGTGGGTGGATCTCTTGAGGTCAGGAGTTCGAGACCAGCCTGGGCAACATGGTGAAACCACATCTCTATTAAAAATACAAAAATTAGCCAGGAATAGTGGCACACGCCTGTAGTCCCAGCTACTCAGGAGGCTGAGGCAGGAGAATCGCTTGAACCCGGGAGGCGGAGGTTGCAGTGAGCTGAGATCGAGCCACTGCACTCCAGCCTGGGCGACAAAGCGAGACTCTGTCTAAAATAAACAAATACATACATACACATTTTGTCAGAGTAGTTTGAGGGTAGGATCCAATGAAGGGCTTAGCAAGTACCTGGCATGAAATAAAGTAAATAAATTTGCTGACTGTGCTTGCTCATGCATCTTTTTTTTTTTTTTTTTTTTTTTTTGAGATGGAGTTTTGGTCTTGCTCTTTTTGGTTATCACCTCTATATTCCACAGCACCCACAAGCTTCAATGCTTACTCTTTCAATGGTCTTTCTCTTGGTCCAGTATTTAGAAATTTGGCTTATATAATAGTAAAATCGAAATAAAAAAAATACTTTAGGCCAGATGCAGTAGCTCACACCTGCAATCCCAGCACTTTTTTTTTTTTTGAGACAGGGTCTCACTCTGTCACCCAGGCTGCAGTGTAGTGGTGCGATCTTGGCTCACTGCAGCCTTGACCTCTCAATCTTAGCCTCCCGAGTAGCTGGGACTATACGTGTGCACCACCACGCCCGGCTAATTTGTTGTTGTAGAGAAGGGTTTTCGCCACGTTGCCCATGCTGGTCTTGAACCCCTGGACTCAATCCTCCCACCTCCGTCTCCCAAAGTACTAGTATTACAGGCATGAGCCACCACATTCGGCCAATTCCAGAACTTTGGAAGGCCAAGGGCTGGTGGATTGCTTGAGCCCAGGAATTCAGGATCAGCCTGAGCAATATAGTGAGACCCAGTCTCTATCAGAATTTTTAAAAAATTAGCCAGGCTGGTGGCATGAACCCGTGGTCCCAGTTACTTGGGAGGCTGAGGTAGGAGGATTGCTTCAGCCTGGCAGTCGAGGCTGCACAGAGCTGTGATTGCACCACTGCATTCCTGCCTGGGCAGCAGAGAGAGACTCTTCTCAAAACAAAAAGAAAAAACCACACACACACAAACAAAAGTATTTGATGCTAAAAGATGTTAATTCCTGGCAAAATCTCAATTAACCAAAGATTAGGATAGTAAGGAAAAACACTAGGGAAATGGTTGTGCAAATTTGTCTCTAAAAGGATTTATGCTGTTTGCAATACCTTTAAAACAAAACAAGAAAGATAAGGCAAGGGGAAAACAAAGATAGCAAAGTGGGAGGGGGAAGATTAACAGAATGGAAAAAAAAATGCACATTCTAACATCATGTATCCTTCCTTGCCCTATAAAATTAGCTCTAAGCTTTCTTTCTTTCTGTTTTTGTTTTTTTTTTTTTAAGACAGAGTCTCTCACTGTCGCCCCGGCTGGAGTCTGGAGTACAGCGGCACGATCTCAGCTCACTGCAACCTCTGCCTCCGCCTCCCGGGTTCAAGCCATTCTCCTGTCTCAGCTTTCCGAGCAGCTGGGATTACAGGCGCCCGCCACCACGCCCAGCTAATGTTTGTATTTTTAGCAGAGACAGGGTTTCACCGTGTTGGCTAGGCTGGTCTCAAACTCCCGACCTCGTGATTCACCTGCCTCGGCCTCCCAAAGTGTTGGGATTACAGGCATGAGCCACCATGCCCAGCTTTTTTTTTTTTTTTTTTTTTTTTTTTTTTGAGACAGAGTCTCCCTCTGTTGCCCAGGCTAGAGGAAGTCGCTTGATCTCAACTCACTGCAACCTCCACCTGCTGAGTTCAAGCGACTATCGTGCCTCAACCTCCCCAGTAGCTGGGATTCCAGGTGTGTGCCACCACACCCAGCTAATTTTTTGTATTATTATTATTATTTGTATTTTTAGTAGAGACGGGTTTCACCATGTTGGCCAGGCTGGTCTCAAACTCCTGATCTCAGATGATCCACCTGCCTTGGCTTCCCAAAGTGCTGGGATTACAAGCGTGAGCCACCGTGCCCCGCCTATATTCAGTATTTAGTAGTCACATGCTATACAGGTTTGTAGCCTTGGAGCAACAGGTTTACCATAATAGTCTAGGTGTGTAGTAGACTATACTAGCTAGGTTTGTATAAGTGTACTCCATAATGTTGGTAGGACAACTGATTTGCTTAACACTGCATTTCTCGGGGCTGGGAGCAGTGGCTCACACCTGTAATCCCAGCACTTTGGGAGGCAGAGGTGGGTGGATCAACTGAGGTCAGGAGTTCGAGACCAGCCTGGCCAACATGACAAAATCCCGTTTCTACTAAAAATACAAAAATTAGCCAGGCGTGGTGGCGCACACCTGTAATCCCAGCTACTTGGGAGGCTGAAGCAGGAGAATCGCTTGAACCCAGGAGGCGGAGGTCACAATGAGCCGAGATCAAGACACTGCACTCCAGCCTGGGCAACAGAGCAAGAGTCCATCTAAAAATAAATAAATAAATAAAATAAAACAATGCGTTTCTGAGAATGTATCCCCATCATTAAGCAACACACAACTGTAGCTGAGATCCCTCAGAACTGCCCTCTTTTAACAGATAAGAATCAGTCATGAGGTTGTCCCAGCTGCTCAGGAGGCTGAGCCAGGAGGACTCTGCTCGGGCCTAGGAGTTCAAGGCTGTAATGTACTGTGATCATACCTGGGATACCTGAGAAGAGCCACTGCATTCCAGCTGGGGCAACACAGCAAGATCTGTCTGAAAAAAAAAAAAAGAATCAGACATGAGTATAGAAGTAGAAATAATATCTTACCACTAGGACCTCAAGGCTCTCCCAGGTAATAGGGGGTTCAGGAACAGCTCTAACCACCAGTGCTCTGGCCAACAGAGGGCTTGCCATACCAATAAGGGGCACAGAGGCACAGGCAAATTATCTTTCTCTCTCTCTTTTTTTTTTTTTTTTTTTTTGAGACAGAGTCTTGCTCTGTCACTCCAGCCTCCAGGCTGGAGTGCAATGGCGCACTCTCAGCTTACTGCAACCTCTGCCTTCCGGGCTCCAGCAATTCTCCTGCCCCAGCCTCCTGAGTAGCTGGCATGTACCATGACACCCAACTAATTTTTGTATTTTTAGTAGAGTCAAGGTTTTGCCATGTTGGCCAGGCTTGTCTCGAATGCCTGATCTTAAGTGATCTACCCGCCTTGGACTCCCAAAGTGCTGGGATTACAGGCTTGAGCTATCACGCCCGACCTGGCACAGGCAAATTCTAAGCCTTTTGTCTGACACAAAAATAAGACTGCTTACTAAGATAACAAGCTAAGAGGTCTAGTTTGACACATCCTACAACGTGCGGGAGGAAGAATGGGGAAGAGCCCACAGCTGGTAAGAAACTGCAGGTAAGTCCTCCAGTCAGAGGCTGTGAGTCACAGGAAAGTCCTTACTCCATAATTCTCACTAGGTGCAGTGGCTCACGCATTTAATCCCAAGACTTTGGGAGGCCAAGGCGGGAGGTGTTGCTTGAGCCCTGGAGTTCAAGACCACAGGAAGGACTTACAACATAGGAAGAGGCGTCTCTATAGAGGCTCATAAATTAACCAGGCCTGGTGGCGCACATCTTTAGTCCCAACTATTTGGGAGGCTTGAGGCAGGAGAATCCCTTGAACCCGGGAGGCAGAGGCTGCAGTGAGCTGAGATCGCGCCACTGCACTCCAGCCTGGGTGACAGAGGGAGATTCCGTCTTGAAAATAAATAAATAAAAATAAATACTGAATATAATAATACCATGGTAGGTATTTGTGTATCTAAACATGGAAAAGGTACAGTAAAAATACCACATTATAATCTTATGAGACCACCTTCTGTCATTGACCAAAACGGTAATGGGGTGCATGACTATGTTGCTTGCTTTTCTCACACCTGGAGTCTCTGTGGGTTGTCTGCACAGCAGGAGCCCAGCCCTGGGACTGACTGTAGGCTTCCAGGGTGGCCGCTCACCGCCACTGTCCTTCAGGTCATCCTAGACACACAAGAAGGACGTGCCCAGCAGGACTATATTGTTTTCCACACCTCAGAGTATAGCCTGACCCCTGAGAGAGCTTATTTCTCCAACTTCCTCAAATAGATGAAATGATTTTTTAGCTCTTTTTTGTCACTCTACTCTTGTATTGAAATGATTTAATTAGATTAAAATTGGGGGGACATTAAGGTAGAAGACTCCTACCTACAGTTTGCCAGCCCCTCATACTTTGTAGTTCAAAGAGAAGTCTCCCTATTGTTGGAGAAAGGATGAAAGGACGGGGTGGGGGTTAACTCCACCCCTGATATGAATGTGATAGAAAAGAGATTCTCAGGATATCATCTAAAAATGAAAGCAGGAAACAGATTCAGCTTTAACTACCCATTGTCAGTATTTTTGTGGTCACTAGGAGAAAAACTTTTTTTTTTTTTTTGAGACGGAGTCTCACTCACTTGTCACCCAGGCTGGAGTGCAGTGGTGCAATCTCGGCTCACTGCAACCTCCGCCTCCTGGGCTCAAACAATTCTCCTGCCTCAGACTCCCAAGTAGCTGGGTTACAGGCACAAGCCACCATGCCCAGTTTTGTATTTTTAGTAGAGACAGGGTTTCACCATGTTGGCCAGGCTGGTCTCGAGCTCCTGACCTCAAGTGATTCTCCCACCTCGGCCTCCCAAAGTGCTGGGATTACAGGCGTAAGCCACTGCGCCCAGGCTAGAAAAACATTTATCCGAGAAGTCCTTTTAGGCTAGTTTAGACTGGAAGAAAGTGGAGAGGTAGGGAGTCTTTGGCTCATCATGGGGAGAAGGAATCCTGAAATAATTGGCTGGGGTAGCTCCACCCCTAAGGAAGCAAATGGAGTATCTAGAACCAGGGGGAAGGGGCTAAGGGGTGGGAGCAGAAAAGATCACAGCTAGTTCTTGTGGGGCCAGGAGTGAAGGGGCTAACCAGCAGAGATTTGGCCTGAGATGCCTGTGCTTAACACTCAGACCCTTTTCCTTGTCCACAAACAGGATTTTCAGCTGATAAACCTGAGGTGATAAACCAGTTGGAAAGGAGAGGTCTTGTGTATCCAGGCTCGACAAAGCCACACCAGATGCCAAGAGATAGCCAGACAGGAAAATGCAGGAAGGCCTCTGGGGCCCTGTCTGTTCTGCTCTCGACTTGTACTAATCAAGACAAATAGTTGTAAAGGCTTCTGAGTTATTGCTAAGAGTATAAGCTCATTTTAATTAGTTTTATCTTCCTGATTGATTTTACAATTACCAGTGATTATCCTTTCAGGCCGTGCTCTGATTCAGGGTTACGATGAAGGAAGGTTAAGATGGGTTACTTGGGCCGAGCGCAGTGGCTCACGCCTGTAATCTCAGCACTTTAGGAGGCCGAGGTGGGTGGATCACGAGGTCAGGAGTTCGAGACCAGTCTGGCCAACATAGTGAAACCCTATCTCTACTAAAAATACAAGAAGTTAGCCAGGCATGGTGGTGTGTACCAGTAATCCCAGCTACTCGGGAGGCTGAGGCAGGCGAATTGGGTGAACCCAGGAGGTGGAGCTTGCAGTGAGCCAAGATCTTGCCATTGCACTCCAGCCTGGGCGACAGTGTGAGACACCATCACAAAAAAAAAAAAAAAAAAACAAAAAAGAAAAAACGTGGGTTTCTTGGTCAGGTGGGGTAGCTTACGCCTATAATCTCAGCACTTTAGGAGGCTGAGGTGGGAGGATCACTTGAGACCAAGAGCTCGAGGCTAGTCTGTACAACATGGTGAAACTCCTTTTCTAGAAAAAATTTTAAAAATTAGCTGGGTGTGGTGGTGCATGCCTATAGTCCCAGCAACTCCTGAAGCTGAGGAGGCAGGAGGATTGTTTGAGTCCAGGATTTTGAGGCTGCAGTAAGCTATGATTGCACCACTGCACCTCTGCCTTGGGCGACAGAGCAAGACCCTGTCTCTAAAAAAATAAAATAAAATTAAAATGTTTAGGATGTCCTGGCTAACACGGTGAAACCCCGTCTCTACTAAATATACAAAAAATTAGCCGGGCGTTGTGGCAGGCGCCTGTAGTCCCAGATACAGGCAGGAGAATGGCGTGAACCCAGGGGGCGGAGCTTGCAGTGAGCCGAGATCACGCCATTGCACTCCAGCCTGGGCGACAGAGCGAGACTCCGTCTCAAAAAAAAAAAAATGTTTAGGATGAGTTTCTTTCCACCTTCATCAGGTGGAATCCCAGTTCTCAGTGGACTTGGGATTTTGAAGTGAGCAGAGGGTCGTTCTCAGGGTTCTTGTTGTTTAGTATCTGTGTCTTTGTTTTTTTGGAAATGGAAGAAGCATAGAGAATGGGACTTTGGATCTGGAACCTCCAAATTCTCAAAAACTCTCATGTTCAGTAAGCACTGCTCTGAATCCAGTGGCCCCTCTTCTGGCATTGAGACTAAGAAAAGGGTGTCAGAGTGATGGCAATAGGACCTCCAAACCTCCTTCCTCATCTGTGCCTTAGTGAATTCCTAGGGACTGGGAAGACAATCCAGGCAGTCGTCCTAACAGAAAAAGCTGTTTTGCCCTTTTTTTTCTTTTTTCTTTTTTCTTTTTTCTTTTTTTGAGACAGAGCCTTGCTTTGTCGCCCAGGCTGGAATGCAGTGGCATGGTCTCGGCTCACTGCAACCTCTGTCTCCTGGGTTCAAGCGATTCTCATGCCTCAGCCTCCCAAGAGGCTAAGAGGCTGGGATTACAGGCGTGCAACACCACACCCGGCTAATTTTTGTATTTTTAGTAGAGATGGGGTTTCGCCATGTTGGCCAGGCTGGTCTTGAACTCCTGGCTTCAATTGATCTGCCTGCCTCGGTCTCCCAAAGTGCCGGGATTACAGGCATGAGCCACCGCGCCTGGCCTGTTTTGCCCTCTTGAAGATGAAGACCTTCCCTGGCTCTTGTGTTTGGGGGGCCAGGAGCCCAGGACTCTTCTACACTTTCCTGCTTGCCGAGGTTGGGGCCTGATACAGTACAGTATTGATGTGAACCCTACCATCCAGGCCTCTTGGGTCAGTTCTCTCCATGGGTTTGCTAAAGGCAACATAATAACCTCAGCCACCAGACGTGTAAACGGTTGAGGCTTTATTGCTTATGAAGTTAACTTAAACATTAGACAGTCAAATTCTGTTTAAAAACTAAATCCAGGCTGGATGCGGTGGCTCATGCCTGTAATCCCAGCACTGTGGGAGGCTGAGGTGGGCGGATCACTTGAGGTCAGGAGTCCAGCCTGGCCAACATGGTGAAACCCCAGCTCTACTAAAATACAAAAATTAGCCAGTCATGGTGGCGGGCGCCTGTAATCCCAACTATTCAGCAGGCTGAGGCAGGAGAATCGCTTGAACCCCGGAGACGGAGGTTGCAGTGAGCCAAGACTGCGCTACTGCACTCCAGCCTGGGCTACAGAGCGAGACCCTGTCTCAAGGAAAAAAACAAATCCAGTAGAGTCCATCCTTATTTCCATTCATTTTCACCTCCATACTCTTATGAGGAGAGAGGTTGGTTGCTAATAATGAGCCTCTCCTGGTTTAAATGAAAAACCACACCTTCCAGAAAGCAGCATATCTATTTAAATAGCATTTCCAGGACTACAAATCATTAAGAAACCTATCAGCATTGCCGACTTTTTAGAAGTCAGAGGTTACTTTCCCTGGACATAGTAGCAATCTCTGAAGTCTAAGAGTCTTGAAAGACTCTTTAAAAATAACCTCAGCAAGAGCAGTTTTATGACATTGAATATTTGCTTTCTGCAATTGTAGGAGAAGAGAGAATTTTTCCCCTTGTAATCTTGATGAGATTTTTCACTAGCATTTACGAAAGCCTGGCTTGGAATTCCATTAATTAGTACCAGAGAAGGGAAAAGAGAGGCAAATCTGATAAGCTCAAGTCTCATAACTTGAGAAAACGTCTGGATGAGATAATTATCTTTTTTTTTTTTTTTTTGAGACATAGTCTTGCTCTGTCACCCAGGCTGGAGTGCAGTGGCATGATCTCGGCTCACCGCAACCTCTGCCTCCCGGGTTCAAGCGATTCTCCTTCCTCAGCCTCCCAGGCACACGCCACCACACCAGGCTGATTTTTTGTATTTTAGTAATTTTAGTAGAGACAGGGTTTCACCACGTTGGCGAGGCTGCTCTCGAACTCCTGACCTCAAGCGATCCGCCTGCCTCAGCCTCCCAAAATGCTGGGTTATAGGCTTGAGCCACCACGCCTGGCCTTGGATGGGATAATTATCAAACAGAACACAGGAATATTTATAGATTTATTTTTTCTGTACACTCCAGTTTTGGCTTTTATTTAACATTGACTATGTAATACTCTGATACTACCACATGCTTACAACCCAGAAAGGTATACTTTTATATTAGTGTCTATAAAGACGGATTTAAAATGTGTATTTTAAACACAGCAGTTGAGCTGAGTGCATTTTATATAATATGCTGAGGTTTACCTATCCTACTTCAAACAAATTCTCAATTCCCAAGAACACGGGAATACAGTGGAGTCATGTTTTCTGCCTGTAGAATCTGCAGGATGCGTGTTAGGTAGAACACACATCAAATATAAGTTGAGTCTCAGCTGGTCCCAGCTGCTCATGTGGCCCTTAGGCCTGTGATCACAGCCTCTCCTGTCACTGCCACACAGGTGGCTCCTGGGCCAAAGGCCAAACAGTAACCCCTGGGGTCCCATGAAGAAAGGAGAGCAGAAGCTGGCTGGTGGGACAGCCCCAGGCCCAGTTCATTCCAAGTGGAGCTGTTCAGACAACAGCTCCCCGAGCTCGGGGCTGGCGTGGTATCACTCTTGTAGGGAGGAACCAGGGGCTGTGTGTCAAAGATGAACTAATTTCTACTCCATTTCCTTCTCAAACGCTTTTCCCTGTCTCTGGGAACTAGTGCCCTTGCCCTGGCTGTAGAGGCTCTCCTGCTTTCTGTTCAGGATTCCGGAGAGGAAAATTCTAAGCTCCTGTGTGTAGTAAGCCCTTGTGATAGGTCTTCTGGATTATTTAGTAGCATATGGTGGTTTGAAGATTTATTTCTGCCACGTAAGTAGATAGTTTTCAGGTGAAGCGCTGGAATTTACACTAGCCTTTGGGAACACTTTCATTTTAGTAGGGTGGCCATATGTCCCAATTTGTCTGGAGACAATGCCGGTTAAGACCCAATGTGCCAGTATAATTATTTTTATTTTCTCTGTGCCTATGCATACCCAAGTGTAATTATTAAAACTACTCCCTTTCATTCTTAGAAGTAGCCCATTGGAACCGTAAGCCATGTGGTCACTGGAATTCTAGGACAGATTTCATTTGCCCTGGTCTCGGTTCCTACTCCCTGAACCCCCTCCCCAGTCATTCTCTCTCCGACTTAACCAGTCCCGCTAATTTACCTCCAGGGCCCCTCAACTGTGCAGCCCAGGAAGCCCTTTTCACCACAGGTTGGTTGTGTAATTGGCTTCTGTCATTACTGTGGCCTGTGATGCTATGTGAGGATGAAAACCATATACTTTAATTACCTCCTGCCTAAAGGAATCATGAAAAATAGATGAATCCCAGTTGTAAACACCCTGAGGAAGATGGAGCACTGAGTGGCTGTCCTGTGCAACTAACTTCCTGAAGAGTTGTCATCACTTTAACTTGTTTTTTATTTCTGACTACGTTAAGACAAAACTCAGGGCAGCTTCAGGGCCAATGTGGGTTGTTAGGCCAGCCCAGGGTCTTGAAGAAAGTTCAACTGAGGTACAGTCACGCGCTGAATAACAGCGTTTCGGTCAATGACAGACCACATATACGATGGTGGTCTCATAAGCTTATAGTGGAGTGAAAAAACTGCTGTTGCCTAGTGGTGTCTTGGCTGTGGTAATGCCATGGAATGATGACTTAATTTTATTATTTCTGTTTTACTTTATTTATTATTATTTTGAGACAGAGTCTCACTCTGTCGTCCAGGCTGGAGTGCAGTGGCGCGATCTCGGCTCACTGCAACCTCCGCCTCCTGGGTTCAAGCGATTCTCCTGCCTCAGCCTCCCGAGTAGCTGAGGTTACAGGCACGCACCACCACGTCTGGCTAATTCTTTTTTGTATTTTTAGTAGAGATGGGGTTTCACCATGTTGGCCAGGCTGGCCTCAAACTCCTGACCTCAGGTGATCCACCCGCCTCAGCCTCCCAAAGTGCTGGGATTACAGGGGTGAGCCACCGTGCCCGGCCCATTTTATTTTATTATTTTAGTATTGTTATTTACTATTATTTTTTGAGACAGAGTCTCACTCTGTTACCCAGGCTGGAGTATAGTGGTATGATCTCGGCTCACTGCAACCTCTGCTTCCCGGGTTCAAGGGATTCTCATGCCTCAGGCTCCTGACTGGCTGGGATTATAGGCGCACACCACCATGCCTGGCTATTTTTTTTTTTTTTTTGTACAGATGGGGTTTCACCATGTTGGTTAGGCTGGTCTTGAACTCCTGGCCTCAGTGATCGACCTGCCTCGGCCTCCCAAAGTCTTGGGATTACAGGCGTGAGCCACTGTGCCTGGTCCTTTATTATTATTTTTTTTAGAGATGGGGTCTTGTTCTGTCGCCCAGGCTGGAGTTCAGTGGCATTATCATAGCTCACTGCAGCCTTGAACTCCTGGGCTCAAGTGATCCTCGCACATCAGCCTCAGAGGTAGCTAGGACTACAGGCACGTGCCACTGTGCCTGGCTAATTTTTTTTTTTTTATATTTGAGATGGAGTCTTGCTCTGTCACCCAGGCTGGAGTGCAATGGTGTGATCTCGGCTCACTGCAGCCTCCACTTCCCAGGTTCAAGCAATTCTCCTGCCTTAGCCTCCCAAGTAGATGGTATTTACAGGTGCCCAACACCATGCCTGGCTAATTTTTTGTATTTTTAGTAGAGACAGGATTTCACCATGTTGGCCAGGCTGATCTTGAACTCTTGACCTCAGGTGATCTGCCCACTTTGGCTTCTCACAGTGTTGGGATTACAGGCGTGAGCCACCGCTCCTGGCCGTTTTTGTTTTGTTTTGTTTAGTTTTTTTTTTGGGGGAGAGAGTCTCACTCTATCACCCAGGCTGGAGTACAGAGGCACCATCTCAGCTCACTGCAACCTCCGCCTCCTGGGTTCAAGTAATTCTCCTGCCTCAGCCCCCCGAGTAGCTGGGATTACAGGCACGCACCACCACACCCAGCTAGTTTTTATATTTTAAGTAGAGGGGATTTTGCCATGTTGGCCAGGTTGGTCTCAAACTCCTGACCTCAGGCATTCTGCCCACCTCGGCCTCCCAAAGTGCTGAGATTATAGGCATGAGCCACTGCACTGGCCTACATTTTTTATTTTTAGTAGAGACAGGGTTTCACCATGTTGGCCAGGCTGGTCTCAAACTCCTGACCTCAAGTGATCCACCTGCCTTGGCCTCCCAGAGTGCTGAGATTACAGGCAAGCCACCAGGCCTGGCCTAATTTTTGTATTTTTAGTAGAGACAGGGTTTCACCATTTTGGCCAGGTTGGTCTCAAACTCCAGACCTCAAGTGATCCACCCACCTTGGCCACCCAAATTTCTGCGATTACAGGCGTGAGCCACCGTGCCCAGTTTATTTTTAATTTTTTTGTAGAGATGGGGGTCTCCCTATGTTGCCCAGGCTGATCTTGAAGTCCTGGCCTCAAGTAATTCTCCCACCTCAGCCTTCCAAAGCACTGGGATGGCAAGAGTGAACCACTTTGCCCAGCCTATTCTTTTTTAAGAGATGGGGGTCTTGCTATGTTGCCCAGGCTGGAGTGCAGTGGTTCACAAATGCTATCCCACTACTGATTAGCATGGGAGTCCTGACCAGCTCTGTTTCCTACCTGGGCCAGTTCACCCCTTCTTAGGCAACCTAATGGTCCCCAGCTCCAGGGAAGTCACTATATTAATGTTGAACTTAGTGCTGACACCAGATCAGGATAGCTCACTACAGCCCAGAAATCCTTTGCTCAAGCAATCCTCCTGCCTCAGCCTCCCTCAGCCTCTAGAGTAGCTGGGACTCAAGGTGCATGCCATGGCGCCTGACTGCTTAATTTCTTTCTTTCTTTTTGAGATGGAGTCTCACACTGTCGCCTGGGCTGGAGTGCAATGGCTTGATTTCGGCTCACTGCAACCTCCACCTCCTGGGTTCACGCAATTCTCCTGCCTCAGCCTCCCGAGTAGCTGGGATTACAGGTGCACACCACCACACCCGGCTAATTTTTTGTATTTTTAGTAGAGACAGGGTTTCACTATGTTGGCTAGACTGGTCTCGAGCTCCTCACCTCGTGATCCACCCACCTCGGCCTCCCAAAGTGCTGGGATTACAGGCATGAGCCACCGTGCCTGGCCACTTAATTTCTTTATAAATTTAGTGTAGCCTAAGTGTACAGTGTTCATGAAGTCTGTAGTAGTGTACGGTAATGTCCCAGGCCTCACTACTCACTGAATGACTCACCCACAGCGAATTCCAGTCCTGCAAGCTCCATTCATGTTAAGTGCCCTATATAGGTGTACCATTTTTTAATCCTTTATGCCATATTTTTACTGTACCTTTTCTATGTTTAGATACACAAATACCATTGTGTTACAACTGTCTACAGTATTCAGTACAGTGCTGTACAGGTTTGTAGCCTAGGAGCAACAGGCTAGACAATCTAGCCTAGGTGTGCTGTAGGCTGTACCAGCTAGGTGTGAGTAAAGACACCCTGTGGTGTTTGCACAACAATGTATTTCTCAGAACATGTCCCTGTCATAATGGGGCGATGACAGTGCTTCCAGAGAGGCCTCCCTCTCCAGGAGCCACAGCTCCCATCGTTTCTTTCCCAGCTGCTTCACTCAGTTTACCATTCCCGCCTGGTGCCTAAAAAGTCTGAGTTTGTGAACTCAGCTCTAAATTTCCCTTCCTGTCTTTGTTACCTATCGTTCACGCTGGAATGAATGGAAAAGGCTTGAAGGAAAGCCTGCCAGCCGCTCAGATTGACTTTGCAAGGGGGATCACCACAGGTAAGACAGGCCTGACCCTAAGACTCAAACCACCCTATTCGCAAAGATGTCAGTGATATTAGCTAACCTTTGCTAAGTAACTCCTACTTGCCAGTCACTATTCTAGGCATTTTCCTGCTGACAACCTTAAGGGGAATGTGATTTTATTATCCCCATTTTATAGGTAAAGAAAGTGGCTGGCTGGGCGCGGTGGCTCACGCCTATAATCCCAACACTTTGGGAGGCTGAGGCGGGCAGATCACGAGGTCCAGAGATCGAGACTATCTTCGCCAACATGATGAAACCCCCTGTCTACTAAAAATACAAAAATTAGCTTGGCATGGTGGCACACGCCTGTAGTCCTAGCTACTCCGGAGGCTGAGGCAGGAGAATTGCTTGAACCCAGGAGGCAAAGGTTGCAGCGAGCCAAGATCATGCCGCTGCACTCCAGCCTGGGTGACAGAACGAGACTCTGTCTCAAAAAAAAAATTGCTCTTTATTTTCTGATTTTTTTTTTTTTTTTTTTTTTGAGATGGAGTCTGGCTCTGTCGCCCAGGCTGGAGTGCAGTGGAGCGATCTCGGCTCACCGCAAACTCCGCCTCCCAGGTTCATGCCATTCTCCTGCATCAGCCTCCTAAGTAGCTGGGACTACAGGCGCCCGCCACTGCACCTGGCTAATTTTTTGTATTTTTAGTAGAGACGGGGTTTCACCGTGTTAGGCAGGATGGTCTTGATCTCCTGACCTCGTGATCTGCCCGCCTCGGCCTCCCAAAGTGCTGGGATTACAGGCATGAGCCACAGCGCCTTATTTTCTGATTATAGAAGTAATTGTTCATTATAGAAAAATTGGAAAGTACAGAAAAATAAAGACATACATTTGCAAAATTACAAAATAAAACAAGTTATCTCTATTTCCACCCTGAAATATAATCCCATATTTAGTAAGGGTTCTTCCAGGCCTTTTTTTATTCCTGAGTATATGTATTTCTAAACACAGCTGGGATCATTTGACACATCTGTTTTGCATCCTGATTTTTAAAATGTCTTCTATTTTCCCATGGCATGTTCTGCTCTTTTACATTACTGTTATTATTTTTAAAATTAGAGACATGGTCTTGCTATGTTTCTGCCCAGGCTGGTCTTGAACTCCTGGGTTCAAGTGATCCTGCCATCTCAGCCTCCCGAGTAGCTGTGACTACAGGCATGCAGCACTCCACCCAGCTTCTTTTATATCGTTTTTAAATGGTTGCAAAGTCTTATATTATATATATATGTACTGTGATGAATTTTCTTCTTAACTGATTCCCTATTGTTGGACATTTATGTAACTTCCAAGCTGTTATTATTAACCAGCATGCCAATTTTCGATGAGAAATGTATCTGGCAAGTAAATAAGACTATTCTGCAAGTTGATCACACATCTTTTCCCTATGAGAAAGGATGTGGAAAATCTAACTGTATCACAGAATTCAAAAAAGAGGCATTGATTGATCCTAGTAACTGGAGTCAGGAAGCTGTGTCATAGCCTGTTAATATTGTATTTGGACATATATTCTGATAACATTATCTACATTGCAGCCTTCCAAATTACATCAAAGACAATGCCCTAATCATGTCAAGTTCTCCTCCACACCGTTAGAGATAGCTGGAGCTGAATGGGTTCTGCTGGTGATTAATCTTACCTCTCCTGCCACTCTCAGGGTCCTGAGTGCCCTTCACCATCATCCCCATGGACTGACACCTACACATCTTACATACTTGTCCTTTGTGTATACACACTACCTTGCAATCTTTTCCCGCATAACTTACATCTCATTTCTTTGTGTGGAAAGAATCCATATCTTTGTACCATTTCAGTATTCAATTGACAAACTGTAGCAGCTTTATACACTATTAGATGAATGTATAGATTAGTGGAAACCTGTTCACTATCCTTTTCTCTTGGAAGCATTTACAAAATGGTTTAACGCGTGTCTTTGTTTTTGTTTTTTGTTTTGTTTTGTTTTGTTTTAGTTGGAGTCTCGCTCTGTCGCCCAGGCTGGAGTGCAATGGCACAATCTCGACTCACTGCAACCTCTGCCTCCCAGGTTCAAGCAATTCTCCTGCCTCAGCCTCCTGAGTAGCTGGGATTACAGGTGCCCACCACCACACCTGGCTAATTTTTGTATTTTTAGTAGAGACAGGGTTTCACCATATTGGCCAGGCTGGTCTCTTGGCCAGGCTGGTCTCGAACTCCTGACCTCGTGATCCGCCCGCCTCGGCCTCCCAAAGTCCTGTGATTACAGGCGTGAGCCACTGCACCTGGCCTGTGTATTTTTCTTTCTTTCTTTCTTTTTAAATCAAGGTGACTTTGCAGATCTAAGCAGACTTTTTTTTTCTTGCACACCTAATATGTGCCAGATACTGTTCTAAGATGCTTGGGATCATCAGTGAACAAAAAACAAAAACAAAAACAAAAATCCCTCCCCTCATGAGTTTAAATTCTAGAGGGCGGGTACTGTTGGATTTCACTGTGTGGTATCAATATACTAGCATCTGCTTAGCCATACTCTTATTCCAGTTTCAGTGAGTTCTGCCAGTTTGGATTGTGGCATAGACATTTTAACTTAGCTATATTTACAAGATAGCTTAAATAGTGTGGCTTTTTTAATTAAATAAATTTTCTGACTGGGCAAGGTGGCTCATGCCTGTAATCCCAGCACATGGGGAGGAGAGGCAGGAGGATCACTTGAGCCCAGGAGTGTTGGTACATATCTGTAGTCCCAGCTACTCAGGAGGCCGAGGCGAAGGCATTGCCTGAGCCCAGAACATTGAGGCTGCACTGAGCTATAATCACACCACTGCACTCCAGCCTGGGCAACCTCGCAAGATCCTGTCTCAAAAATAAAATAACAATACATAAATTTTTTTTTTTTTTGAGACAGAGTTTTGCTCTTGTTGCCCAGGCTGGAGTGCAATGGCGAGATCTCTGCTCACTGCAACCTCTGCCTCCCGAGTTCAAGCAATTCTTCTGCCTCAGTCTCCCAAGTAGCTGGGGTTACAGGCGCCCACCACCACACCTAGCTAATGTCTGTATTTTTAGTAGAAACGGTGTTTCACCATGTTGGCCAGGCTGGTCTCAAACTCCTGACCTCAGGCAATATGCCTGCCTCGGCCTCCCAAAGTGCTGGGATTACAGGCGTGAGCCGCTGCACCCGGCCAAAATTTTCTACTTATGTATGAAGAGCATGGAGAGTAGAGTAAGAAGACAAGAAGAAAAGGACACGTACACAACAGGACGCTACAGTTTTCTTAAATATTAAGTATGTTGGTTGCAGTGGCTTATGCTGTAATCCCAACACTTTGGGAAGCGGAGGCAGGCAGATCACTTGAGGCCAGAAGTTCAAGGCAAACCTTGGCAACATAGCAAGACTTCATCTCTACAAAATATTTTACAAACTAGCCAGGCATAGTGGCACGCCTGTAGTCCCAGCTACTCAGGAGGCTAAGGCTGAAGGACGGCTTGAGCCCAGGAGTTGGAGGTTAAGGTGAGCTAGGATTGAGCCACTGCACTCCAGCCTGGGCAACAGAATGGCACCTTGTCTCTGAAAAATAAATAAATAAATCTCATTTATCTTTTTCACTCAGTACTGTATTTAAAAAAAAATTTTTTTTTAATTTTATTTTAGAGATAGAAGTCTACCTCTGTTGCTCAAGCTGGTCTTGAACTCCTGGCCCCAAGTGATCCTCCTGCCTCAGCCTCCCAACTTGCTGGATTACAGGCATGAGCTGCTGCACCTGCCCAGGTACTGCATCTTAAAGAACCATCCCACAGAATTTGAGGGAAAGTGGTTTAAAAAAAAAAAATCCTTGTTGCTCTGTGTTCATCCTTCCCATGTTTCTAACTGCTGTAAAGTGTTTCACAGCAAATATCCTCCTTCATCCTCCTTCCTTTACCCATCTTCTTTCCAGGACAAGAGACAGGGTGCCAAGATCGTTCCAACTCCCTGTCCCACAGCTACAACTTATTCAAAAAAGTTCCCAGCCTGTAATCCCAGCACTTTGGGAGGCTGAGCCGAGGGGATCATTTGAGCCCGGGAGGTTGAGACCAGCCCAGGCAACATAGTAAGACCTCATCTCTACAAAAAATAAATAATAAAAAAATTAGCTGGGTGTAGTGGTGTACACCTGTAGTCCCAGCTACTTGGGAGGCTAAAGAGGAGGGATCACTTCAGCCCAGGGAGATTGAGGCTGCAGTGAGCAGTGATTGAGCCACTGCAATCCAGCTTTGGCAACAGCGAGATCCTGCCTCAAAAAAAAAAAAAAAACCCTACAAAACCCAACATGTGCCCTTAGGCCCTGTCCCTGGGTGCAGCCTTGCTGGGTCACAGGGCTTGTGGGCCTGTGGGTACTTATTTTACTTTAGTTATTGAGTCAGCTCTCCCTTCCCACTGGAGCACGGAAGGGCCCTGCATTCCCCTATTCTCCCCAGTGTATGGCACCATCCCACTTTCTAACTCGCCAGTCTCATAGATATAAAGTGGATCTCATTTTAATTTTGCATGTCTCTAATCATTTTGAGTATCTAATGATTTTGAGTATTTCTATATGATGATTAACTTTTTTGGTTTCCTTGACTGTAGATTGCCTGTTCATATCCTTTGCCAATTTTCCCATTGGAGTTGTTCTTGTCTGGTTAATTGGTGAGAGCTTCCAGATATTAACCTCTTGTCAGTTTTTTAATTGAGATATAATTCATATACCAAAACATTCACCCTTTCTAAAAATTTGTTTTATTTTTTTTAGAGGCAGTCTCACCATGTTGCCTAGGCTGGTTTCAAACTCCTGGGCTCAAGCGATCCTCCTGCCTCAGCCTCCGGAAGTGCTGGGATTACAGGTGTGAGCCACTGGGCCTGGCCTTCACCCTTTTAAAATATACAATTCAGTAGGGTTTTAAAGTTTATTTACAGAGTTGTGCAACCATCATCATAATCTTAGAACATTTTCATCATCTCCAAAAGAAGTCATGTACCCACTAGCAGCCGCTCCCTCTCCTCCCCTTTTCTTTTTTGAGACGGAGTTTTGTGCCTGTTGCCCAGGCTGGAGTGCAATGGCAAGATCTCTCTGCTCACTGCAACCTCTGCCTCCCAGGTTCAAGCGATTCTCCTGCCTCAGGAGAGAAACTCTGGAAACCACTAATTTACTGTCTCTACCATTTTGCCTATTCTAGACATTTTATATAAATGGACTCATACAGTATATGGCCTTTTGGGTCTTGCTCTCTCACCCAGGCTGGAGTGCAGTGGCACGATCATGGCTCACTGCAGCTTTGAACTCCTGGGTTCAAGCAATCCTCCTGCCTCAATCTTCCAAGTGGCTGGGTTACAGGTGTGCATCACCATGCCTAGCTGTTCCTTATTAGTTTTAAACATTTCATTTCCCCCCCCAGCATCAAGTATCTTGTCCACAATATCTACATTGAACAGAAATCCTTAATATTGATAAAATAAAATTCAGTTATGTTTCTTTTTCTTGGGATCTGTACTTTTGCATTTCTGGTTAAGAACTTCTTTACTCTTAGGCCGGGCGCGGTGGCTCACGCCTGTCATTCCAGCACCTTGGTAGGCCGAGGCGGGCCAATCACCAGGTCAGGAGATCAAGACTATTCTGGCTAACAGGATGAAACCCCATCTCTACTAAAAAAACACAAAAAATTAGCCGGGCGCAGTGGTGGGTGCCTGTAGTCCCAGCTACTAGGGAGGCTGAGGCAGGAGAATGGTGTGAACCCAGGAGGCAGAGCTTTCAGTGACCCGAGATCACGCCACCGCACTCCAGCCTGGGCAACAGAGCAAGACTATCTCAAAAAACAAAGAAACAAACAAAAAAAAACTTCTTTACTCTTAGGTGACAAAAATAGAGACTTACTGTTTTGCCCAGACTGGAGTTCAGTGGCACGATCATGGCTCACTGTAGCTTCAACCTCCTGGGCTCAAACAGTCCCCCACCTCATTCTCCTTCATAGGTGGGACTACAGGCACATGCCACTGTGTCCGGAGTTGGTGGGTTCTTGGTCTGACTGACTTGAAGAACGAAGCCGCGGACCCTCATGGTGAGTGTTACAGCTCTTAAGGTGGCACGTCTGGAGTCTGTTCCTTCTGATGTTCAGATGTGGTCGGAGTTTCTTTCTTCTGGTGGGTTTGTGGTCTCGCTGGCTCAGGAGTGAAGCTGTAGACTTTCGTGGTGAGTGTTACAGCTCTTAAGGCAGCGCGTCTGGAGTTGTTTTTCCTCCCGCTGACCTCGTGGTCTCGCCGGGCTCAGGAGTGAACCTACAGAGTGAACCTACAGATCTTCGCAGACAATGTTACAGCTCATGAAAGCAACGTGGACCCAAAGAGTGAACAGTAGCAAGATTTATTGCAAAGAACAAAAGAACAAAGAAACCTTCCACAGTGTTGAAGAAAACCCGAGTAGGTTGTCACTGCTGGCTCTGGCAGCCTGCTTTTATCCTCTTATCTGGCCCCACCCACATCCTGCTGATTGGTAGAGCCGAGCGGCCTGTTTTGTCAGGGCGCTGATTGGTGCGTTTACAATCCCTGAGCTAGATACAAAGGTTCTCCACATCCCCATCAGATTAGTTAGATACAGAGTTTTGACACACGGGTTCTCCAAGGCCCCACCAGAGCAGCTAGATACAGAGTGTCGATTGGTGCACTCACAAACCTTGAGCTAAACACAGGGTGCTGATTGGTGTATTTACAATCCCTGAGCTAGATATAAAGGTTCTCCAAGACCCCACCAGATGCAGCTAGATACAGTGTGGATTGGTGCATTCACAAACCTTGAGCTAAACACAGGATGGTGATTGGTGTATTTACAATCCCTGAGCTAGACATAAAGACTCTCCACGTCCCCACCAGACTCAGGAGCCCAGCTGGCTTCACCCAGTGGATCCCGCACTGGGGCTGCAGGTGGAGCTGCCTGCCAGTCCTGCGCCGTGCGCTCGCACTCCTCAGCCCTTGGGTGGTCAATGGGACTGGCCGCCCTGGAGCAGGGGGTGGTGCTCGTCCGGGAGGCTCGGGCGGCACAGGAGCCCATGGAGTGGGTGGGAGGCTCAGGCATGGCGGGCTGCAGGTCCTGAGCCCTGCCCCGCGGGAAGGCAGCTAAGGCCCAGCGAGAAATCGAGCACAGCGCCGGTGGGCCGGCACTGCTGGGGGACCCAGTACACCCTCCGCAGCCACTGGCCCGGGTGCTAAGTCCCTCATTGCCCGGGGCCAGCAGGGCTGGCTGGCTGCTCCGAGTGCGGGGCCCACCAAGCCCACGCCCACCTGGAACTTCAGCTGGCCCGGCAGCGCCGCAGGAAGCCCTGGTTCATGCTCGCGCCTCTCCCTCCATACCTCCCTGCAAGCTGAGGGAGTGGGCTCCAGCCTTGGCCAGCCCAGAAAGGGGCTCCCACAGTGCAGTGGGGGGCTGAAGGGCTCCTCAAATGCCGCCAAAGTGGGAGCCCAGGCAGGGGAGGTGCCGAGAGTAAGCGAGGGCTCTGAGGACTGCCAGCACGCTGTCACCTCTCACCACCATGCCTGGCTAATTTTTTTTTTTTTTTTTTTGAGACCAAGTCTCGCTCTGTCACCCAGGCTGGAATGCAGTGGCGCAATCTCGGCTCACTGCAACCTCTGCCCCCAGGGTTCTAGCAATTCTCCTACCTCAGCCTCCTGAGTAGCTGGGATTACAGGCGCCTGCCACCATGCCCGGCTAATTTTTTTTGTATTTGTAGTAGAGACGGGGTTTCGCCATGTTGGCCAGGCTGGGCTTGAACTCTTGACCTCAGGTGATCCACCTGTCTTGGCCTCCCAAAATGCTGGGATTACAGGCACAAACCACTGTGCCTGGCCTTTTTTTTTTTTTTTTTTAATTTTGTTATTGTCTGTCAACTTATACCTAACCAGCCAAGTTTTGCATTTTTTATAGAGATGGGGTTTTGCCATGTTGCTCAGACTGGTCTCAAACTCCTGAGCTCAAGTGATCCACCTGCCTTAGCCTCCCAAAGTGTTGGGATTACAGGCGTGAGCCACACAACCCAAAATATTATTTTTTATTTTCTCTTACATTTAAGTTTTTTTTTTTTTTTCTTGAGACGGATTCTTGCTCTGTCACCCAGGCTGGAGTGCAGTGGTGCGATCTCAGCTCACTGCAACCTCTGCCTCCTGGGTTCAAGCGATTCTCCTGCTTCAGCCTCCTGAGTAGCTGGGACTACAAGCGCGTGCCACCATCCAGCTAATTTTTTGTATTTTCAGTAGAGACGGGGTTTCACCGTTTTAGCCAGGATGGTCTTGATCTCCTGACGTCGTGATCCCAGCCTCCCAAAGTGCTGGGATTACAGGCGTGAGCCACCGCGCCCGGCCCTTAAGTTTTTAATCCATCTGGTTTCCTCTTGTACATGGTGTTGGGTAGGATCCAGTTTTATGTGCCTCTGGATAGTGAGCTAATCTTCCAGCGCTATATCCGAACAGTCCGTTCCTGTCTCAGTGATCTGTGCTGCCACTGTTATTCTGTATTAAGCTCCCACATATGTGTCTCTAGCTTCTCTTTTCTTTTATTCTTTTTCTAGATGAAGTCTTACTCTGTTGCCCAGGCTGGAGTGCAGTGGCGCAATCTTGGCTCACTGCAACCTCCACCTCCTGGGTTCAAGTGATTCTCCTGCCTCAGCCTCCCAAGTAGCTGGGACTACATGCATGCACTATCAGGCCTGGCTAATTTTTTGTATTTAGTAGAAACAGGGTTTCACCATGTTGGTCAGGCTGGTCTCCAACTCCTGACCTCAGGTGATCCACCCCCCTCAGCCTCCCAAAGTGCTGGGATTACAGGGGTGAGCCACCATGCCCAGCCAATATTTTTTAGTTTTGCTAGTGTGAATAGAATATTTTTTTGGGGGGGTTATATTTCTAGTTGATTTTTTGCTGATGTGGAAATAAATGTTATTGCTTGATTTTTTTATCCAGCTACTTTGCTAAATTCTCTTATTAGCAATAATAATTTATCTCTAATCATTTTTTTATTGTTGTTGATTCTGGTTTATTTTCTTTCTTTATTTTTCTTTATTTTTTTGAGATGGAGTCTCACCCTGTCACTCAGGCTGGAGTGCAGTGGTGCAATCTCAGCTCACTGCAGCCTCAGCCTCCCAGGTTCAAGTGATCCTTCCACCTCAGCCTCCCAAGTAGCTGGGATTGCAGGTGCCTGCCATCATGCCTGGCTAATTTTTGTATTTTTAGTAGAGATGGGGTTTCACCATGTTGGCCAGGCTGATCTTGAACTCCTGGCCTCAAGTGATCCACCCACCTTGGCCTCCCAGAGTGCTGGAATCAAAGGTGTGAGCCACTGCACCTAGCCTATTTTCTTTCTTTCTTTCTTTCTTTTTTTTTTGGTTGAGATGGAGTTTCACTCTGCTGCCCAGGCTGGAGCACTGTGATGTGATCTCAGCTCACTGCAATCTTCACCTCCCAAGTAGCTGGGACTACAGGCAGGCACCACCACACCTGGCTAATTTTTGGATTTTTAATAGAGATGGGGTTTCATGGTGTTGCCCAGGCTGGTCTCGAACTGCTGATTTCAAGTGATCTGCCCGCCTCAGCCTCCCAAAGTGCTGGAATTACAGGCATGAACCACCACGCCTGGCCCAATTCTGGTTGATTTTCTGTATAATTAGATATCTGCAAATAATGAATTTGCCTCTTTTTTTTTTTTTTTTTTTTTGAAATGGAGTCTCGCTCTGTCACCAGGCTGGAGTGCAGTGGCGCGACCTTGACTCGCTGCAACCTCTGCCTCCTGGATTCAAGTGATTCTCCTGTCTCAGCCTCCCGAGTAGCTGGGATTACAGGCATGTGCCACCACGCCCTGCTAATTTTTGTATTTTTAGTAGAGACAGGGTTACACCATGTTGGCCAGAATGGTCTTGATCTCTTGACCTCGTGATCTGCCCGCCTCGGCCTCCCAAAGTGCTGGGATTATAGGCATGAGCCACCGCACCTGGCCTTGCCTCTTGGTTTTGTTTGTTTGAGACAGAGTCTCACTCTGTTGCCCAGGCAGGAGTACAGTGGCATAATCATGAGTCACTGCAGCCTTGGCCTCCTAGGCTCAACTGATTCTCTCATCTCAGCCTTCCAAGTAGCTGGGACCACAGGCACACACCACCGTGCCCAGCTAAGTTTTGTAATTTTTGTAGCGATGGGGTCTCACCCTGTTGCCCAGGCTGATCTTGAACTCCTGGGCTTAAGTGATCCTCCCACTTCTGCCTCCCAAAGTGCTGGGATTATAGGCATGAGCCACCGTGCCTAGTCTCAAATTCTTTATACAACAAATCTTTGGAAGCATTTCTGAAAAGAGCAGAACATTGTTTATTGAGTATGTCTGAGATTTGACCTATTCCAGATTATTTCCAGGGTTTAGATATCTTAACTCCCAAAACAACACGGTGATTAAATATATATATATATGTTTTGGCATAAAAGGGAATGGTTTGTAATATGGGACATAAGGTATTATAAGAAATAAACACATTTTAAAACATAGTGCCTCCAGAAAGTATATCAGAGTGTGACTCATTAGGACATCTTAAATGGCTGATATTCTGTATAGATGGAAAACATGTCCATGTTTACCTAAAATTAGAAAAGAATAATACGTTACATAAAACAGGAAATACTTAATGTAAAAACAGAATATATCGTATTTACCAATTCTCATACTAGAAAACACGTAGAGCAATAGTAAAGTGGTATCTGAACTCCCCTTTCCTAGGATTCTTGTTGATCTGAAACACGAGCGTGAAGAAAGGTCAGATTTGGCACCAGCTGCAGGCTGAGAAGCGCGCAGAGCTACAGCCAGCCTGCAGGGTGGTCTGCTCTTGCTTCGGGCTTTCTCTGAGTCTGTACATCTGGAGTGGCCTTCTTCGTAGTAAGTGTACACAGTAGAGGTTGTTCTCTTGTGTTAAAGAAGTCTGGAGGCTCATTTCCAGGCAGTGTGGTGGCTCCCTGAGGCTATCAGTGCCCCAGGCTCCTTCTGTTTTTTTTCCACTGCCATCCTCAGCCTGTGGCTTCTTTAAGGTCACACCACATGTGGAAGATGGCCCCTTTAGCTCCAGCCATCACATCCACATTCCAGTCAGGAAGAAAGAGGAAGCCAAGTCAGCTCCCCTTAAAGCATCACTCTCCAACTTTAGCTCAACATGTGTAACTCAACAGGGGGTCTTGTTATAATATAGATTCAGATTCAGTAGGTCTGGGCTGGGGCCCAAGATTCTGCATTTCTAACAAAGTACCACACTTGGAGTAACAAGGCTTTAAAGAACTTTCTGGAAGCTCTGCTCAGTGACTTCTGCTCTCATTTCACTGGCTAAAACTGCATCATATAACCAGATTCATTGGTACCCACAGAAAATTGGAAAACTGCTTGGTGTGGGGACCACTCCACTTCCCAAATCTGGTGTCAGAAATGATACCACCACAAAGAAGATGAGGAAAAAATAATTTAAAGAAAAAAAAAGTGACATGGTTTGGAAGTATTGTGTGTCACGAGTGAGAGTATAGAAGAAAACTGAAAACTCGGCTGGGCACGGTGGCTCACCCCTGTAATCCCAGCACTTTGGGAGGCCAAGGCAGGCAGATCACAAGGTCAGGAGTTTGAGACCAGCCTGGCCAAGATAGTGAAACCCCATCTCTACTAAAAATACAAAAATTAGTCGGGCATGGTGGTGTGTGCCTGTAGTCCCAGCTACTTGGGAGGCTGAAGCAGGAGAATTGCTTGAACCCGGGAGACGAAGGTTGTGGTGAGCCAAGATTGCGCCACTGCACTCCAGCCTGGGCAACAGAGCGAGACTCCATCTCAAAAAAGAAAACTGAAAACTCTTTTTCCCTCGCAGTGGCCTGTGAGAGGGGCTAGGGTAATGTTCTGAAGGGCTAAGAAAGACTCGTCCCCTGGCTTGGTCTTGCATGTATTCTTCATATTCAGCTTGTGGTGGTTTTTAACTCCACATATAAACCTCCAAGATCCTGTAGCTCTACAACTATATCGATATGAAAAGCTTTGGCTGGCACGGTGGCTCATGCCTGTAATCCCAGCACTTCGGGAGGCTGAGGCGGCAGATCATGAGGTCAGGAGTTTGAGATCAACCTGACCAACATGGTGAAACCCCGTCTCTACTAAAAATACAAAAACTAGCTGGGTGTGGTGGCAGGCACCTGTAATCCCAGCTACTCAGGAGGCCGAGGCAAGAGAATCGCTTGAACCCAGGAGATGGAGGTTTCAGTGAGCCGAGATTGCGCCACTGCACTCCGGCCTGGGTGACAGACAGAGATTCCGTCTTAAAAAAAGATAGAAAGAAAGAAATCTTTAAAAAAATCTTCAGGAGGCCGGGCACGGTGGCTCACGCCTGTAATCTCAGCACACTTTGGGAGGCTGAGGCAGGTGGATCACCTGAGGTCGAGAGTTTGAGACCAGCCTGACTAACATGGAGAAACCCCCTCTTTACTAAAAATACAAAATTAGCCGGGCATGGTGGCACGTGCCTGTAATCCCAGCTACTCGGGAGGCTGAGGCAGGAGGATCACTTGAACCCAGAGGCAGAGGTTGCAGTGAGCCGAGATTGTGCCATTGCACTCCAGTCTGGACAACAGCGAAACTCCATCTCCAAAAAAAAAAAAAAATCTTCAGGATCCTAATCCAACAGTAAAAAGATTGAGACATTCGTGATCATCAAGGGCAACAGATGAAACAAGAATGACAGGAGGTTTATGACTGTGCAGTTTGCTCTCTTTTATGAATCTGAATATTTTTCAAGAAAAAAAATTCAAAGATATCCAGAATATATAAAGAATTCCTACAATCCAACAACAACAAAAAGCAACCTGGTTAAAATACTAACTGCACAACAGTTAGGATGGCTATTTTTTTTTTTTTTGAGACTGCATCTCGCTCTGTTGCCCAGGCTGTAGTGCATGGTGCAATGATAGCTCACTGCAGCCTTGCGCTCCTGGGCTCAAGTGATTCTCCTGGCTCAGCCTCCCAAGTAACTGGGACTACAGGTGCGCCACCACACCTGGCTAATTATTTTTTTATTTTTTGTGGAGACGGTGTTTCACCATGTTGCCCAGGCTGGTCTTGAACTCCTGGGCTTAAGCAATCCTCCCACCTCGGCCTCCCGAAGTGTTGGGATTACAGGTGTGAGCCACCACTTCCAGCCCAGGATGGCTATTATAAAACAAAGAGAATCCCAGAAAATAACAGGTGGTGAGGATATAGATTGGAACTCTTGTGCATTGCTGGTCATTCGCAGAGGAACTGTAAAATGACACAGCCTCTGAGAATATAGGTACAGAAACCAAACCAAACTGTTTTTGCTATTCTCTCATGACGATCAACACAGAAGACTTCTGTGGCCTCTGGTCACTAAGAAGTGCATGCAGAGTTCTCCCTACTAGTAACCAATCAATCAATTCTATAGCAAACACCAGCTGGGTGTCCTCCAAATCAATTCCAACACTGTCTTTGTGGAGATAGCAACAGATCCCACAGGTTGAGGGCTCAGTCCCACAAGACCGCCCCCCGCTTCTTTTTTTTTTTTTTTTTTAATTTATTTTTTTATTGATAATTCTTGGGTGTTTCTCACAGAGGGGGATTTGGCAGGGTCATGGGACAATAGTGGAGGGAAGGTCAGCAGATAAACAAGTGAACAAAGGTCTCTGGTTTTCCTAGGCAGAGGACCCTTTGGCCTTCCGCAGTGTTTGTGTCCCTGATTACTTGAGATTAGGGATTCGTGATGACTCTTAACGAGCATGCTGCCTTCAAGCATCTGTTTAACAAAGCACATCTTGCACCGCCCTTAATCCATTTAACCCTGAGTGGACACAGCACATGTTTCAGAGAGCACAGGGTTGGGGGTAAGGTCACAGATCAACAGGATCCCAAGGCAGAGGAATTTTTCTTAGTGCAGAACAAAATGAAAAGTCTCCCATGTCTACTTCTTTCTACACAGACACGGCAACCATCCGATTTCTCAATCTTTTCCCCACCTTTCCCGCCTTTCTATTCCACAAAGTCGCCATTGTCATCCTGGCCCGTTCTCAATGAGCTGTTGGGCACACCTCCCAGACGGGGTGGTGGCCGGGCAGAGGGGCTCCTCACTTCCCAGTAGGGGCGGCCGGGCAGAGGCGCCCCTCACCTCC
Source organism: Homo sapiens (assembly GCF_000001405.40). Taxonomy (NCBI): domain Eukaryota; kingdom Metazoa; phylum Chordata; class Mammalia; order Primates; family Hominidae; genus Homo; species Homo sapiens. The sequence goes on along the minus strand of NC_000006.12, from coordinate 33,525,563 downwards.
CGGACGGGGCGGCTGGCCGGGCGGGGGGGCTGACCCCCCCCCACCTCCCTCCCGGACGGGGCAGCTGGCCGGGCGGGGGGCTGACCCCCCCACCTCCCTCCCGGACGGGGCGGCTGGCCGGGCAGAGGGGCTCCTCACTTCCCAGTAGGGGCGGCCGGGCAGAGGCGCCCCTCACCTCCCGGACGCGCCCCCCGCTTCTGATGCCAATTGTAAGCTCCAGGTTGTCTAGCCTGTGCTTCCAACCAAGGGGCTATAAATCAGAGTTCCCATGACCCTCTCCTTGCATTCTATTAATCTGCTGGAGTGGCTCACAGAACTCAGGGAAACACGTGCTTATGTTTACCAGTTTATTATGTTGACCTAAGGAAAGAAACTGAGGCAAAATAGATATAGAGAGTTTATTTGGGCCAAGGTTGAGGACTGCAGCCTGGGAAACACTGGGAAGTGGCCCAGAGAACAAAGGAGAGGGTGTTTGTTTGTTTGTTTGTTTGTTTGTTGAGACAGTCTCGCTCTGTTGCCCAGGCTGGAGTGCAGTGGCGCGATCTCGGTTCACTGCAACCCCTGCCTCCCGGGTTCAAGCGATTCTCCTGCCTCAGCCTCCTGAGTACCTGGGATTACAGGTGCCCACCATCACGCCTGGATAATTTTTGTATTTTTAGTAGAGACAGGGTTTCCCTATGTTGGCCAGGCTAGTCTCGAACTCCTGACTTCATGATCCACCTGCGTCAGCCTCCCAAAGTGTTGGGATTACAGGTGTGAGCCACCGCGCCCAGCCTGATAATTTTTTAAATTAATTTTTTGTTTTGTTTTGAGACAGGGTCTCACTCTGTCATCCAGGCTGGAATGCAGTGGTGTGATCATTGCTCACTGCAGCCTCTACTTCCCAGGCTCAAGTGATTCTCCCACCTCAGCCTCCTGAGTAACTGGGACTACAGGTGTGCATCACCCTGCCTGACTAATTTTTTTCTATTTTTTGTAGAGATGGGGTCTCCCTATGTTGCCCAGGCTTGTCTCGAACTCCTGGGCTTAAGCGATCCATCCACCTGGGCCTGCCAAAGTGCTAGGATTAAAGGCATGAGCTACTGTGCTGGGGCTGGGACTGATCATTTAAAGGGGGCTGGCATTCCTCACATAAGTTTCTTTCTCACTTACAAAGGATATTACTAAGGATACTGATGAACACCAGATGAAGAGATGAATAGGGTAATCTATGAGGGAAGGAGTGTGGAGCTTCCATGCCCTCTCCAGGTGCCCCACCCCTCCAGGAACCTCCAGGTGTTCAGCATGGAGGCTTCATTACTTAGGCATGATTGGTTAAATCGTTGGCCCTTGGTGATCAACTCAACCTTCAGCCCTCTCCCCTCCCTGGAAGTTTGGGGTCGTGCTAAAAGTCTCAAACTTCTAACCATGCCTTGGTCTTTCCGGTGACCAATCCCCATCCTGAAGCTACCTAGGGGCTACCAGCTACCAGCCAACTTATTAGCATACAAAAAGACACTTGTATTTTGAAGATTTCAAGGTTTCTAGGAGTTATATGTAAGGAGACCAAGTATATATTTCACAATATCACAAGCCACTGCGTAAAACAGTATGGCGGTTCCTCAAAAAATCGAACATAGAATTACAACATGATCCAGCAATTCCACTTCTGGGTATGTACCCAGAAGAATTGAAAAGAATTCAAAAGAATTGAGGCCGGGCATGGTGGCTCACGCCTGTAATCCCAGCACTTTGGGAGGCTGAGGCAGGCGGATCACCTGAGGTTAGGAGTTCGAGACCAGCCTGGCCAACATGGTGAAACCCCGTCTCTACTAAAAATACAAAAAATTAGCCGCGCGTGGTGGCAGGCGCCTGTCATCCCAGCTACTCAGGAGACTGAGGAATCACTTGAACCCGGGAGGCGGAGGTTGCAGTGAGCTGAGATTGTGCCACTGCACTCCAGTCTGGGCAAAAGGAGAGAAACTCCGTCTCAAAAAAAAAAAAAAATGAAAGCAGGGACTCAGATATTGGTACACTCAAGTTTATAGCAGCATTATTCACAACAGTCAAAAGAGGGAAGCAACCCAAGCATCCACCGATGGATGAATGGATAAACAAAATGTGGCATATGCATGCGATGGAATATTACTCAGCCTTAAAAAGGAAGGCGGTTCTGGCACATGCTACAACATGGATGAACCTTGAAGACACTATGCTAAGTGATATAAGCCCGTGACAAAATTATTGTATGATTCCACTTATATGAGGTACTTAGAGTAGTCACATTCATAGACACACAAAGTACAAGGGTGGTCGCCAGGGGCTGGAGAGAAGGGAATGAAGAGTATTCAGTTTAGCCTAAAGCTGCCTCCTTACAGTATAAGCTTGGCATAAAGGTTTCTCTGGCTGCGCATGGTGGCTCATGCCTGTAATCCCAGCACTTTGGGAGGCCGAAGTGGGCGCATCACCTGAGGTTGGGAGTTTGAGACCAGCCTAACCAACATGGAGAAACCCCATCTCTATTAAAAGTACAAAATTAGCTATGCGCGGTGGCACATGCCTGTAATCCCAGCTACTCAGGAGGCTGAGGCAGGAGAATCGCTTGAAGCGGGGATGCGGAGGTTGCAGTGAGCCGAGATTGCACCATTGCACTCCAGCCTGGGTAAGAAGAGCGAAACTCCGTCTAAAAAATAAAGAAATAAAAATTTAAAAAAAAAGGTTTCTCTGTACATAGTGAACTGTAACCTAACTGGATGTGTAAACAGCCTGTACCAATCATGGAGTTTTGTACCAATCATGGAGTTTTAGCCAATAGGAAGCAGCCAGCTGTTCAAATGGTTCAAACAAGGCCAATGCCAAGCTGTAGCCAATCCAGCTGTTTCTATGCCTCACTTGCACTTTCTGCACGCTACTTGCTTTTTTCTGTTCACGCACCGTAGTCCTTTCTGGCCGCTGAGGCAGCACGGAGTCCTCTGAAATCTGGTGGTTCTGGGGGCTGCCGTGATGCAGGAATCATCCTTTGTTCAGTTAGACTCTGCTAAATTTAATTTGTCTTAAGTTTTTCTTTGAACAGGAGTTACTGTTTAATGGGTACAGAGTTGCAGTTTGGGAAGGAAAAAAAACATCTGAAAACGTATGGTAGTGACCATCGTGCAACCAGGTCAGTGTACTTAATGCCACAAAATGTGCACTTAGTGGCATTTGCGGAGCCTGTTTGCTTCTCTCAGCAGCCCCGACTGTCCTCTTCCCGCTGGAGGGATGTCTCCCTAGGCTTGGTTGCTGGCCTCTTGTTCTGCAGCTCTTCCTGCTCATTGGACACTCAACACTAACTCGAAGCCCGCCCTTTTACTCTGGGGAAGGTGGTTGTGCTCCTCAGGGATTATTTCTCTGGCAGCTGCAGAAATCATGTGTCTCAGGATTGGGTGATTTTTGAGGTGTGTGAGGATGTACTCGTGTACTTCACTCATGGGGAATGGCACCATCTCACCCCTCCGAGAGGAATCTCCACAGCATGTGATGATAAAGAATTTCAGGAAGGTGGTATTGAGAGGTGACAGCGTGCTGGCGGCCCTCGCTCGCGCTCAGCACCTCCTCGGCCTCAGCATCTGCTCTGGCCACGCTTGAGGAGCCCTTCAGCCCGCCACTGCACTGTGGGAGCCCTTCTCTGGGCGGGCCGAGGCCAGAGCCGGCTCCCTCTGCTTGCGAGAAGGTGTGGAGGGAGAGGCGCAGGCGGGAACCAGGGCTGCGCGCCAGCTCGAGTTCCGGGTGGGCGCGGGCTCGGCAGACCCCACACTCGGAGCAGCCGGCTGGCCCCGGGCAGCGAGGGGTTTAGCACCCGGGCCAGCAGCTGTGGAGGGGGCGCCGGGTCCCCCAGCACTGCCGGGCCGCCCGCGCCGCGCTCAAATTCTGGCTGGGCCTCAGCCGTCTCCCCGCAGGGCAGGGCTCCGGACCTGCAGCCCTCCATGCCCGAGCCCCTCCCACGCGATGGGCTCCCGTGAGGCCAGAGCCTCCCCGACGGGCGCCGCCCCTTGCTCTGCGGCCCTCAGTCCCATTGACTGCCCAAGAATTGAGAAGTGTAGGCACCAGGCGTGGGACTGGGAAGCAACTCCGCTGTGGCGTGGGATCCACTAGGCAAAGCCAGCTGGGCTCCTGAGTCGGGTGGGGACTTGGAGAATTTTTACGTCTAGCTGGAGGATTGTATATGCACCAATCAGCACTCTGTGTCTAGCTAATCTAGTGGGGACTTGGGGAACTTTTATGTCTAACTAAAGGATTGTAAATGCACCAATCAGCACTCTGTGTCTAGCTCAAGGTTTGTAAACACACCAATCAGCACTCTGTGTCTAGCTCAAGGTTTGTAAACGCACCAATCAGTGCTCTGTGTCTAGCTAATCTAGTGGGGACTTGGACAGTTTTTGTGTCTAGCTAAAGGATTATAAATACACCAATCAGGACTCTGTGTCTAGCTCAGGGATTGTAAACGCACCAATCAGCACCCTGTCAAAACAGACCAATCAGTTCTCTGTAAAATGGGCCAATCAGCAGGATGTGTGTGTGTGGGCGGGGGGGGGGGGGGGGGGTGGTGGTGGTGTCGGATAAGGGAATAAAAGCAGGCTGCAATCTGCTCAGGTCTTTTCAACATTGTGGTAGCTTTGTTGTTTTGTTGCTTGGAATAAATTTTACTGTTGGTCACTTTTTGGGTCCAGAGTGCCTTTATGAGCTATAACACACATTGAGAAGATTTGCAGCTGTAGTCCTGAGGCCAGTGAGACCATGAACCCACTGGGAGAAATGAACAACTCCAGCTGTGCTACATTAAGAGCTGAAGGTCTGCAGCTTCACTCCTGAACCTAGCAAGACCATGAAGCCACCAGAAGGAAGAAACTGTGAAGACATCCGCACATCAAAAGGAACAAACTCCGCACACACCATCCTTAAGAATTGTAACACTCAACCGTGAGGGTCTGTGGCTTCATTCTCTAAGTCAGTGAGACCATAGAACCCACCAATTTTGGACACAGTATGATCTGACTGCCTTGGGAATTCTCTGACTGTAAATTCATGTATTGCTAACTAAATCACTGCTGCTGCCAGGTGTGGTGGCTCATGCCTGTAATCCTATCACTTTGGCAGGCTGAGGTGGGCAGGTCACCTGAGGTCAGGAGTTCGAGACCAGCCTGGCAAACATGGTGAAACTCCATCTCTACTAAAAATACAAAATTTAGCCAGGCATGATGGGGCGTACCTGTAATCCCAGCTACTGGGAGGCTGAGGCAGGAGAATTGCTTGAACCCAGAAGGCTAGAGGTTGCAGTGAGCCGAGATCGTGCCACGGTATTCCAACCTGGGCAACACGGTGAGACTCTGTCTCAGAAATCATTGGTGCTGCCCATTGTTGGTAGTGGTCTGGTCTAAAGGTTCCAGTTTTGTTGATTTTAGTTTCTAAATCCGTGCAAGCTGCGTGGTCCCTCTCCATGAAAAGTGGAGTATTCCTGCTTCCCGCTAATGCTGGGTTCTGCTATTTCCCTTGCCGGAAATTGGACGCTTTCTTACTTTCTTGTGCTGAGTCTTGACTGTCACCTCCCGGCACCCCAGTGATTTTCACTGGTATTGAAGCCCTGCCCTGTGGAGTTTTACTTCCTGGCCTATTACAGAGTAGCTGTGTCTGTGCTTTGCCACCAAGTTCTTTCTTTTTTTTTTTTTTTTTTTTGAGATGGAGTTTTGCTCTCATTCCCCAGGCTGGAGCGCAATGGCGCAATCTCAGCTCACTGCAACCTCCGTCTCCCAGGTTCAAGCAATTCTCCTGCCTCAGCCTCCCAAGTAGCTGGGATTACAGTCATGCGCCACCACGCCTGGCGAATTTTGTATTTTTAGTAGAGATGGGGTTTCTCCATGTTGGCCAGGCTGGTCCCTAACTCCCAGCCTCAGGTGTTCCACCCGCCTCAGCCTCCCAAAATGCTGGGATTACAGGCGTGAACCACCGCACCCGGCCTGCCACCAAGTTCTTTAGTGGTCTGCCTGGCCATGTCTGTTTCCCAGAGACAGAATGGCTCAGACTGCGTTGGGTTCATTATCTTCCCTTTCCTCTTTTCAGCGTTATGAACAGAACTTTATTTTTTCCAACCTAAACCAATCATCCTGCATTGGGATGGATGGATTGAGGGAAAGATCATGGTACCAGATCTGCAGGCAGCTGGGGACAGAAGTCTTCACTTGCATGGGTGAGTGAGACGCTGTAGCATCTCTCTTTGTTGCAGCTCCTTCCCTGCACCATTAAAAATGCTGAAGAGCTCAGGGAAAAAGGCTGTCGAGTCCTTGTTTTCTCTCTTGGTCTCTAAGCTGCCATGCAGAAACCCAGTTGCAACCCTAAAGAAGGCACGCTCCTTTCCTCTGGGTTAGCCAGTGGCCTGACGTGGTGGCCTCTGCTTGGTCCACTGCCTGTGGTGAAGACACAAGGCCTTCCACACTCATGGCCCTTCCCCTTTTCCTCTTTTTGGTTTTCTTGCCTCTTTCCATTTAGGTGTTGACTTCGTCTCACACACGAGATGACAGCCTCACTTACTCCCCAATGCCTCCTAGCCTCTCTGTTCCCCCTCTCATTCTCCTTCATACATTACCAGTATTCTCAGCCGCCCTTGTCTGCTGGCCCTTGGAGGGTTTCATTTCTGACACCAATCCCTACTCTTTTTTTTTTTTTTTTTTTTTTTAGAGTGTTTTCGCTCTTGTTGTCCAGGCTAGAGTGCAATGGCACAGTCTCGGCTCACTGCCACTTCGGCTCACCATCTCAGCTCACTGCCGACTCCTGGGTTCAAGTGATTCTCCTGCCTCAGCCTCCCGAGTAGCTGGGATTACAGGCGCCCACCACCACGCCTGGCTAATTTTTTTGTATTTTTAATACAGACGGGGTTTCACCATGTTGGCCAGGTTGGTTTCAAACTCCTGACCTCAAGTGATCTGCCCACCTTGGCCTCCCAAAGAAGTGCTGGGATTACAGGCGCGCGCCATCGTGCCCAGCTGTTTTTTGTTTTTGTGTGTTTTTTTTTTTTTTTTTTTGAGACGGAGTTTTGCTCTGGTCACCCAGGTTGGAGTGCAATGGCGTGATCTCGGCTCACTGCAACCTCTGCCTCCTGGGTTCAAGCGATTCTCCTGCCTCAGCCTCCCAAGTAGCTGAAATTACAGGCGCCTGCCACCATGCCCAGATAATTTTTATATTTTTAGTAGAGATGGGGTTTCATCACATTGACGAGGCTGGTCTCAAACTCCTGACCTCAGGTGATCCGCCTGCCTCGGCCTCCCAAAGTGCTGGGCCAATCCCTACTCTATTAAGGGTTGTGAAGATAAGTGCCATACCATAACTGTCCTCTTTTTGCTGTACTTGATTATTCTGTTCTTTGAAAAAAAATTTTTTTAAATTTATTTTGAGATAGGGTTTCACTCTGTTGCCCAGGCAACACTGCTCACTGCAACCTCAACTTCCCAGGCTCAGGTGATTCTCCCACCTCAGCCTCCCAGGTAGCTGGCACTACAGACATGTGCCACCATGCACAGCTGATTTTTTTTTTTTAATTTTTTGTAGAGATGGGGTTTCACCATGTTAGCCAGGCTGGTCTCGAACTCCTGGGCTCAAGTGATCTGCTCACCTCAGCCTCCCAAGTGCTGAGATTACAGGCTTGAGCCACTTCGTCCAGCCGGAGTACTCTGTTCTTCTCAAGTTGATTTTTGTGCAGAATGGGGATCAGGTCATGTTGTGTTTTTCCTTGCCAGGTGGTGAGAGCAGAACTGAGAAGGTGGGGTCAACTTTAAAGATGGGCATTTCCAAGGACACGGAGTATTGAGCATTGAGTCCACTGGGAGGACACCAAACGCCAGGCTCCAGAGATCCAAATTTGTAGAATCGCATGAATCCCAAGAAATCACAAGAGATCTTAGAAGAAAAGGATCCTTCAAGTGTGGTGAGTGCAGTAAGGGATCTAGTAGGAAGTCACATCTTGCTGTTTGCAGAGTAAAGACGTGTGAAGAAGCCCTGAAGAACAGCCACAAGTTCTCCCACAGCCGTGCACTGCTCCAGGGAAAACCCACACCTGCAGTGAGCGCAGGAACATCACTGTGTGACGACGTGGCCGTCCGCTGCAGAGAAGGCCCAGGAGTGTGTGGAAAGCCTCCACAGATGTAGCCCACATGGAAGAGCCTAGCAGATGATGAGGCCCTTTCCTCCCACCACAGAGCACGTGTGAGAATGGAGCGCAGGCACCTTCTCTCAGAAGGCCATTGTTGTTGATCAGGCGGTCCACTCTGGAGACTTTGGAAGCTGTCTAGGATGTAAAGAATGCAGGAATGATTTCAGAGAGGGATCACACCTCACTGCACGCCAGAGAGTTCAGGCTCCAATGAGCCATATATGTGCAGGAGGTGTGGAAGAGCTTTTGTGTGTGTTATACTGCAGAACTGGAGGGACGCCATCAGTGTACCTGAGTGGCAAAGCCTTTAGGGAGAGCTCCCAAGTCCTGGCTCATCAGTGCATTCACACAAGGGGAAAAGCCTTTTACAGGTGGGGAGGCCTTCAGGGATCAGCCTCACGTCATTGTCAGAGTTTTCATTTTGGGAAGAAGCCTTTACATTTTTATTTTTTGAGACAGTGTAACTCTGTCGACCAGGCTGGAGTGCAGTTGTGCAATCACAGCTCACTGCAGTCTTGACTTCCTGGGCTCAAGTCATCCTCCCACCTCAGCCTACTGAGTAGCTGGGACTACAGGTACACACCACCATGCCCAGCTAAGGAAGGAGCCTTAAGAATGCCAGAGGTCAACCAGGCACAGTGGCACACGCCTGCAATCCCAGCACTTTGAGAGGCCAAGGCGGACGGATCACCTGAGGTCAGGAGTTTGAGACTAGCCTGACCAACATGGAGAAACCTCGTCTCTACCAAAAAGACGAAATTAGCCAGGCGTGGTGGCGCATTCCTGTAATCCCAGCTACTTGGGAGGCTGAGGCAGGAGAATCACTTGACCCCGGAAGGCAGAGGTTGCGGTGAGCCGAGATCGTGCCATTGCACTCCAGTCTGGGTGACAGAGCAAGACTCTGTCTCCAAAAAAAAAAAAAAAAAAAAAAAAAAGGCCAGGTGCCGCGGCTCACGCCTGTAATCCCAACACTTTGGGAGGCCGAGGTGGGTGGATCACTTGAGGTCAGGAGTTCAAGACCAGCCTGGCTAACATGGTGAAACCCCGTCTCTACTAAAATACAAAAAAATTAGCTGGGCTTGGTGTCACACGCCTGTAATCCCAGCTACTCAGGAGGCTGAGGCAGGAGAATTGCTTGAACCTGGGAGGTGGAGGTTGCAGTGAACTGTCATCATGCCACTGCACTCCAGCCTGGGTGACAGAGCGAGACTGCGTCTCAAAAAATAAATAAATAAATAAGAAAGAAAGAATGCCAGAGGTGTGGACAAGTGTTCAGACATAACTAGAATCTCATGGCCCATCAGAGTCCACATAAGAGAGAAGCCTGGGAATGCCATCAGTGTGGCTGGACAAGGAATACCAGCCTTATAAATCATCAGACTCCACTCTGGGGAGAGACATTGACTGGGAGGGAGGAGGGAAGAAAGGCTGTGGATAATCATGGGGACCTTCATTAACATAGTAGAATTCACACAGTTTCAAATCCCATGAGTGTAATGAGTGGGAAAGCAGAAAAAAGATCACACCTTACTCTACCCTAGAATTCATGTAGGAGAGAGATGGTACAAACAAACCACAGAGAGAAAAGCCTTCACTTGTAGCTAATTCATTCCAGAGAAGGGCTTGGCAAGCTGTTTTTGTAAAGGACCAGAGAGTAAATCTGTTTAGGCTTTGGGGGCCGTGTGGTCTCTGCTGTAACTGCTTAGCTGTACTGGGAGCACAAAGATGGCCACAGATAGCATGTGTGCAAATGGGCATGGTTGAGTTCCGGTAAAGCTTAGCTTTCTTCTTGTTTTTTTCTTTCTTTCTTTCTTTTCTTTTCTTTTCTTTTTTTTTTTTTTTTTTTTTTTTTGAGACAGGGTCTCACTTTGTCGCCCAGGCTGGAGTACAGTGGCGCCATCATGGTTCACTGCAGCCTCAACCTCCCAGACTCATGTGATCCTCCCACCTCAGCTTCCTGGGTAGCTCGGACTATAGGCACCAGCCACCCCGCCCAGCTAATTTTTGTATTTTTAGTAGAGACAGGGTTTCACCATGTCACCCAGGCTGGTCTCGAACTCCTGAGCTCAAGGAATCTGCCCGACTCAGCCTCCCAAAGTGCTGGGATTACAGGCGTGAGCCACCGCATCTGGCCTCAGTGAAGCTTTTTTTCCAAAACAAGTGGCCACTCAGGTTTGGCCAAGGGGTGTACTTTGCCAACGCCTGTTCTAGAGGTTTGAGGGGAGGAGTCACACTAGATGGGGGCTCCTGCAGAGAAATCTCACAGGAGCAAGGTTAGTGTAGCAGAACCTGCAGGGCTGCCCGCCTTATCAGGGGGGTCTAGCAGGAGACACATGGACGGTCCAGAGACCTGAGTTCTGCCATGAAATAGCTGAAGGACTAGCCCCCCGTCTCTCAAAAGCATGGGGCTTCTATGAGAAGCAAAATAATGTATCTGCACATGCATTTGTTTGTTTGTTTGTTTGTTTTTGAGACAGTCTTGCTCTGTCGCCCAGGCTGGAGTGCAGTGGTGCAATCTCGGCTCACTGCAACTTCCACCTTCCAGGTTCAAGCGATTCTCCTTCCTCAGCCTCAGGAGTAGCTGGGATTACAGGTACCCGCCACCATGCCCAGCTAATTTTTGTATTTTTAGTAGAGACAGGTTTCACGATGTTGGTCAGGCTGGTCTCGAACTCCTGACTTCAGGTGATCCACCCGCCTCGGTCTCTCAAAATGCTGGGATTACAGGCATGAGCCAATGTGCCCGGCCGGCACATGCTTTGGAAGTAATATGGTAAGTACACCTAAAATGGTGATTTATGTGAAAAGAGTCACTCTTTCTCTAAATAGTTGTTGAGCCCCTGCTCTGTGCCACCTTCCTGCCAGAGGTAAATTCAGGAGTGTCAGAATGCATATGGTGTCTAGAGCCACAAACTAGATGATTTCGAGGGGACCCACGAAGGTTGAGCTGCAGACCCTAACACTTAAGAGGGAAGTGACAGATCCAGCATGGAAGTTGTGACGACGCCCTGTGGAGTCGGCAGAGCAGTGTGAAGGAAGGGTCTCAGGAGGGCTGGGATGGCCATCGCCTCCAAGTTCTGCCAGTGGGTGGGTAAGGGCAGGCTTGGGAATTTGCCACCGGATTGGTCAAAGGGACTCCATTGGTCTCCTAGGGCTGCTGTAACCAATGGCCACAAACTGGGTGGCTTAAAACAACAGAACTATATTCTCTCATGGTTCTGGAGGCTGGAAGTTCAAAGTTAAGGTGCCAGCAGGCTGCGCTCCAAATGCTTGAGGGGAGATTCCTTTGCCTCTTCCAGTTTCTGGTGGCTCCAGGTGGTCCTTGGTTTGTGGCTGCAGAACTCCATCCTCTGCCTCTGTCTTCACCTGGCCATCTCCTCTGTCTGTGTCTCTCCTCTGTGTGTCTCTCGTGACACTTGTCATTGAATTTAGGGCTCGTTCAGATATGATATGATCTTCAGATTCTTAATTGTGTCTGTAAACACCCTTTTTCCAAATTAGTTCATGTTCCTAGGTTCCAGATTTGCGAAGTGAACATATCTTTTAGTGGTGGAAGGATCTTTCAACCCACTAGACATGGTGTCAGTGGAGGAACACGTGGTGGACTCTGGAGAGAATAGGGTGGAGGGATGCAGACAGCAAGCCTGTCTAGAGCCAGAGGATGAGGCTGTGCTACACCTGCCTGGTAGAAGCCAGGATCCAATCCTACCCAACTCAAGCGGCCTCCTAGACATGCCCCTCGCTGCACACACACACCTTTGCTCAGAAGGCAGCAGGTGGAGGGGGGGGGGGACTTGTATTGCAGTACTCCTGTTACACAGCTTTTGTAACAGCCTTTCTGGAATTAGCAATTGCAGTATGTGCCTTGCTTCTGGGTCTCTAGGTGCTTAAAGGACACATGAGCTTGGTTGGGACTAGGATGGGGCTAGCATCACGAAGGCTGCAGGACAGGAGGTAGAAAAGAACAAACTTGCAATGGCCTGAGCTGCCCTCTGGGGCTGCTGGCTGCTGCACACTCAAACCTATGGCACAGCTGCCTGTTCCTTAAGGCTGCACTGGGGACTTGCAGAAACTGGGTTGCCTGCAGTGCTGAGGTGGCTCTCCATAAAACAAACTGTGTGACCTCCCTACAGCCACCCCCACTTTTTCCACAGGAAACTTGTCCTCCTGTAGCTAAACCCAACCTCTGTCCCAAGCTTCCAGGGTAAAGGAGAGGCTGTCTTCCAGCTAAATGTGGGGCACCCACATCAGGCTTGGCATCAAAGCCACTGCCCAGATGCCCCCATGGCAAAAGCCCACCCTAGCTGTTTTGCATAGGATTTCTTAAACAGGCACACAAATAGTTGGTGTGCTTTGGGAACAGTGAGCTGTAAACTCAGCCTTGAACAAAAGAGAACTAAAAGGAAGGTCTTAGGAAGGAGGCCTTGGCCAGAATGCCAAGTTTCCAAGTGATGCCAGGATGAAGTTACTTATTGGAAAGGGATAGTACCTTGGGGGAGATGTTGGTCAGGGAAGGGGGATGTATTTGAAACTTAGTTTACATTTGGCTTGCAAAAAGGCTTTCCTTGAAACAGACCTCCCTAAATAAGTTGGGTCCCCTGTTCTTCCATTTCACTTGTTCAGTGTCCATCATCGCCCTAGGAGGGCAGCTCTGCCATGACAGGGACTGGCCCAGCCTGTCTGCCTAATGCATGGCTGACACTGGGTGAATTGGAGGAGAAGGGTGGGGAGAAATAGTCAATGTTATCTGTATCTCAGGCCTGGGTCCCTGGGAGAGGGCTTTCCTCTGAGTGGTTGCTGTCTGACATCCCTCTCTGCCCGTGCCCTAGAAGGATGGCTGATGCTGTCTGCCTGCAGGAGCTGTCAGCACCTGGCCCTGCCCTGCCCTGCCCTCCCCCTAGCCCATAACACTGCGGGGGATGGAGAAGGGCCGACCCTCGGATGCTCACCTGGAGTAACGGAGGATGAGTGAGTGCCACCCTGCCCCCCTCCCTGTGATGACTTCTGCTGATAAGTTTGCCACAAGGGCCTCCTCTGTTGTCACCACAGCTATCACTTGCCACCTCCCAGCTCTTCCTCTTCCCTGTTCCTTCCCTTTATCAGCGGACTCCAGCTGAAGGAATGCCGCAGGGGCCGGCAGCATGCTGTCCCCAGTGGCAGCATAGGACCATACACCTCATTCCATCCTGTCCTCCCAGCAGTCGGATGTATTTGAAACCATCTGATGGAAGCACACAGTCTTTTTTTTTTTTTTTTTCTTGAGACAGAGTCTTGCTCTGTTGCCCAAGGTGGAGTGCAGTGGCGCAATCTCAGCTCACTGCAAGCTCCGCCTCCCGGGTTCACACCATTCTTCTGCCTCAGCCTCCAGTGGCGCGATCTCAGCTCACTGCAAGCTCTGCCTCCCAGTTCACACCATTCTCCTGCCTCAGCCTCCCGAGGAGCTGGGACTATAGGCGCCCGCCACCACACCTGGCTTTTTTTTTTTTTTTTTTTTTTTTGGTAGAGACAGGGTTTCACCATGTTAGTCAGGATGGTCTCGATCTCCTGACCTCATGATCCGCCCGCCTCGGCCTCTCAAAGTGCTAGGATTACAGGCGTGAGCCACCGCACAAGGCCATGGAAGCACACAGTCTTACCCATGTTACACACACATCTGGGAGAGGGTTTCTGCACTGGCGTTTCTCTAGAGGATGGACCAGGCCTCAGCTGTTTCTGAGGTTTGTTTCCAGAGATGGGATTACCAGAGAGGCCCACTTTCTATGTCCTGGACTGCTCTGGTTTGACTTTTTTTTTTTTTTTTTTTTTTTTTTTAACAGAGTCTTTCTCTGTCTACCAGGCTGGAGTGCAGTGGTGCGATCTCAGCTCACTGCAACCTGTGTCTTCTGGGCTCAAGAAATTCTCCCACCTCAGCCTCCCAAGTAGCTGGAACTATAGGCGTGTACCACTATGCCTGGCTAATTTTTGTATTTTTAGTAGAGACGGGGTTTCACCATGTTGGCCAGGCTGGATGGCCTTTCTTAAATAAACATTTTGTTTCAGAATAAAAATAAATAAAATATGGAAAATATGGCCAGGTGTGTGGCTCATACCTGTAATCCCAGCACTTTGGGAGGCCAAAGCGGGTAGATCCCCTGAGTCCAGGAGTTCGAGACCAGCCTGGGCAATATGGCAAAATCCCGTCTCTATAGAAAATAAGAAAATTAGCTGGGCATGGTGGCTCATGCCTCTGGTTGCAGCTATTCATGAAGCTAAGGTGGGAGGATCACCTGAGCCCAGGAGGTCAAGGCTGCTCCTGTAAGCCATGATCACATCCAGCCTGAGTAAGCCCCTGTCTCAAAAAAAAAAAAAAAAAAAGGAAATATATGGGCATTGTTTGCTAATTATTGGTTACTAATATCTTTTTTTTCCTTTTGGTTACAAGTAACAGCTAGTATCTTTCATAGTTATGTTTTCAGGATTAGGGCTGTGCTTAACTGACCTTTCCATAATGTCTATATTTCTTTTGAAATTTGACACATTTTCTAAAAAAGTCCACATGTTTTGTAAAGCACAAATTTAAAACAATTTTTTAACCTATTTTTGGCCAATAGTTATAGGCAAATAGTTCCTATCTAACTGAATAGTCTTTTTTGACTATTAAAGCCTAGCTCCAATGGCTTTATTGGATCATACACACTGAAAAGCGTGTATCATCTTGGAATATTTGAGAAGTGTCTGTTTCATTGCTTACTGTTTTACCAATTGCAAAGTTTTTTCTAAGTGATGTTTATTTCACACTTTTGGAGGGAGGAGAATGTCCCACAGCCAGTCACTTGGGGCCTTGTTTCCAGAAGTGGAGTCCTGGAAATAACCACATCTGTGAGCAGTGGGTGTCTCATGGTATAATGTTACGGTCAGTGTGGCCTAGAAGTGAGCTCCAGCACCCTGCCACCCTCCCGACACAGGACACTAAATATGTAACCAGAAAATAGAAACAAGAATGGCTCCTGTTTCTAGACTACTTAAAAGGAGGGAATCTCTTATTTTTAGATTTAAATTTAAACTTTATTTTTTTTAGAGACAGGGTCTCGTTTTGTCACCCAGGCTGGAGTGCAGTGACACCATCATAGCTCACTGCAACCTTGAACTCCTGGGCTCAAGTGATTCTCTCACCTCAGCCTCCCTAATAGGACTGCAAGCACATGCCACCACACCTGGCTGATTTTTAAACCTTTTTATGGAGACAGGTTCTCCCTATGTTGCCCAGGCTGGTCTTGAACTCTTGAACTCAAGTGATCCTCCCACCTTGGCCTCCCAAAGTGCTGGGATTATAGGCATGAGCCACTGTCGAAAGGAGAGAAACCTTTGCAATGTGAATAGACTTTTCTAAAAGCACACTTGGCTTCATCCCTCAAACTTACTTGATTCTGATGCTTTTTCTCACTCCATAAACTCTTTTACAAAGTTGAATTTACCTGTGTCGTTAAGATAGGTAATTTCCACTGTTAGATCCTTCTTAGAGGTCACTTCCCCTTACCTACTGCTTAATACGACTTTTTTGAGGGGGTGTGATTAAGGACATCATGGGACTAGACTGAGCTTTTTGAAAGCAGGGGCCATTTCTTAGTCATCTTGGGTATCTGCAGCACTTGTTGTGAGTGAAGGAATGAATGAGGATGGAATGAGTGATGCCTGCTCTGCTTTCACATGGCCATAAAGCAGCCATCCAGGTGCCCATTCCCAGGAGGAGGTGGGGTCCATAGTCTCCACCCCCAAGCCCCCACCCCTTCCTGGACCCTGGTGGGAGCCCAAGTGTAAAGCAGCCCAACCCAGGGAAGGGGTTACAGCTGGACAGCCCCCAAAACACAGGAGGGCAGATTGCTCGAGCACCCCAGTCTGAGAACAGTGGGGGCAACATGCCAGAATGGAGGTGAAGGGAACGGAGGGGCAGGGGCGTGAGCTCACCTCCACCCTGTGGCCAAGGAACAGGGGCACAGGGAAAAAGGGAAGGAAACGTCCTGGGCTTAGCAGGAGAGCGCAGACCTGTGAGAGAAAGCGAGGAAGAGCTTGCAATGTTGGGAGGAGAGGCAGGAAAAAAGTTTCCTTTCCTCAGAGGAAAAGGAAGGAGAGCCCAGTTTTAAAAACAAAACCCTCAGCTGCATCCTCTATTACCAAAGATCCCGGGACGCTGATCCTCAACAGCGGAGAGTGGGCTGGGACACAGAGTGGTTCATCCGCCCCCGAACTGCAGACAGCAAGCTGTGGGAGGAGCAGGTTTATGGGCCTTGAAACCCTCTGAGATGGGAGAGATAATTTCCATAAAATCCAGGATTGCTAGAGAGTCGCAGACTTGCTTCTCTAAATGGCTGAAAATAGAAAGTAGGAAGTGAAATTAATAGAGCTGGGAATGAGAAAGAAACAAGGCCATGTGTGCGTATCTTTAAAGCTAGAAAATAATAACCACATCTTCTGAACATATTACATTCCCGATGCCGAACTAAGCAATTTGCACTTATTTAATCCTCATATAACAATCTAAGAAGACGGATATTACAATCTTGTTTTATTGGTGAGGAAATTCTCTCAGAGAAGTTGTTACCACACCTGTAATCCCAGCACTTTGGGAGGCCGAGACGGGCAGATCACCTGAGGTCGGGAGTTTGAGACTAGCCTGACCAACATGGAGAAACCCCGTCACTACTAAAAATAGAAAAATTAGCCAAGCATGGTGGCACATGCCTGTAATCCCAGCTACTCGGGAGGCTGAGGCAGGAGAATCACTTGAACCCCGGAAGCGGAGGTTGTGGTGAGCCGAGGTCGCGCCCTTGCACTCCAGCCTGGGCAACAAGAGCGAAACTCTGTCTCAAAAAAAAAGAAGTTAAGTTACTTGCCCGAAGCCACATAGCTGAGCCCAGTTCCAGCTGACTCAAAAGGGTACGAATTTAGTCACTATGTCGGTTAATTTCAAACTTTGTTTCTTTGTTTGTTTTTGAGACAGATTTTGCTCCTGTTGCCTAGGCTGGAGTGCAATGGTGCAATCTCGGCTCACTGCACCCTCCGCCTCCCGGGTTCAGGCGATTCTCCTGCCTCAGCCTCCTAAATAACTGGGATTACAGGCATGTGCCACCACACCCAGCTAATTTTTTGTACTTAGTAAAGATGGGGTTTCACCATGTTGGTCAGGCTGGTCCTGAACTCCTGACCTCAGGTAATCCACCCACCTTGGGCCTCCCAAAGTGCTGGGATTACAGGCGTGAGCCGTGCCTGGCCTGCTTTCAAACTTTTTTGACTAGGACCCACAGTAAGAAATATATTTTAGACAGGGCCCAGTGGCTCACGTCTGTAATCCCAGCACTTTGGGAGGCCGAAGCAGGCAGATCACCTGGGGTCAGGAGTTCAAGACCAGCCTGGCCAACATGGCGAAAACCCATCTCTCCTAAAAATACAAAAACTAACTGGGCCTGCTTTCAAACTTTTTTGACTAGGACCCACAGTAAGAAATATATTTTAGACAGGGCCCAGTGGCTCACGTCTGTAATCCCAGCACTTTGGGAGGCCGAAGCAGGCAGATCACCTGGGGTCAGGAGTTCAAGACCAGCCTGGCCAACATGGCGAAAACCCATCTCTCCTAAAAATACAAAAACTAACTGGGCGTGGTGTTGAACGCCTGTAATCCCAGCTATTCAGGAGGCTGAGGCAGGAGAATTGCTTGAACCTGGGAGACAGAGATTGCAGTGAGCCAAGATCGCGCCACTGCACTCCAGTGTGGGTGACAGAGTGAGACTCTGTCTCAAAAAAAAAAAGGAAAGATATTTTAGATTCTAAGCCAGCACACATACATATAATTGATAACTAAAAGGAAAATTTTTATAAAATGCATGTACCCTTACTACTTATTATTTAAAGAAGAACCTTAGTCAATAAAATTTAGCAGAGTTTATTTGAGCAAATAATGATTCATGCTAGGTGTGGTGACTAATGCCTGCAATCCAGCACTTTGGGAGGCTGAGGTGGGAGGATCACTTGAACCCAGCAGTTTGAGACCAGTCTGGGCAATATAGTAAAACCCTGTTTCTAAAAACAAACAAACACGCAAACAAAAAAACGCTCTTCCATCACTTGAGGTCAGGAATTCGAGACCAGGCTGACCAACATCATGAAACCATATCTCTATTAAAAATACAAAAAAATTATTCAGGCATGGTGGTGCACACCCGTAGTCCCAGTTACTCGGGAGGCTGAGGTGGGAGAATCACTGGAACCTGGGAGGCAGAGGTTGCAGTGAGCTGAGATCGTGCCATTGCACTCCAGCCTGGGCAACAGAGTAAGACTTTGTCTCAAAAAAAAAAAAAAAAAAGAGAGAGAGAGAATCCATGAAAGAGTGGTTTGTAAAAAAAGCACTCACAAGTGTAAGTTGTAATTTATATCTTATGTATAATTTTTTTATGGGGGACAGAGTCCTGTTCTGTTGCCCAGGCTAGAGTGCAGTGGCGAGATCTCGGCTCACTGCAACTTCCACCTCCCAGGTTCAAGTGATTCTCCTGCCTCAGCCTCCCAAGTAGCTGGCATTACAGATGCGTGCCACCACACCTTGCTAATTTTTATATTTTTAGTAGAGACGGGGTTTCACCATGTTGGCCAGGCTGGTCTTGAACGCCTGAACTCAAGTGATCCACCCGCCTTAGCCTCCCAAAGTGCTGGGATTACAGGTGTGAGCCATATCGCCTGGCCTATATCACATATATATAATTGCCTCTGTCCCCTCCACTAGAATGTGAACCCTTCAAGAGTGGAGAATTCTTTCATTCGCTACCTTGTATTTCCAGCACTTAGCCTAGGGCCAGCCATTTAGATGCTCCTCAATACATTTTGGAGGAATGCTATCATTAATTAATCAATATCTGCCTGAAAGAGGACTCTGGGGGCATGGGCCAGGGCTTCAGCCTTAGTCGTCTTATGTTCAGCATTTTTCTCAGCTACTTGGACATGGAAATGGATGACATATTTATCAAAGTTTCAGGTGGCGAAAAACTGGGGCAGCCAAAGTACTGGATGACAGAATCAGGGTCCAAAAATAACTTAGCAGCCTGGAATGGTGGGCTGAACGAAGATAAAGAATAATAGAGATCTGTATTTTGCCTTTCTGTCTAAAACTTAGCTTCATAAGCACACGATGAGGGGGTAGATGATTTAACAGCAATACATGTGAGGGACTTGTGGTTTTTATTGCAAGCTAATGAATGAAGCAGCAGTATGATAAGGTCACCACCTCTGCAGACTTAGACTGCAAATACAGACTCAGTGAACAAAAGAGGGAGACCAGAGTCCCTCTACTTTATGCGGGTCAAATGACACTGGAAAAACTGGCTTTGTCTGAATGACAATTATTAAGGAAGACATCGACAAATTGCAAACCTTTTTAGAGAACAATATGTTGAACTTGTCTGCAGCACAATTAAGAATTCCTGTTAAGTATAAGACACCATAAAGGTATTGGATGAATAACAAACTAGGAAAAGATATAACGTGTAAAACTAACACATAATTAATATCTAGAGTATTTAAGGAATGTCCGCAAATCAACAAGAGAAAGCCAGGAGCCTGTAAGAGTAAAGGTCACAGGGAATGAGTAGTCATTTCACAGAAGAGGAAGCTTGAACTGTTACCAATATAAGAAAAGACACTAGGATTCACCACTAATCAGATAAATTAAATGAAAACAACAGGACTTCCTTTTTCTGGTAATAGGAGTATAACTCTCTCAAGCAACCCTCCAGCTGAAAACAACTAAATAGTTGAATAAAATACTGAAAACAGGCTAGGCATGGTGGCTCATGCCTATATTCCCAGCACTTTGGGAGGCCAAGGCGGGTGGATCACCTGAGGTCAGGAGTTCGAGACCAGCCTGGACAACATGGTGAAGCCTTATCTCTACTAAAAATTCAAAAAATCAGCCAGGCGTGGTGGCGGGCACCTGTAATCTCAGCTACTCGGGAGGCTGAGACAAGAGAATTGCTTGAACCCGGGAGGCAGAGGTTGCAGTGAGCCAAGATCACACCACTGCACTCCAGCATGGGCAACAGAGTGAGACTCTGTCTCAAAAAAAAAAAAAAAAAAAATACTGAAAACATCTTCTGTAAAGAATTGACAAGGTGGGACAGCATCACTCTGTAGGCAAAGGAGAGAGGAGTCCAGAAGCTGTTCTTTCTCCAGGAACCTTCACCCATTAGGGGAGGGTGGAGGGTTGAGCTTCTGCTGATGATGTATTTTTCCCTGCCTCCCTCCCTCTTTCTTTCTTCCTCTCTCTTTCTTCTTTTCTTTTCTTTTTGTAGAGAAGCCTCACTATGTTGCCCAGGCTGGTCTTGATCTCCTGGCCTCAAGCAATCCTCCTGCTTTGGCCTCCCAAAGTGCTGAGAACCACTGCATCCAGCCCAATGGCCTCTTTCAATGAAAGGATCTGTATCACAGCCCAGCGCTATCCTAGGTGGGAAACCTATCAGGACATCCCCTTTTCCCCAGTGAACTAAAAGTGGACCAACCTGCCAGAATTACAGCCTGGCTCTATTTGCCTGGATAATCCAGGGAACCCCCAAGCCTTGACTTTGGGTAGCCCAAGACTGACAGTGCTCCCAAGCTCCTAGCAGATGCAAACACAAATTCTCTGCAGAGGAAATCACCTTCATCTTGGCCCTTAAATTATTCCCACAAATAATTTTTCAAATATAATGACTAGCATACAGTCAAAGATAACTAGGGACACAAGGAAATTAAGCTTCAGGTCACTGCCCTAGAAGTCCAATTTCTGCAGCTGTGGGACTCCAAATCTAACACCTGGGGGCAGGGATATCATAGAGTCTCTGGCCACCAACAGCTATGTGCCCCAGGACCCAGAGACTGCATGAGTGAGAGAGAGTGTGGGTACATGTGTGTGCCACAATGCTGGAAAGTTCTGCCTGGCAGAGCTGGTATGGTTTTGTGGCATAATATAACTTTTGCAGAGATCCAGAGCTTATGCCTATAATGCCAGCACTTTGGGAGGCTGAGGTGGATCACTTGAAGCCAGGAGTTCAAGACCAGCCTGGGAAACATAGTGACCCTGTCTCTACAAAAAACATTAAAAAAAATTAGCCAGGTGTGGTGGTATGTGCCAGCTACTTGGAGGGCTGAGGTAAGAGGATTGCTTGACTCCAGGGAGGTCAAGGCAGCAGTAAGACATGATTGCACCACTGTAGTCCAGCCTGGGAGACAGAATGAGACCCTATCTCCAAAAAAAAAAAAAACCACCACGTTGTAATTTGTGTAAAGGTGCGAAGGTGCTCTAAGGCCTAGTGGCAGCCCCATGTACATACATTAAATATTACAACTATCTGGCTGGACACAGTGGTTCACACCTGTAATCCCAGTGTGTCCAGAATTGGTGGGTTTTTGGTATCACTGACTTCAAGAATGAAGCCATGGACCCTTGCAATGAGTGTTACAGTTCTTAAAGATGGGGTGTTTGGAGTTTGTTCCTTCTGATGTTCGGACATGTTCGGAGTTTCCTCTGGTGGATTTGTGGTCTCACTGGCTTCAAAACTGAAGCTGCAGACCTTCTCAGTGAGTGTTACAGGTCTTAAGGCAGTGCATCCGAAGTTGTTCATTTCTCATGGTGGGTTCATTGGTTCATGATGTCACTGGCCTTAGGAGTGAAGCTGCAAACATTCATGTTGAGTATTACAGCTCATAAAAGCAGTGCAGACCCAAAGAGTGAGCAGCAGCAAGATTTATTGCAAAACACAAAAGAACAAAGCTTCCCCATTATTAAAGAGGACCCAAGCAGATTGCCACTGCTGGCTCAGGCAGCCTGCTTTTATTTTCTTATCTGACCCCACCCACATCCTGCTGATTGGTCCATTTTACAGAGAGCTGATTGGTCTGTTTTACAGAGAGCTGATTGGTGCATTTACAATCCCTGAGCTAGACACAAAAGTTCTCCAAGTCCCCACTAGATTAGCTAGACACAGAGCACTGATTGGTGCATTTACAAACCTTCAGCTAGACACAGGGTGCTGATTGGTGTATTTACAAACCTTGAGCTAGACACAGAGTGCTGATTGGTGTATTTACAATTCCTTAGCTAGACATACAGGTTCTCCAAGTCCCCACCAGCTTAGCCAGATAGAGAGTGCTGAGTGGTGCATTTACAAACCTTGAGCTAGACACAGAGTGCTGATTGGTGCATTTACAAACCTTGACCTAGACACAGAGTGTTGATTGGTGTATCTACAATCCCTTAGCTAGACATAAAGGTTCTCCAAGTCCCTACTAGACTCAGGAGCCCAGCTGGCTTCACCTAATGGATCCTGCAGGGGGCCACAGGCGGAACTGCCTGCCAGTCCCGGCCGTGCACCCACACTCCTCAGCTCTTGGGTGGGCGATGGGACCAGGTGCCACGGAGGAGGGGACAGTGTTCGTTGGGGAGGCTTGGGCATGGCAGGTTGCAGGTCCCAAACCCTGCCCCTCAGGGAGGCAGCTGAGGCCGGGCTAGAATTCGAGTGCCGTGCTGGCGGGCCAGCACTGCTGGGGGACCCAGCGCACCCTCTGCAGCTGCTGGCCTGGGTGCTAAGCTCCTCACTGCCCCAGGGCCAGTGGCGCTGGCCGGCCACTCCGAGTGTGGGGCCACACCCACCTGGAACTCGCGCTGGCCCGTGATCGTCTCCCACGCCTCTCCCTCCACATCTTCCTGCAAGCAGAGGGAGCCGGCTCCGACCTCGGCCAGCCCAGAGAGGGGCTCCCACAGTGCGGCGGCGGGCTGAAGGGCTCTTCAAGCACGGTCAGAGTGGGCGTCGAGGCCGAGCAGACACCAAGAGCGAGCGAGGGCTGCCAGCACGATGTCACCTCTCACCAGCACTTTGGGAAGCCAAGGCAGGTGGATCACCTGAGGTCAGGAGCTCAAGACCAGCCTGTCCAGCATTGTGAAACCTCTTCTCTACTAAAAATACACACAGACACACACACACACACACACACACACAAATAGCCAGGTGTGGTGGTGCATGCCTGTAATCCCAGCTACCTGGGAGGCTGAGGCAGGAGAATAACTTGAATCTGGGAGGGAAAGGTTTGCAGTAAGCTGAGATTATGCCACTGCATTCCAGCCTGGATGACAGAGTGAGACTCCATCTCAAAAAATAAAATCAAATATTACAACTGTCTGTTACATACTACATGGTGGCTTATGCCTTTAATCTCAGCAGTTTGGGAAGCTGAGGTGGGAGTATCACTTGAGGCCAGGAGTTTGAGACCAGCCTGGACAACATCATGAGACCCTGTCTCTACAAAAAATAAAAATAAAAAAATTAGCTGAGCATGGTGGTGCATGGGAGGCTGAGGCAGGAAGATCCCTTGAGTCCAAGAAGTTGAGGCTGCAGTGAAATGTGTTCATGCCACTGTACTTCAGTCTGGGTGACAGAGTGAGACGAAGTCTCAAAAAAATGTTTTTAAGTTCATATAATAAAATGTAGCCTAAAGCCAAATCTGAGATGTGAAGACCATATGTTAAATTTATATCGAATAATGAACAAACACTCACTATTTTGTGGAAAGTTGATTAAGAGACCCAAAGCAGTACTTTAAACACATTCATAACATATGTTTAAAACAGTAAATTGAATCTATCTTATTAAAATCAGATCCCCTAACTCCATATACCAGATGCAATTTGTGCTGATAATATTTAAAACAGTTTGCAATTCCTGAACATCCCTGGCTGGTCCCTGGAAGATGATCCTTGGGAAAGTTCTATGGGTGGAGGTGGGGGCTGCCTAGAACCTGACATTCAGGCTGGGCACATCTGGCAGCCTGTCTGGGCCTGGATAACAGAGGATTGACTACTGAAATGTATTGCCACCCATCAGCTTTCGTATTTCTTGGTTTGTTGCTGTAAAATTGTTTATGTTGAGGCTACATTTGCAAACTCCTTATTAAAGGATTAAAATTACACTGATTTGCTTTGTTGTATTTGGAATGCAAAGCTCAGATACATTTTTATTGGATTCTGGAAGCCCTAGGGGTTTCTCATAAGTAAGCTGCTTGTTAATTGCCTTTTTTGTACATAAACAAAATCCCAAATTGGAAAAATAAAAGAAAATGGAGAACTAAACTTTCTCTACTTTAAAGGCAATTTATATAGTTTTATGTATTATTTTCCCCTTTCCATTAATTATTTAACACATTTTATGATACATGGGGGTAATTGGCCTGCTTTAAAATTAAAACTGAGAAAAAATACTTATGAGATCCAAATGATGGTGTTTTTTCCCATAATAGTTCTGAGATACGATGGGATGCATTTGAAAGAGTATGAACTTTACAATCACTCAGACCTGGGTTTTAACTGGGGTTTCTCCATTAGCTATAAATTAATGACCCTTTTGCAGTTTCTGCTCTGTGAAATGGGACTATCACTCCCCTTGCAGTTGTTATGAAGGTAAAAGATAATATGAGTAAAGTGCCTGGCATATGAGAGACAATTTTTTTGTTTTTTTTTTTTTGTAGAGACAGGATCTCACTCTGTTGCCCAGGCTGGAGTGCAGTGGCGCCATCACAGCTCACTGCAGCTTTGACCTCCTGGGCTCAAGCGTTCCTCCCACTTCAGCCTCCTGAGTAGCTGGGACTACAGACATGTGCCACTACACCAGGCTAATTTTTTATTTCTCATTTTTGTAGAGATGGGGTCTTGCTTGTTGCCCGGGTTTGTCTCGAACTCCTGGCCTCGAGTAATCCTCCTACTATTCAGCCTCCTGAGTGGCTGGGATTACAGGCATGAGCCACCGTGCCTGTAAATTCTTTCCAGTGTGACTTCATTTCCCCCGAACCTAACATTTTCATATGAATTAATTAATCTAATCTATATAATAGTCTATGAAGGTCTTTCTCAAGACCATGAATATGAACTTATAATTAAAAACTAGAAAATTAACAAAGAAATAATCCACCACAAATTAGACTTTGTTTACACCACAAACAGTGCAGGATTAGACCCATAAGCACTTCAGATAATGAAATTACAAGATTTAGCCTGTAAGTATGTTAAAAATTATTGAGGTTATAAAACAAAGAATCAAAAGAGAAATAAACAGAATGCTATTGGAAAATTAGGTATCATTTTCAAAATTATTATTATAAACAGTGAATGGGTTAAGCAGATGATTAGAAGTAGCAGAGAGGCTAGGTGCAGTGGCTTACTCCTGTAATCCCAGCACTTTGGGAGGCCGAGGCAGGAGGATCACTTGAGCCCAGGAGTTTGAGACCAGTCTGGGTAATGTAGCGATACCTTGTTTCTACAGATAATTTTAAAATTAGGTGGGTGTGCTGGCATATGCTTATAGTGGCAGCTACTTGGGAGGCTGAGGTGGGAGGATCACTTGAGCATGGGAGGTCAAGACTGTGGTGGGCCATGATTGTGCCACTGCACTCCATCCTAGGTTACACAGCGAGACCCTTCCTGTCTCTTAAAAAAGAACAGAAGTCACTGAGGACAGCGATGGATGCTAGAAGATAAATCTGACAAAATTATCTAAAATGTAGCATAGAAATATACAGAGATGAAAAATGTGTGAAAGAGATGAAGAGGCATGGTGGATAGCATGAGATATTCCAATAAATATCTGAAAAACGTTTGAGCAGGAGAGAATAGAGAGAAGATGAGTGGAGAAAATGCTCATTTACAAAATCATTCAGCTGTTTAGAAGCATCTAATGTGTGCCAGGCACTATTCTAGGCTCTTAGAACATATAAGGAGATAAAAAGAAGAGATCAGAGCTGATCATCCTCCAGAACTGACTTTGGACAATAATTCTCTTTCAGGAAATGTGTCCCAAGATACACTAGATTATCACCTGGGCACATAGAGAAACTGAAGGACTCAAAGATGGAGATGGGGTTAAAAAATAAGAAAGCAGGATGGGTTCTGTGGCTCACGCCTGTAATCCCGGCACTTTTGGAGGCCAAGGCAGTCAGGAGTTCAAGACAAGCCTGGCCAACATGGTGAAAATACTACTAAAAATACAAGAATTAGCTGGGAGCAGTGGCGTACGCCTGTAGTCCCAGCTACTTGGGAGGCTGAGGCAGAAGAATCACTTGAACCTGGCAGGCGGAGGTTGCAGTGAGCAGAGATTGTGCCACTGCACTCCAGCCTGGGCGACAGAGCGAGACTCCATCTCAAAAAAAAAAAAAAAAAAAAAAAACAAGAAAGCAAACACATTTCCTACAAAGCAACAATGCCTGGACAGGTGACAAACTTCTCAACAGCTGCTATAGAAATTAGAAGACAAGGGAATACAGTCTTCATAGTTCTTAGAGAAAGTATCTGGCAACATAGACCATAAAACCCAACTAATCCATCCTTTGACATGGAAGGTGACTTGAACTAATAACCAGTATACAGTCAACTCTGGTTTAGATTTACCCAAATCCTTACAAACTTTTTGGACAGCTGGAGGAATGTGAATATAGACTATATTAGATAGTTTAAGGAATTACTGTTATTTTTAGTGATATAATATTGTGGTTAAGTAGATGTCTTTAATTTCATAAGACAAACACTCAAGAATATTAGGTGAAACGTCACAATGTTACAGCATCTTTGGGGTGTCGATTTTCTTCCCGGAAACCTTTGTGGCTGGTGGTGTCTTTGGAGACTTTGCCCATGTTCTTGTCCTGTGTCCAGGTACACAGAGAAGCAAAGGGTGAAGAAGATGAAGAGGACCTTTATTTAGTGTTAGAACAGGTCAGAGGAGACCCACAGTGGGTAGCTCCTCTCTGTAGACAGGTTGTTCTGTCGAGTGTTCAGCTCTCAGCAGAGAAGGCCCTGGAGTGGGTAGCTCCTCTCTGCCCATGGTCATCTGCTGCCCTCAGCAGAGAGGAGGCCCTAGACAGAGTGGCTCCTGTCCATAGACAGGTCATTCAGACATCTCCACAGGCCTCTGAAGGTCTCAGCAGAGAGGGTAGCTCCTCTCTGCAGCTGGTCATCCTGTCGTCTCTCTGTCCTCTGCCCTCTGCCCTGCTCTGGCTGAGTCTAGGGCTTTTATGGAATGAGAGGGGAGAAAGTGCCTGCCAGTGGGTCATGGGCAGCCATGGGTGGTCCTGGAGGAGGCACCACAAGTGCTCACTCTGGTAGGCAGAACTGAATGACTGGCCCCCAGCCTTCAGGCCCTCCCTGGCCTGAAAGTGGGGCCTTACTGAGGACCCCCTTCCACCCAGGGCTGTGCCTCCCACTGCCATTCAAAGCCCTAGGACTGGCCCCAACCCGGTTCCCACTGGAGCTGCCGGGGAGAGGAGAGAGGCCAGGCAGTGGGAAGGCTGAGTGGGGTGGGGCGGGCTGCAGAGATGCCCAGGTCCTGCGCCTGGGAGGGCAGCTGCAGCTGCAACCAGGGAGCTCCCACCCTGCCAATTTGGAAGGGGCAGGTTTCCTGATTGTCCCCAGCTCCTGCCTGTTCCATGGAGCAGGAGGCCCAGGTCTGCAGCTGGGGGTCAGGAGGCTGCAGCTGCAACCCGAAGGGCTGATCCTGCCTGCTCTTGCCCCCTCCAAGAGCACAGAGAGGCTGGGATCCACAGCCACAGTTTGGGCTCCGTAGAGCAGGAGGCCGAGGTCCACAGCCAGGGTTTCGGTGGCTGCAGTGGCACCAGGGAAGCTCGCGCCCCAGGTCAGAAGGGGCAGGGCACCCACTGGCTTCATGGAGTGGGCAGCCCCAGCCAGACCTCCTCGCTGCAGCCGGCATGATGGCAGCAGCCACTGCCATCAATCACGTGTGAAATAATTTTTTTAAAACCATAATGAGATATTGTTTCACATAATTATATTGGCTAAAGTAAAAAAATCTGAAAATACCAAGTGTTGGGGAAAAGAAATGCCTTACATGCTACTGGAGGAGGTGTAAATGGGCTAATTAGAGAGCAATTTGAGACTAAGTGGTAAAGTTGAAGATGTAATCTCCTTCTACTCAGTAATTCTGCTCTTTAAGTTTATAGCTTAGAAAAATTCTCCTGCATATACAGAGGCATCTTCCAAGTGGTCCCAATGAGTGCCGCCTAGAGGTTGTATGTGTATGGCCCTTTATCCCCAGCATGCATTTTCCAACATTCTTCCTTGTCTCTTGCTTTTTTTTTTTTTAGACAGAGTTTCACTGTTGTTGCCCAGGCTGGAGTACAATGGTGCGATCTTGGCTCACCGCAACTTCCGCCTCCCAGGTTCAAGCGATTCTTCTGCCTCAGCCTCCCGCGTAGCTGGGATTACAGGTGAGGAGCAAGCAAGGGCCGTGAGGGCTGCCAGCACGCTGTCACCTCTCAATGGCAGGCGCCTGTAGTCCCAGCTACTAGGGAGGCTGAGTTGGGAGGATCTCTTGAGCCCGGGAGTCAGAGGTTGCAGTGAGCCAAGATGGCGCCGCTGCACTCTAGCCTGGGCGACAGAGCCAGACTCTGTCTCAAGAAGAACTATTCTGATGTGAATATTGCACCACCTATGATGTGATCAGCCAATAATGTTTGATATGAATCCAATGAAAACTTTGGATCTAATTTACAATTTATAGGAAATATAGAGGAAAGAGGAATGTGCTAACCACTATCACAGGAAGCAGTCGGACCCCGGAGGTGGGAAACTCTGTAGAACAGCCTACCCTGTCTCTTCAGCCAGTGAGCACTATGAAAAAAGGGCTGTCCAAGACTAAAAGAGACTAACAGGCATACTAAATAAACTGACAGTATGTGGTTCTGGATTGGATCTGAACTGAAAAAGCAAACACTATTGGGATAATTGGGAATCTTTGAATATGGAATGGATATTAGATGATACTAAGAAATTGTTTATTTTGTTAGATGTGTTTATGTTTATTTGACTAAGAAAAAGTTCTTTTTTAATATAGACAAATTATACTTAAGGTTGGAATATCAAGTCATCTAAAATTCTGGATTTTTAAAATATAAAGCAAGTTAAAAAATGTTTTAAATGAAGGTGAAGTCGAGTCATTTTTATTCAAAGAAAACAGTTTATCACCTACACAGCCTCAGTGAAGGATTTCTAAGAGATGTATTTCAAGATGAAGAAAGCTGAACGTTAAGATGCAGGAGAGAGGAGTCTACGAATAAATCAGTAAGAACTTGAGTACGTTTAAAGAGGAGCTGACTGTACAAAGCAAGAATAATAATATCATCAATCTGGGGCATAAAAAATAAGATACAGCGATAACGCTGGACACCAGATGGAAGGGAGGTGGTCAGCGTGGTAGCGTTCAGAGGCCCTTTACTCTTCTGAAAGAAGGCACTGAAGTTGATCAACTTTACACTTGGTCAAGTGTGCATATTAAAATATTAAAGATAGGTCAGGCGCAGTGGCTCATGCCTGTAATCCCAGCACTTTGGGAGGCCGAGGCGGGCAGATCACAAGGTCAGGAGATCGAGATCATCCTGGCCAACATGGTGAAACCCCGTCTCTACTAAAATACAAAAAAAAAAAAAAATCATCTGGGCATAGTGGTGCACACCTGTAGTCCCAGCTACTCGGGAGGCTGAGGCAGGGGAATAGCTTGAACCTGGGAGGCGGAGGTTGCAGTGAGCTGAGATCATGCCAGTGCCCTCCAGCCTGGCAACAGAGGGAGACTCTGTCTCAAAAAATAATAATAATAATAATAAAATAAAATATAAAAGATATTTACCAAGAGAATAGAAACAGAAAGTTAACTTCAAACCAGTAGAGAGAAAATAAGGGAAAAAAATAAAACATAGTAATTCCAAATTATTATCATGAGGTCAGGAGTTTGAGACCAGCCTGACCAACATGGTGAAACCTTGTCTCTACTAAAAATACAAAAATTAGCCAGACATGGTGGCGGGAGCCTGTAATCCCAGCTACTCGGGAGGCTGAGGCAGGAGAATTGCTTGAACCCAGGAGGCGGAGGTTGCAGTGAGCCAAGATCGTGCCATAGCACTCCAGCCTGGGTGACAGAGCAAGACTCTGTTTCAAAAATAAATAAATAAATAAATAAATAAATCCAAATAGTCACCAATAAGTATAATTTTCCCATCATTCCAAGGATTAGTGGGTTGAATGATTTTTAAATAACAAGCTATGTGCTATTTACTAGATCACATTTAAAACAAAGAAGCTATTTTCAGAAAACTTGAAAATAAATGGATGGAAAAAGATATAGTAGACAAAGAGCTAACCAAACAAAAGGATTATTAGGGTGGGAGCAGTGGCTCACGCCTGTAATCCCAGCACTTTGGGAGGTCGAGGTGGGCAGATCACAAGGTCAGGAGCTTGAGACCAGCCTGGCCAACATGGTGAAACCCCATCTCCACTAAAAATACAAAAAATTAGCCAGGCGTGGTGGCGGGCGCCTGAAATCCCAGCTACTTGGGAGGCTGAGGCAGGAGAATTGCTTGAACCTGGGAGGCAGAGGTTGCAGTGAGCCGAGATCGCGCCACTGCACTCCAGCCTGGGCGATAGAGCAAGACTCTGTCTCAGACACACACACACAAACACACACACACACACACACACGATCCCGTGGATCAGAGCTGTTAGCAAATATGTCTATTATAATTTCACATTCAGGAACCTGGGAAATAACCACATGGTGAGTTCACGGCCCAACCGGGCCTGCCTGTTCTGAGTCAGACTGGAATTGAGAGTCCATCCATCACTTGACCACCATAACCCCTATTTGTTTTATTGTTTGTTTGTTTGTTTTTAAGAATCAGGATCTCACTCTGTCTCCCAGGATGAAGTGCAGTGGTGCGATCATAGCTCACTGCAGCCTTGATCTCCTGGACTCAAGCAATCCTCTCACCTCAGCCACTTGAGTAGCTGGGACAACAGGCTTGCGCCATCACTGGAGCTGTTCTTAAATTTTTTTAGAGTTGGGGATTTTGCTATGTTGCTCAGGCTAGTCCCAAACTCCTGACCTCAAGGAATCTCCTGCCTCAGCCTTCTGAGTCACTGGGATTACAGGTGTGAGCCACTGTGCTGGCTCCCATATATCCCTACTTGGAATAGCATTTTGAATCCCCAGAATTGGCATTAATGCAGAGCCAGTGTCCAATAATCCCCAAAAGGTCTGGGTATTTCCTTTTTTGCAAGGCATAGTCACTCTAGGAAATGCCTGCAGATTCCTTTAGGGAATGCTTGGAAAATGTTTTATGTAGTTGTTGGTGTTCTTTGTTTTGTTTTGTTTTGTTTTTGAGACAAGGTCTTGTTCTGTTCCCCAGGCTGGAGTGCAGTGGTGCAATCTCGGCTCACTGCAACCTCGACCTCCTACAGTCAAGCTATCCTCCTACCTCAGCTCTCAAGTAGCTGGGACTACAGGCACACACCACCACACCTGCTAATTTTTTGTTTATTTTTTGTAGAGATGAGGTCTCACTATTTTGCCCAGGCTGGTCCCGAACTCCTGAGTTCAAGTGATCCTCCCGCCTCAGCCTCCCAAAATGCTGGGATTACAGGTGTGAGCCACTATGCCCAGCCAGAATGCTTAGAAGATGAAGGTGTTCCCTCCCTCCCTTTCTTTTTTTTTCCTTTTTCTTTCTTTCTTTTTCTTTTTCTTTCTTTCTTTTCTTTCTTTTCTTTCTTTTCCTTCTTTCTTTCTTTTCCTTCTTTCTTTCTTTCTCTTTCTTTCTTTCTTTCTTTCTTTCTTTCTTTCTTTCTTTCTTTCTTTCTTTCTTTCTTTCTTTCTTTCTTTCTTTCTTTCTCTCCTTCCTTCTTTCTTTCTTTCTTTCTTTTTGAGGCAGAATCTCGCTCTCTCACCCAGGCTGGAGTGCAGTGGTGCGATCTCGGCTCATTGCAACCTCTGCCTCCCGGGTTCAAGCGACCTTCTGCCTCAGCCTCCTGAGTAGCTGGGATTACAGGTGCATGCCACCACACCCAGCTAATTTTTGTATTTTAGTAGAGACGGGGTTTCACCATGTTGGCCAGGATGGTCTCGATCTCCTGAAATCGTGATCCACCTGCCTTGGCCTCACAAAGTGCTGGGATTATAGGCATGAGCCACTGCGCCTGGCTTCAGGTGTTTTCTTATAGCAGTGTTACGAGGTCCTGCAAGATCTTCAAGGGAACCTAGCCTCCTATTCAAGCAAAGGTTCTGAATCAGTGAACCAACTTCACTCTGAATCAGTGAACCAACTTAAGCCTGGAAACTGAGTGAGAGGCCACCATTCACCATTGTTATGACTCAAATCAATGCCTGACTCAAATCAGGTATTTGGCTGCTGGACATAGAGTTTTCCTATTATATAGATCAGTTAAGATCTCTGTAGGCCAAAGTGTTTTGATTGCTGAAACATTTCTGATGCCCTTTATGGTTGATGTGCCCACCTTGTCTTTGTTGGTTAAGTGCTTCAACTTGGCCTCTGCTACAATGCAATACCGTCATCCCCACTGAAATTAGGGGGCCCATCTTAAAGTTGGAACCACCTACAGCCTGGCCTAACAAAGGGAATAACCACAGAACTTGTCAAAGACACAGGTGCTCCCCTGACAAATGTATTTTTTAATGCCTTGGTAAAGGGAGTATCTTCTTGGGTCTTCACATAGAATATAGTTAGGGAATAAGTCACACATGATCAATCCACTCCAACATTGCCATCTCCCGGTGCTCTTGGATTTCTTCTTTCACGACACACCAGCAAAGCTCTGGCGTCTTAACCTCATTAAATTAGACCTCATGAAACTTGAATTTTGAGTTCAAGTTTCAGTCAATCAACAAAATAAGCAGTTAGATTCACCTTTATCTACACAAGCTAATACTTTACATTCAGAATTCTAGTAAGCACACTCACGTAAAAGGATTTGGCCTGATATTGTGTTATATTTTGCCCTCTGATCTACCAACCTCAGAATCCATTCCTATGTATAGTCACCAGATTACTACTAATATATGTTAGCAAGGCCCTGCAATCCTTTTCGTGCCTAAGCTGTCTCCTCCTGGGTCTTAAGTCCTCCTGTCCCTCTGGAGCATGCTAAGACTTTGTGGGTCTGGTGGCCACAGGGTATGGCTATGGTGGGTCTAGTGGAGAATGAGCATCCCTATTCAAGGCGTCTGCCTCAAGCAAGGTTGTCACAAGGATTTCAAGCAGAACAAAGGTAACGTCCTCAGACACCAGAGGGCAACCTACTTCTGCTGGTCAGGGGACTCAGAACGACCCCCTGATAATCTTGGATCTCAAGACTATGGGCTTCATTTGGATGTCTCAATTCATTTGAGTTGTCTCAGTTCATTTGAGATGTCTTGATTACAAGGTTCAGGATCCCATTCTTTCCTTATCAGTGCCCTAACTTTCACATTAAAAACTTGGCAAGACTGTGAACTGAAATGTCATTATTATTCAGCAACCTGCACAATTAAATTTTATTTTTGGTCTTCAGCAATATCAGCCCTGGATCTACAAGAAAGATTCCTAAAAATAATTTTTTTTAGAGACAAGATCTCGCTATGCTGCCCAAGCTGGTCTTAAACTCCTGGCCTCAAGCAATGCTCCTGCCTCAGCCTCCCGAGTTGCTGGGATTATAGGCATGAGTCACGTTCCCGGCAAGGTTCTTTTTAGGGTCATCATGGAAGCTTTCTGGTTCTCACTTCAAGACTTGAACTGAAAGGTAACAGACAGGAGCTTGTCATTTTTTCTCTTATGAGCTCCCAAGTACGCTGGAAAGAACTGTCCCACACCTTAGAGCTTATAGTCATTATTACTGTCATAATGGTGCAGGGTAGCAGCCATATGGGCTCCTGAGGCATGTGCTTCCTTCCGTTGGCACTCTATAAAAATCAACCACAGATGATGGCTTGACTAGTTGTGACGCCATTGCACGCCCATTTCTCATGGACAAGGAGGTTAGTACTGTGCTCAAGCCCAAGGACACAAACAAACCAATGCCCACATCTCACGTTTATCAGTCTATTCCTGGGACCACTCCTGGGACTGAATTTTTTTTTTTTTTATGAAGTTTTTGCTTTTTGTCACCCAGCCTAGAGTGCAATGGCACGATCTGGGCTCACTGCAACCTCCGCCTCCCAGGTTCCAGTGATTCTCCTGCCTCAGCCTCCCAAGTAGCTGGGATTACAGGTGTGTGCCACCACGCCCTGCTAATTTTTATATTTTTAGTAGAGATGGGGTTTCGCCATGTTGGTCAGGCTAGTGTCGAACTCCTGACCTCCAGTGATCCACCCACCTCGGCCTCCCAAAGTGCTGGGATTACAGGTGTGAGCCACCGCACCCGGCCAGGACCGATTTTTTATCAGTCTGTGTCCAATTAGTAGACAGAAACCATCCAGTAACTTAAACAGAGTGGCTTAATATAAAGAATTACTAAATGATGACAGGATGGTAACTATAAAGATGTGAAAAAAGCTCTAAAGGGTATTGTGGAGTGGAGGGAGAATACTACCAAGGCCCTGGTTGAGACCTTATTGGAGAAGCTGCGGCTGCAGTCCACTGGATGGCGGAAAGGTCTGCCACATGCCCAGGCCAGAGCTAGTCAGCAATCAGCAGGCAAGCAGGAAACAACCCCCAGGGTGCCAGGGGAATGAGGCTGATGGACAGGCCTGCATGGAGAGCTTGGCTGCTTGGAGCACGTGGTGTCCACATCAGGAGGGTTGCGAGGTGAGCTGAGGCCAGTGGACAGGCATGCAGAGACAGTGAGGGCACCACTACGGCTGTGCGGTCTGGAGTGTGCTAAATCTGCATTGGCAGCAGCAAGGTGGTCTCTGGGCCCACACTGGGGCCTCATGGTAGCTTATTTATAGTGTGCAGCTGAGGGGCTGCATTCCCATTCTTGGTGCACACAGCTTGAACAGAGCACTCGTAGATAGTCCCCACCATCGGCATACACTCATTGCTGTTAGACAATGGAAGAGGAGCAATAAAAGCAAAATGCAGCACACTGGAACTAGGAAGAGAAGCTCCCTTCCTTCTACAGTATCCCTCCTGTGCCCTCTACTGAAAAAGCTCAACATCACGCTCCTTGCAAAGGAGAAATGCTTACATAGTCCAGTCTTTAACAGTGCTTTGATAGGGCCAGGTGCAGTGACTCATACCTGTAGTCCCAGCTGCTTCAGAGGCTGAGGCAGGAGGATCACTTGAGCCCAGGAATTAAACACCAGCCTGGACAACATAGTGAGAGCCCATCTAAAAAAAAAAATCCTGTCGTAGTGGCATTCTGGCTGTCACATCTTTCCTGAGTTTGTGGCTGGTTAGCTTCAATCTGTCATTTTCTTCATTCAGCATATCAATGGCACTTAACAGCAACCTAATAAGGTATAAGATATACAGATTAGAAAGGAAAAAATAAAACTGACATCATTCATAGACGACATAGAAAATCCAAAAGAGTTCACAAAAACTGTTAAAATTAAGAAGTAAATTTAGCATAATCTTTAAAACAATTTTTTAATTTTTAATTTTTTTTTTTGAGACAGAATTTTGCTCTTGTTGCCCAGGCTGGAGTTCAGTGGTGTGATCTCGGCTCACTGCAGCCTCCACCTCCTGGGTTCAAGTGATTCTCCTGTCTCAGCCTCCCAAGTAGCTGGAATTACAGGCACTTGCCACGATGCCCGGCTAATTTTTGTATTTTTAGTAGAGATGGGGTTTTGCCATGTTGGCAAGGCTGGTCTCGAACTCCTGACCTCAGGTGATCCACCCGCCTCAGCCTCCCAAAGTGCTGGGATTACAGGCGTGAGCCACTGCGCCCAGCCTCATCAATATTTTTTACAAGTACCTTTTTACATGCCAGTAACTGTCAATTAGAAAATGAGATTTTTTAAAAAATACAATCCAGGCACAGTGGCTGATGCTTATAATGCCAGTGCTTTGGAGGCTGAAGCAGGAGGTTTGCTTGAAGCCAGGAGTTCAAGACCAGCCTGAGCAACATAGTGAGATCTCATCTCTACAAAAAATTAATAAAATTAGTCAGGCATGATGGCACGTACCTGTGGTCCCAGCTACTCAGGAGGCTGAGGCAGGAGGATCACTTGAGCCCAGGAGTTTGGGCTGTAGCGAGCTATGATCGCACTTTTTCATTCCAGCCTGGGTGACAGAACAAGACACTGTCTCTTAAAAAGAAAAAAATAATAATTACAATTGCATCAAATACCAAGAAAAATATCTAACACAGTATCTAACCCAGAACGATATCTAACAAAAGACATGCAAGATCTTTACAAAACATCACTAACAGTGACACTAGTAAAAATGGTGGAGGGGGAACCTCTGGAGGCCACCCCTCCCCAGAGACACCCAAAAAAACTATCAAGAATTGTCAGAATCAACCTTATCAAACTCTAAAATATAGTCAAAGGTTTACCGCAACCAAGCAAATGCTTAACCAGAAAAGCTACTGTAAGGGAAGGAGAGTGTCAAGGTGTTATTTTGTGTTTTGTTTTGTTTTGTTTTGTTTTGTTTTGTTTTGTTTTGTTTGTGAGACAGAGTCTTGCTCTGTCGCCCAGGCTGGAGTGCAGTGGCGTGATCTCGGCTCACTGCAGCCTCCGCCTCCCAGGTTCAAGTGATTCTCCTGCCTCAGCCTCCTGAGTAGCGTGGCCTACAGGTGCGTGCCACCACGCCTGGCTAACTTTTTGTATTTTTAGTAGAGATGGGGTTTCACCATGTTAGCCAGGATGGTCTCGATCTCCTAACCTCGTGATCCTCCCACCTCGGCTTCCCAGAATGCTGGGATTACAGGCGTGAGCCACTGTGCCCGGCCCCTCGAGATGTTTTAAACGAGCCTTTCCCCACACCCCTCCTTGGCATGGAAGATGGCGGCTGGCGTTCCTGATAACTGGTTCCAGAGGGAACAGAGTGGACTTTGTTCCCAAGAAGTTGTGTTTATCTGTTTTCACCTGATGGGTTTCCCTGAAGGATTGATATAAGAGGCTTCTCTTTGTTTTGCCTAACTCAGAAATCTATCAGGGTGGAGCAGCTGTGCAGAGGGCATTCTTTGAAAACTGAAAGATAAATGAACTAGCTGCTGCCACCCAGGGCAAAACGTAACATTGGGGCAAAGAAGACATGAAGAAAGCCTGGGGGGAAAAGCTGGAGAGTGAGATTTTGGGGAAATAGGAGGTCTGGAAAATCTCCTCTGTATACTGGGGAACCTAGAAATCCACACACATGCCCAAGGCAGGATGCATGCCCAGAAAAGACCTGAGAAGAGCACAAGCATTCACCTCCAAATGGTCTTTAGGCTCAGAAGAAACAGAAAGTGAAGGCTAAGAAAGAGTTGTAAATGGCCAGGTTAGGCATTGAAAAAGTTCTCCCAACACAGAGCCAATCTGCAAACACCTAGAGAGTAATTTTGCTTTGCCTGCCTTTCTTTCCTTCCTTCTTTCTTTCTCTCTCTCTTCTTTCTTTCTCTCTCTCTCTTTCTTTTTCCCTCTCTTTCTTTCTTTCTTTCTCTACCTCCCGGGTTCAAGCGATTCTCCTGCCTCAGCCTTCCAAGTAGCTGGGGTTACAGGCACCCACCACCATGCCCAGGTAATTTTTTAATTTTTAGTAGAGGCAGGGTTTCACCATGTTGTCCAGGCTGGTCTCGAACTCCTGACATCAGGTGGTCTGCCCGCCTTGGCCTCCCAAAGTGCTGAGATTACAGGTGTGAGCCACCACACCTGGCGCCCTTTCCTTCCTTTTTAGTCATATCATAATATTAAAGGTGTCGGCCAGGCACAGTGGTTCACACCTGTAATCCCAGCACTTTGGGAGGCCAAGGCAGGTGGATCACCAGAGGTCAGGAGTTAGAGACCAGCCTGGGCAACACGGTGAAACCCTGTCTCTACTAAAAATGCAAAATTAGCCAGGTGTCATGGCAAGCGCCTGTAATCCCAGCTACTTGGGAGGCTGGAGCAGAAGAATCACCTGAACCTGGGAAGTGGAGGTTGCAGTGAGTCAAGATTGCACCACTGCACTCCAGCCTGGGTGATAGAGGGAGACTGTGTCTCTAATAATAATAATAATAATTTAAAAAATACAAAATACAAAAAATAAAAATATAAAAATTAGCCAGGCATGGTGGCAGGCACCTGTAATCCCAGCTACTCAGGAGGCTGAGGCAGGAGAATCACTTGAACCTGGGAGGTGGAGGTTGCAGTGAGCCAAGATTGTGCCATTGCACTCCAGCCTGGGCAACAAGAGTGAGACTCCATCTCAAAATATAAATACATATATATATATAAATAAATGTATGGTGTCTAGTTTTCTTTTTATTTAATTTTTTTTCTAGATAGGGTCTCACTCTGTTGCCCAGGCTGGAGTGCAGTGATGTGATCTCAGCTCACTGCAACCTCTGCCTCTCCAGCTCAAGCAATCCTCCACCTCAGTCTCCAGAGTAGCTGGGACTACAGGTGCATGACACCACACCCAGCTAATTTTTATATTTTTTGTAGAGATGAGAGGCTGATGCAGGAGGATTACTTGAGCCTCCTGCTGCAGTGAGCCATGATCATGCCACTGTACTGTAGCCTGGGTGACAGAGTGAGACCCTTTCTCCAAAAAGATAGAAAGGGAGAAAGAGAGAAGGAAGGAAGGAAAGGAAGGAAGGAAGGTAGAAAGAAAGACAGAAAGAAAGAAAGAAATGAACAGAGCCTAGGAGACTTGTGAGGCACCATTAAACATGTCAATCTAGGCATAATGAGAATGTAAGAAACAGAAGAGATAGAAAGAGGCATAAAGAATATTTGAAGAGCTCTCCCTCTCCCTCTCCCTGTCTTTCCACGGTCTCCCTCTCCCTGTCTTTCCACGGTCTCCCTCTCCCTGTCTTTCCACGGTCTCCCTCTTCCTCTCTTTCCACGGTCTCCCTCTCCCTCTCTTTCCACGGTCTCCCTCTCCCTCTCTTTCCACAGTCTCCCTCTCCCTCTCTTTCCACGGTCTCCCTCTGATGCCGAGCCGAAGCTGGACTGTGCTGCTGCCATCTTGGCTCACTGCAACCTCCCTGCCTGATTCTCCTGCCTCAGCCTGCCGAGTGCCTGCGATTGCAGGAGCGCACCGCCACGCCTGACTGGTTTTCGTATTTTTTTGGTGGAGACGGGGTTTCGCTGTGTTGGCCAGGCAGGTCTCCAGCTCCTAACCGCGAGTGATCCGCCAGCCTCGGCCCCCCGAGGTGCCGGGATTGCAGACGGAGTCTCCTTCACTCAGTGCTCAATGGTGCCCAGGCTGGAGTGCAGTGGCGTGATCTCGGCTCGCTACAACCTCCACCTCCCAGCCGCCTGCCTTGGCCCCCCAAAGTGCCAAGATTGCAGCCTCTGCCTGGCCGCCACCCCGTCTGGGAAGTGAGGAGCGTCTCTGCCTGGCCGCCCATCGTCTGGGATGTGAGGAGCCCCTCTGCCTGGCTGCCCAGTCTGGAAAGTGAGGAGTGTCTCTGCCCGGCCGCCATCCCATCTAGGAAGTGAGGAGCGCCTCTTCCTGGCTGCCATCCCATCAAGGAAGTGAGGAGCGTCTCTGCCCGGCCACCCATCATCTGAGATGTGGGGAGCGCCTCTGCCCCTGCCCGCCACCCCTTCTGGGATGTGAGGAGCACCTCTGCCCGGCCGCGACCCCGTCTGGGAGGTGAGGAGTGTCTCTGCCCTGCCGCCCCGTCTGAGAAGTGAGGAGACCCTCTGCCTGGCAGCCACCCCGTCTGGGAAGTGAGGAGCGTCTCCGCCCGGCAGCCGCCCCGTCTGGGAGGGAGGTGGGGGGGTCAGCCCCCCGCCCAGCCAGCCGCCCCGTCCGGGGGGGGGGCCGGCCCCCCACCCGGCCAGCTGCCCCGTCCGGGAGGTGAGGGGCGCCTCTGCCTGGCCGCCCCTACTGAGAAGTGAGGAGCCCCTCTGCCCGGCCACCACCCCATCTGGGAGGTGTACCCAACAGCTCATTGAGAACGGGCCATGATGACAATGGCGGTTTTGTGGGATAGAAAAGGGGGAAAGGTGGGGAAAAGATTGAGAAATCAGATGGTTGCTGTGTCTGTGTAGAAAGAAGTAGACATGGGAGACTTTTCATTTTGTTCTGTACTAAGAAAAATTCTTCTGCCTTGGGATCCTGTTGATCTATGACCTTACCCCCAACCCTGTGCTCTCTGAAACATGTGCTGTGTCCACTCAGGGTTGAATGGATTAAGGGCGGTGCAAGATGTGCTTTGTTAAACAGATGCTTGAAGGCAGCATGCTCGATAAGAGTCATCACCACTCCCTGAACCCAAGTAACCAGGGACACAAACACTGCGGAAGGCCGCAGGGTCCTCTGCCTAGGAAAACCAGAGACCTTTGTTCACTTGTTTATCTGCTGACCTTCCCTCCACTATTGTCCTATGACCCTGCCAAATCCCCCTCTGCGAGAAACACCCAAGAATGATCAATAAAAAAAAATAAAAAAAGAATATTTGAAGAATTAACCTAGGCATTACCATTCAGGACATAGGCATGGGCAAGGACTTCATGTCTAAAACACCAAAAGCAATGGCAACAAGAGCTAAAATGGACAAATGGGATCTAATTAAACTAAAGAGCTTCTGCACAGCAAAAGAAACTACCATCAGAGTGAACAGGCAACCTACAAAATAGGAGAAAATTTTCGCAACCTACTCATCTGACAAAGGGCTAATATCCAGAATCTACAATGAACTCAAACAAATTTACAAGAAAAAAACAAACAACCCCATCAAAAAGTGGGCGAAGGACATGAACAGACACTTCTCAAAAGAAGACATTTATGCAGCCAAAAAACACGTGAAAAAATGCTCACCATCACTGGCCATCAGAGAAATGCAAATCAAAACCACAATGAGATACCATCTCACACCAGTTAGAATGGCAATCATTAAAAAGTCAGGAAACAACAGGTGCTGGAGAGGATGTGGAGAAATAGGAACACTTTTACACTGTTGGTGGGACTGTAAACTAGTTCAACCATTGTGGAAGTCAGTGTGGCGATTCCTCAGGGATCTAGAACTAGAAATACCATTTGACCCAGCCATCCCATTACTGGGTATATACCCAAAGGACTATAAATCATGCTGCTATAAAGACACATGCACACGTATGTTTATTGAGGCATTATTCACAATAGCAAAGACTTGGAACCAATCCAAATGTCCAACAACTGTAGACTGGATTAAGAAAATGTGGCACATATACACCATGGAACACTATGCAGCCATAAAAAATGATGAGTTCATGTCCTTTGTAGGGACATGGATGAAACTGGAAATCATCATTCTCAGCAAACTATCGCAAGGACAAAAAACCAAACACCGCATGTTCTCACTCATAGGTGGGAATTGAACAATGAGAACACATGGACACAGGAAGGGGAACATCACACTCTGGGGACTGTTGTGGGGTGGGGGGAGGGGGGAGGGATAGCATTAGGAGGTAAACCTAATGCTAAATGACGAGTTAATGGGTGCAGCACACCAGCATGGCACATGTATACATATGTAACTAACCTGCACATTGTGCATATGTACCCTAAAACGTAAAGTATAATAATAACAATAAAAAAAAGAATATTTGAAGAATTAATGCCCCAAAATTTGATAAAAGACATGAATCTACACATCCAAGAAGCTCAACAAACTCCTAAACTCAAAGAGATCCACATTGAGACAGATCATCAAACTGTTGAAAGCCAAATATAAAGACACAAACTTGAAAGCAGAGAGAAGTGAATCATAATGTGCAAGGGATAATCAATAAGTATAACAGCCAGTTTCTCATTAGAAACGATTAAGGCCAGAAGGCAGTGGAATGACATATTTAAAGAACTAAAAGAAAAAAAGCTGTCTACCAAGAATTCTATTCCAGTCAAACTATCCTTCAAGAATTTAGAAGAAATTAAGACACTCCCAGATAAACAAAAGCTGAGAGTTTATTACCATTAGTCTGGACCTATAAAAAAAGTTATTGGGAGTTCCTTGGGGCAAAAGGAAAGGAACCTACACAATAATGAATTTGGACACTTATTCCATAAGGACACCATAAATAAAAATTAACTAAAAATCGGTCAAAAACCTGAAAGTCAGAACTAACACTATACAATTATTAGAAGAAAACTTAGGGAGAAATCTTCATGACGTTGGATTTGGCAATGGTTTCTAAAATATGACACCAAAAGCACAAGCAACAAAAGAAAAAATAGGTAAGTTGGACTTCATCAAAATTAAAAACTGTTTGCATCAAAAGACACTATAAAGAAAATGAAAAGATAATATTTTCTCCCAGACAGAGCCTGCGAGACTTGTGAGACCATTAAGCGTACCAACTTAGGCCTAATGAGAATGCAAGACAGAGAAGAGGCAGAAAGTGGCAATAGAAGGGGAGAAAATATTTGCATATTAAACATCTGATAAGGGTCTAGTATCCAGCCTATATAAAGAACTCTCAGCCGGGCACAGTGGCTCATGCCTGTAATCCCAACTACTTGGGAGGCTGAGGCAGGAGAATCGCTTGAACCCAGGAGGCGGAGGTTGCAGTGAGCCAAGTTCGCGCCATTGCACTCCAGCCTGGGCAACAAGAGTGAAACTCTGTCTCTCAAAATAAATAAATAAATAGATAGGTAGGTAGATAGATAGATAGATAGATAGATAAATAGATAGATAGATAGATAGATAGATAGATAGATAGATAGATAGATAAAATAGAACTCTCACAATTCAACAGCCAAAAGACAAACAACCCAATTAAAACATGGGCCAAAGTGCATTGCTGGTGGGAATGGGACATAAAACGATGCAGCTGCTGTGGATAGCAGCATGGCAGTTTCTCAAAAAATTAAATGTAGAGCTACCATATGGTTCAGTAATTCCACTTCTGGGTATATATCCAAAAGAATTGAAAGCAGAGCCTGGAATAGATATTTGTACACCAATGTTCACAGTGGCATTATTCACAGAAGCCAACAGGTGAAAACAACCCAAATGTCATCTACAGATGAATAGATAAACAAAATGTGTTATATACATACAATGGAATATTATTCATCCATAAAAATACCATCTACAACATGGATGAACCTTGAAAACATGCAAAATGAAAGAAACCAATCACAACAGGCCACATATTATGTGATTCTATTTATATGAAATGTCCAGAATAGGCAAAGCCACAGAGACAGAAGCCGATTGCAGAAGCTGGATGCATGGGGGAAATGAGGGGCGACTGCTTCATGAGTACAGGGTTTCTGTTGAGTAATGAAAAATTTCTGGAACTAGATAGTGGTGATGGTTGTGTAGCATTCTGAATGTATTTAACACCACTATATCACTTTAAAATTGTTAAAATGGTAAATTTTGTTGTATGTATTTTACCACAATTTAAAACTAACTGTTTTTTTCTTCTTTTTTTAAGACACAGGGTCCTGCTTTGTTGCCCAGGCTGGAGTGCAGTGGCACGATGATTGCTCACTGCTGCCTCGACCTCCTGGACTCAAGCAATACTCCTGCCTCAGCCTCCTGAGTAGCTTGGACCAGAGGTGCCAGCCACTGCGCCTGGCTTATTTTTAAATGTTTTGTGGAAGGCCAGGTGCTCACACCTATAATCCCAGCACTTTGGGAGGCCAAGGCGGGTGGATCTCTTGAGGCCAGGAGTTCAAGACCAGCCTAGCCAACATGGTGAAACCCCATCTCTACTAAAACTATAAAAATGAGCCAGGCATGGTGAT
The DNA here is from genome assembly GCF_000001405.40 of Homo sapiens. NCBI lineage: Eukaryota > Metazoa > Chordata > Mammalia > Primates > Hominidae > Homo > Homo sapiens. The sequence goes on along the minus strand of NC_000006.12, from coordinate 33,481,783 downwards.
GCACACCTGTAATCCCAACTACTTGGGAGGCTGAGGCAGGAGAATTGCTTGAACCTGGGAGGCAGAGGTTGCAGTAAGCAGAGATTGTGCCACTGCACTCCAGCCTGGGTGACAGAGCAAGACACTGTCTAAAAAAACAAACAAACAAAAAACACCTTTTTTTTTTTTTTTTTTATGTAGAGACAGAGTCTATCTATGTTGTCTGGAGTGGTCTTGAACTCCTGGCCTCAAGTGATCCTCCTGCCTCAGCCTCCCAAAGTGTTGAGATTACAGGTGTGAGCCACTGTGCCTGGCCACAAACTAATTATTAATGTGAATAATGCTGGAGTGAACATGGGAGTGCAGATATTTTACAAGGTGGTGATTTCATCTCTGGGCGTATACCCAGCAGAGGGGGTTGCTGGGTCATAAGGTAGTTCTATTTTCAACTTCTTTAGGAGTCTCTGCACTGTTTCCCATAGTGGTTGTACCAATCTACATTCCCAACAACAGTGTGCCAGGTTCCCTTTTCTCCATACCCTCACCAACATTTATTATCTCCTGTCTTCCTGATAATAGCCATCCTTATGGGTGTAAGGTGGTATCTCATAGTGGTTTTAACTTGCACTTCCCTTATGGATGAACGGATAAAGAAAATGTGTGTGTGGGGGGGGGTGTGTGTATGTGTATGTCACAAATATATATAATGGAATATTATTTGGCCTTTAAAAAGGAGATCCTGCCATTTGCCACAACATGGATGGACCTGAAGGACATTATGCTAAGCGAAATAAGCCAGACAGAGAAAGAAAATATTGCATGAGCTCACTTATATGTGGAATATTTTTAAAAAGAGCTCAACTACAGACATAGAGAATGAGAGAGTGGTTCAGGGAGGGGGAGGAAATGGGAAGATATAAGTCAAAGGATACAAAGTAGCAGATACGTAAGATAAACAAGTGTAGACAGCTAATGTACAGCATGAAGACTAAAGTTCATAAAATTAATTATTACTAAGAATTTATTATTATTTTGTTTTGAGACAGAGTCTCGTTGTCAGCCCGGGCTGGAGTGCAATGGCACGATCTCGGCTCACTGCAACCTCCACCTGCTGGGTTCCAGCAATTCTCCTGCCTCAACCTCCAGAGTAGCTGAGATTACAGGCGCCCGGCACCACGCCCAGCTAATTTTTGTGTATTTTTAGTAGATATGGGGTTTCACCATGTTGGCCAGGCTGGTCTCAAACTCCTGACCTCAGGTGATCCACCCTCCTTGGCCTCCCAAAGTGCTGGGATTACAGGTGTGAGCCACCACACCCGGCTAAGAATTTATTATTTGTTAAATAAATAGATCTCAGCTGCTTTTGTCACAAGAAAAAGTAACCACATGAGAGGACAGACATGTTAACTTGCTTCATTATTGTAATCATTTTACTATCCATGTGTATCCCACAACATCATGTAGTAAATCTGAAATATACACAATAAAATTTATTTTTAAAAATAATTGCTATTAGCCACGCATGGTGGCACGTGCCTGTAATCCCAGCTACTCAGGAGGCTGAGGCAGGAGAATCACTTGAACTCAGGAGGCGAAAGTTGCAGTGAGCCAAGATCGCACCACTGCACTCCAGCCTGGGCGACAGAAAGAGACTCTGTCTCAAAATAATAATAATAATAATAATAATAATAATAATAATAATAATAATAGTTAAAAAATAGTAAGGACTTAAATAAATGAAAGGCTATACCACATGAATGGGAAAATGCAATATTATAAAGATATCACTTCTGAAATCTCTAAAAATAAATATAAACAAACAAATGGAATTGATTCAAAAATGTATATGGAATTACAAAGAGCAAGGAATGGCAAACACAATCTTGAAGTAAAAGAACAAATTTGGAGGTCCTACACTAATAGATATCATAAAGCTATAATATTTAAGACAGTGTGGTATGGGTGAAAAGATAGACAGACTAATGTTATGCATTTTCTGTGTCAGTTCGCCACATTACAAAATGAAACAACTGAAGTGAACACTGTGAGGAAAGCAGGTGAACTGAAAACACTAAAGAATCATGTATATTGGAAAAGATAAATTATATTAGGAGGTGAAGGCATAAAAAGATATATACTTGGCCATGCACATGTTCCATCTCCTGTGCATACCTTATTTTCTGCGTGTGAGAAAATAAAGACAAATTATTAAAATAATTGTGGATCTGGAAAGCTGTGCAATCATCACCACCTTCTAGCTTACTGTGTTCCTTTCAAAAAATGCATTGATTTAGAAGGAATAATGCTGGAAGGAGCTAAGCTGGAGGAAGAGGAGAGTTATGGATGGAACTGTGTCCCTCGACCCTCTCAAATTTTTATATTGAAGCCCTCACCCTCAATGTGACTGATTTTAGAGGTACAACCTTTAAAAAGGTGACTCAGGTTAAATGAGGACATAAGGATGAGACAGACCCTAATGCAATAGAACCGGAGTCCTTATAAGAAAGAATAAGCTGGGTGCAGTGGTTCACGCCTGTAATCCCAGCACTTTGGGAGGCCAAGGCGGGTGGATCACCTGAGGTCGGGAGTTCGAGACCAGCCTGACCAATATGGAGAAACCCTATCTCTACTAAATACAAAAAATTAGCTGGGCGTGGTGGCGGGAGCCTGTATTCCCAGCTACTCAGGAGGCTGAGGCAGGAGAATCGCTTGAACACCGAGGTTGCAGTCAGCCGAGATCACACCACTGCACTCCAGCCTGGCAACAGAGTAAGACTTCATCTCAAAAAAGAAAAAAAAAATCTAGAATAAAAGACACCAGTGATGTGCACACACTGGGGAAAGACCATGAGAAGACACAGTGAAAAGGCAGTCAACAAGCCAAGGAGAGAGACCTCAGAAGAAGCCAAACCTGCTGGGACCTCAATACTGAACGTCCGGCCTCCAGGACTGTGGGAAAATAAATCTCTGCTGTTTAAGACCCACAGTCTGGGGCATTTTGTTATGACAGCCCTAGCAAACTAATACAAGGAGACACTAATAACTGATGACAAATTTTTAAAGGAAATTTTAATCATGAAGACAGAATGATCGCTGTTTGCTTATAAGAGATTATGATCAGCTGGGTGTGGTGGCTCACGCTTGTAATCCCAGCACTTTGGGAGGCTGAGGCAGGCAGATCACGAGGTCAGGAGTTCAAGACCAGCCTGGCCAACACAGTGAAACCCCGTCTCTACTAAAGACACAAAAATCAGCTGGCCGAGGTGGCGCGCACCTGTAATCCCAACTACTCCCAACTGGGGAGGCTGAGACAGGAGAATTGCTTGAACCAGGGAGGTGGAGGTTGCAGTGAGCCGAGCTGATGCCACTGCACTCCAGCCTGGGTGACAGAGCTAGACTCTGCCTCAAAAAAGAAAAAAAGAGAGAGAGAGAGATTATGATCACAGCAAGAGGACAAAAATCACATTCAAAAATGCATTATGGCACAGTCTAGGGTTATCAGAAGCTGCATGACACAAGCAAAAGGAATGGGACACTTGTCCATTTTGAGTTTCTTGTGATGCTTTGTCAATACTTTCAGAAGATAATTAACAATCATCCACTTCTGAAGACTCCATTGCCAAGAAAGAAAAACAGACTGTCCGTCAGCTTCTTGGATCTGAATATGGATGAACCCCAGGCATTCACTGTTTCACTCACTCCTTCCACAGCTCATTTTGTTCGCTTTTATCTTCCGCTAACAGCAACAGGGACCACAGCCTCCATATCTACATATCCCTTCTCATCTCTAAACCTCACTCACTTCACTCTTCACTAACCAACTTGCTTTTAAAAGCAAGTCAAAAAACTTGCTTCATTTTATTATTGCTAAGTGTTATTTACCTTCATTATGTGTCTTTCACACATTATTTCACTGTTCACATTTGTTGCAGTTAAAGGAAAACATAATTTGTATCTTGTTACTACACAAATAAACTAATGAGTTAATTTAGTGTTAAACAATTATGCTATTGGTGTTTTAAAGGCTTTATATTAAGCAGAAAAATCTTATATATATACGTATATATAGAAAATGGTTGGGGTTTTTAGATGTGCTGGGAATACATTATCATTTTTTTCCCATTTAAAATAATGACATACAGACTCCCACTATCGAAAATTCACTATCCAGCGTGTTTTTAGGAATGGATTAGAATTTCTGAGGGATGTCTGAACTAGGATTCGAGATATTAGAAAGGATGAAGTCATACAGTCACCATATTGATGTGTATTTTAGGTTATATTCCATTAGAAGGCAAATATGATCGACCATTAGTTATGCTAAAGTTGACCCCTACCTAGATTAGGGTGGTGACATTCTGATCACTCCATTTATAGTTAATGTTTTCCTTTTGGGACTAGAAGTAATCTGTGTGGTGTTACTTTGGTCCTATATGAATGTCTACAACAATCAATCATCTATTGTTTTCAATGCCAAATGATAATCCTTACCTGAATCACGAATTTATTGGAGTTTGTAAAATTATATTTCTTTTATTTCATTCACATGTATTAACTAGATGTGTACACATCCACTTAAGTTTAAAAAAGTAAAAAAGACTGGGAGTGGTGGCTCACCCCTGTAATCCCAGCAGTTTGGGAGGCCAAGGCGGGCAGATCACTTGAGGCCAGGAGTTCAAGACCAGCCTGGCCAACGTGGCAAAACCCTGTCTCTACTAAAAATACAAAACAGATTGGCCAGGTGTGGTGGCGCACTTCTGTAATCCCAGCTACTCAGGAAGTTGAGGCACAAGAATCACTTGAGCCTGGGAGGCGGAGGTTGCAGTGAGCTGAGATCATGCCACTGCACTGCAACCTGGGTGACAGAGCTCTGTCTCAAAAAAAAAAAAGTTAATAACATTTAAAACAAAAGATATTAACTAGAATTCTGTGAAGGCTTTATTCATCAACTAGGGCTATTTGGTTATCCTAAAATAAATTTTTACTGAAAGAGCAAAATAAATGCTTTTTTTTTTTCTTGTTGAGACAGGTTCTGGCTCTGTCACCCAGGCTGGAATGCAATGGGGCGATCTCGGCTCACTGCAGCCTCAACCTCCTCGGCTCAAGCAATCCTCCTACCTCAGCCTCCTGAGTAACTGGGACCACAGGTATGCACCAACATGCCTGTTTAATTTTTGTATTTTTTTTTGTGTGTGTACACATGGGGTTTAGCCATGTTGCCCAGTCTGGTCTCGAACTCCTGAGCTCAAGCAATCTGCCTGTCTAGGGCTCGCAAAGTGCTGCGATTACAGGCATGAGTCACTGCACCCGGCCTAAAATTTTAATTTTTTTTTAATTACCAATTTTCAAAGTAAGGAGTTGTTTTAATAGTTGTCTCAAATGGTAATGAATGCGACTTCTTGACTTCTTATTGTATCTTTATGAACTAATGAATTTTCATTGATTCAGTATATTCAATCCAAAATTATCATTATACTTTTAGTTGTCCAATTGTCACAACATTGTTCAGTGGGGACACCTTCACATATGCTCCTGAGTCGTTTTGACGTGACATTATCTTCTAAAGCTTTCATTCTTCTTTTTTTTTTCTTTTCTTTTCTTTTTTTTTTTTTTTGAGACAGAGTCTTTCTCTGTCACCCAGGCTGGAGTGAAGCATGCAATCTCAACTAACCTCCGCCTCCCGGGTCCAAGCGATTCTCCTGCCTCAGCCTTCCGAGTAGCTGGGGACTACAGGTGCGCACCACCACACCTGGCTAGGTTTTTTGAATTTTTAGTAGAGATGGGGTTTCACCATGTTGGCCAGGCTGGTCTCAAACTCCTGATCTCATGTGACCCGCCCGCCTTGGCCTCCCAAAGTGCTAGGATTACAGGCGTGAGCCACCGTGCCCAGCCCTGCTTTCATGCGTGTTAACATGAAAAGGAGTCCCAGGCTCACCTTGAAAAGTGCCTGCACTAGACCTGAAATCAACAGTTTCCCAATGAGCCACATCTTGTTTTAATGTGGAATGGTATTAGAGAGCACAGCATGGACATTAGGAATGCTCATTTCTTCTGGTCCATTTCAGTGGACAGGACCAGAAAAAAAATTATACATATATGTGTGTGTGTGTGTGTGTGTGTGTATATTATGTATATTTTAAAAATAGAGATATATAATTTTTATATATTTTTTGAGACAAGGTCTCACTCTGTCTCCTAGGCTGGAGTGTGGTAGTGTGATCTTGGTTCACTGCAGCCTCAACTTCCTGGGTTCACGCCTCCTACCTCAGCCTCCCAGGTGGCTAGGACTACGGGCATGCACCACCATGCCTGGCTAATTTAATTTTGTATTTTTTTGTAAAGGCAGGGTTTCGCCATGTTGTCCAGGCTGGTCTCAAACTCCTGGGCTCAAGCGATCTGCCTCGCTTAGCCTCCCAAAGTGCTGGAATTATAGGCGTGAGCCACAGCTCCTGGCCAGAAAAAATATATATATATATTTTGTTGTTGTTGTTGCTGTGTTTTTGAGACAGAGTCTCGCTCTGTGGCCCAGGCTGGAGTGCAGTGGCGTCATCTTGGCTCACTGCAAGCTCCTCCTCCCGGGTTCACACCATTCTCCCACCTCAGCCTCACGAGTAGCTGGGACTACAGGCACCCGCCACCACACCCGGCTAATTTTGTTTTTGTATTTTTAGTAGAGATAGGGTTTCACCATGTTAGCCAGGATGGTCTTGATTTCCTGACCTCATGATCTGCCCACCTCGGCCTCCCAAAATGCTGGGATTACAGACGTGAGCCACCATGCCTGGCCCAGAAAATATATTTTTAAAAACAATGAGTTAATATTGATTTTTCAATTCAATTTTAGCATTATTGTGTTTTCACTTAGTTTCTTTGATTATATAATTGTATCATTTCTCTTGTACTAAAAATACTGGTTCCTGGCCGGCTGCAGTGGCTCATGCCTGAAATCCCAGCATTTTGGGAGGCTGAGGCAGGTGGATCACCTGAGGTCAGGAGTTCAAGACCAGCCTGGCCAACATGGCGAAACCCTGTCTCTACTAAAAATATAAAAATTAGTCAGGCATGGTGGCGGGTGCCTGTAATTCCAGCTACTCAGGAAGCTGAGGCAGGAGAATTGCTTGAACCCAGAAGGCGGAGTTTGCAGTGAGCCAAGATCGCACCACTGCACTCCAGCCTGGGTGACAAGGAGACTCCGTCTCAAAAAACAAAACAAAACAAAAACAAAAAACAAACAAACAAAAAACCTGGTTCCTTACATTATTATAACTATTTATGTCTCTTATGAGAAAATTATATATTTTCAAAATTCCAGTACTGATAATACTACAAACAATATTACTTCTGAGAGAGTTTAAAATTTAGGAGAGTTTAATATGTAAGGGTCTAAAGTTTAAAATTTTAGTTTCAGCTTTTTTATCCTTAAAATGCATCCTATTGGCTGGGAGAGGTGGCTCATGCCTGTAATCCCAGCACTTTGAGAGGCCGAGGCGGGTGGATCATGAGGTCAAGAGATTGAGACCATCCTGGCTAACATGGTGAAACGCTGTCTCTACTAAAAATACAAGTATTAGCTAGGTGTGGTGGCACATGCCTGTAGTCCCAGCTACTCAGGAGGCTGAGGCAGGAGAATTGCTTGAACATGGGAGGCAGAGGTTATAGTGAGCCGAGATTGCGCCACTGCACTCCAGCCTGGCGACAGAGTAAGACTCCGTCTCAAAAAAAAAAAAAAAAAAGCATCCTATTAATGACGTAAAGTCTCTCTCTCTCTGTCTCTCTCTCTCTTTTTTTTTGAGACAGGGTCTTGCTCTGTTGCCCAGGGTGGAGTGCAGTGGCACAATCATGGCTCACTGCAGCTTTCACCTCCTGGACTCAAGTGATCCTCTCACCTCCTGAGTAGCTGGGGCCACAGGGGCGCACCACCAGAACCAGCTAGATGTGTGTGGGGGGTGGTGGGGGGTGGGAGGTTGTTTGGTTGGTTGGTTGTTTTTGGTAGAGACTGCAGTCTCACTATCTTGTCCAGGCTGGTCTCGAACTCCTGGCCTCTTTTATTTTGGGGTTAGGTAATGGCATTACCTGACTCAAAGTATACAAGGAGCAGTCTCAAAGCACATGGAGTCTTGCTTCTGTTTTTACCTCCTCAACTCCTCTCCCGTTTTTATTGTTTCTTGTTTATTCCAGCAGTGCTTGTTTTTACAAATATAATATTAGACCTTTCTTATTTCTTTGCCACTTCCACCCTTTCTCATATAAAACATAGCATGCTATATATCCTGTTCTGCACTTTACTTTTTTCACTCAACAATATATACTGGAGATCCTTTACATCAATATGTGGAGCCTCTGATTATTTTAAGGTTAAGCAAATAAGAATAGTTTTATTTATTAACTTGGACCAGAACTATGTGCTTATAATATAAAATTTTTGATCAGACATTCTTAAAGTGTATAAATAGCTATTTCCAAATTTATTTCCCAATCTTTCTTTACATTGACTATATACACAAATTTTAATTTATACACTTATCTAGAGCATGTATATGTATGCATTTAACATTTTATTCAACCCATAACCATGAATTTTTTATTATCTATAAATAGCCAATGCCGTCAAAAGACAAGCCCACCCCCCGCCTTTTTTTTTAGTGATGGAGTCTCACTATGTTGCCCAGTCTGGCTTTGAAATCCTAGGCTGCAGGGATCATCCCACTTCAGCCTCCCAAGTAGCTGGGATTTACAGATATGCCTTACCATGCCCAGGTATAGGCCTTTTTTTTTTGAGACGGAGTCTTCTTCTGTCACCCAGGCTGGAGTGCAGTGGCGGGATCTCAGCTCACTGCAAGCTCCGCCTCCCGGGTTCACGTCATTCTCCTGCCTCGGCCTCCCGAGTAGCTGGGACTACAGGTGCCCGCTACTACACCCGGCTAATTTTTTTTTTTGTACTTTTAGTAAAGACAGGGTTTCACCGTGTTAGCCAGGATGGTCTCCATCTCTTGACCTCGTGATCCTCCCGCCTCAGCCTCCCAAAGTGCTGGGATTACAGGCGTGAGCTGCCGCGCCCAGCCCACAACTGAAATTTTTTTTTTTTTTTTTGAGACGGAGTCTCGCTCTGTCACCCAGACTGGAGTGCAGTGGTGGGATCTCGGCTCACTGCAAGCTCCGCCTCCCAGGTTCATGCCATTCTCCTGCCTCAGCCTCCCCAGCAGCTGGGACTAGAGGCACCCGCCACCACGTCCGGCTAATTTTTGTATTTTTAGTAGAGACGGGGTTTCACTGTGTTAGCCAGGATGGTCTCGATCTCCTGACCTTGTGATCCGCCCGCCTCAGCCTCCCAAAGTGCTGGGATTACAGGCGTGAGCCACCGCACCCGGCCAACAACTGAAATTTTTAAGAGTAACTCCCTGGCTGGGCGCGGTGGCTCACCCTGTAATCCTAACACTTTGGGAGGCCCAGGCGAGGCGGGCGGATCACCTGAGGTCGGATCACCTGAGGTCGGGAGTTCGAAACCAGCCTGACCAACATGCAGAAACCCCATCTCTACTAAAAATATAAAAATTGGCCGGGCATGGTGGTGCATGCCTATAATCCCAGCTACTCGGGAAGCTGAGGCAGGAGAATCACTTGAACCCAGGAGGCGGAGGTTGCAGTGAGCCGAGATCGTGCCATTGCACTCCAGCCTGGGCAGCAAGAGCGAAACTCCATCTCAAAAAAATAAAAAATAAAAATAAGAACTCCCTAATATCATCAAATGTTCAGTCAGTGGTTGAGTCTACAGTTGTCTCATAAATGTCATGTTAAAAAGAGATCGAGACCATTTTTTTTTAACACTATGATCCAAGTAAGGTCCACATATTATGATTGGTTAATGTGTCTTTCATTTTTCTTAGAGACAAGGTCTTGCTCTGTCACCCAGGCAGAGTGCAGTGGTGCTATCATAACTCACTGTAGCCTCGAACTCCTGGGCTCAAGTCATCCTCTTGCTTATCCTCCTAAAGTGTTGGGATTACAAGAGTGAGCCACTGTGCCAGGCCTCTTTTACACTTGATCTTAGCCAAAAGGCCAAGAAGCGATGCCAGGCCTCTTTTAAACTCTTTTAAACTATAGGTTCCAATCCATCTCTTTTTTCCCTTGCAATTTTTTGTGTGTGTGTGAAGAAATGGTTGTTTGTCCTTTAGAGTTTCTTACAGTCTCGATTTTGTTGATTGTACCACTTTGGTGTGATTTAATGTGTTTCCCTGCCCTCTGCGTCATTTTCTGTAAATTGATAATTAGATCTTTTTTTTAAATTTCTACAGAAATAAATTTATTTATTTATTTCCATAGGTTTTTGGGGAACAGGTGGTATTTGGTTACATGAGTAAGTTCTTTAGTGGTTTTTTTATTGGTTTCTTTAGTGGTTTTTTTATTGGTTTGTTTTTGTTTTTTGAGACGGATTCTCTCTCTGCCCAGGCTGCAGTGCAGTGGCCTGATCACAACTCACTGCAGCCTCCACCTCCTGGGCTCAGGTAATCCTTTCACTTCAGCCTCCCAAGTAGCTGGGACTATAGTTGTGCATCAGCATGCATGGCTAATTTTTGTATTTTTTATAGAGATGGGTTTCTGCCATGTTGCCCAGCCTGGTCTCGAACTACTGGGCTCAAGCTATCTTCCTACCTCGGTCTCCCAAAGTGCTGGAATTACAGGCATGAGCCACTGCACCCAACCTATATTTTGTTTATTAAGAAATGAGACTTGGACAGGCTTGGTTGCTCATGCCTGTAATCCCAGCACTTTGGGAGGCCGAGGCGGGCAAATCACCTGAGGTCAGGAGTTTGAGACCAGCCTGGCCAACATGGTGAAACCTTGTCTCTACTAAAAATACAAAAATTAGCCAGGTGCGGTGGCATGTGCCTGTAATCCCAGCTACTTGGGAGGCTGAGGCAGGAGAATCACTTGAACCCGGGAGGCGGATGTTGCAGTGAGGCAAGATCACACCACTGCACTCCAGCATGCAGGCCTGGAGGATAGAGCGAGACTGTCTCCAAAAAAAAAAAAAGAGAGATGAAACTATAGTTGTGCTAAAAGAATAAGAATATATACATTGACATGGCTGGGCGCGGTGGCTCACACCTGTAATCCCAGCACTTTGGGAGGCTGACTTAGGCAGATCATGAGGTCAGGAGATCGAGACCATCCTGGCTAACACGGTGAAACCCCGTCTCTACTAAAAATACAAAAAAATTAGCCGGGCGTGGTGGCGGGCGCCTATAGTCCCAGCTACACCAGAGGCTGAAGCAGGAGAATGGCGTGAACCCAGGAGGCAGAGCTTGCAGTGAGCTGAGATAGCATCACTGTACTCCAGCCTAGGCGACAGAGCGAGACTCCGTCTCAAAAAAAAATAGAATATATACATTGACATTACAGACTGAGTAGTCATTGCAATATTCCCAATTCACAAGAAAGCAACAGTCAGAAAAATTAGAAAGTTTTTTAAAAAAAAGTTAATCACAGCAGAAATTCTTCACACACACAAAATTAAAATAAAGCTACAATCAGAGAGTAAGTTTCCACATAGTTCATTTGTAGCCAAGCAAGGAAAGCCATTTATCAATAATGAGTTAATTAAATCATGTGATGCAGAAGCCAAAGAAATGTGTCCAGAGAAAATAAATTTGTTTAAGACTCTTATTCATCAAGAACAGCTGCTTGAAGAGTTGAGGACACTGGGATAAACATCAATAATCAACTAAAAAACAAGGCCAATGATTAAATGTGATTTTCCCTTGGCTCTTGATGAGGGGACAGATGCTACTGACACTGCTTAGCTGTTATTTATTCAAGGAGTTGATGTGAAGTTTGGAGTGAATGCAGAATAAGCCGCTATCAATAGTATGTTTGGAACAATTACATAGGATAATATTTTCAAAAAGGTTGAGAAAACACTACTTCCGTACAGCCTGAAGTAGAACCTACTAAGATGTACTACAACTGATGGTGGTAAAGGAAACGGTGTAGTGAGGCATATTCACAAAGCATATGAAAATGTAAGGTGTTTAAAGCCTGTGGTTATTCACTGTATTAACCATCAGTAGGTACACTGTGAAGAATATTTGAATTTATCATGTGTTATTGAACCAGTGTGTCAACAGTGAACTTCATTTGCATCTCATGGTCTTAACATTGTCAATGCTTTGAACTGAATGTTTGTGTACCCCCAAAATTCATATGCTAACCCCTAATCCCAATATGATGGTATTTGGTGGTGTGGCCTTTGGGAAGTAATTAGGTCATGAGGGTGGAGCTTTGCGAATGAGATTAGTATCATTATAAGAAGAGACACAAGAAAGCTTGCTTCTCTCTGCTCTCTGCCATGTGAAAATATGAGAAGATAGCCATCTACATCTTGGGCTTTCCAGTCTCCAGAACTGTGAAAAATACGTGTTTGTTGTTTAACCTACCAGTCTGTGTTAATTTGTTGTAGCTGACTGAACTAAAACAGTTTTTGTTACAAATAGAAGTTGAATATCCTGACTTGTCCTACCATACAGCAGTTCATTGACATAGTGGTGGCAAAGAGGTGTTGAGATTTTCTCGAGCTCAGGGCTGAGGTAGAAAATTTTCTGAACATGCCTTCAAACACATGTAATGGTTAAACTTTCTGTGTCATCTTGGATAGGCTATGGTGTCCGGTTCTTTGTTCAAACACTAGTCTAGACATTGCTGTAAGGGTATCTTGTAGATATAATTAACACTTATAATCAACTGACTCTAAGTAAAGTAGATTATCCTTGATTATATGGGTAGGACTCATCCAATTAGTCAAAAGCCTTAAGAGCAAAGACTGAGGTTTCCTGGAAAAGAAAGTACTCTGCCTCAAAACTGTAACATTGAAATTCTGCCTGAGTTTCCATCCTGCTGACCTGCCCTACAAATTTCAGACTTGTCAGCCCCCACAGTTGTGTGAGCCAATTCCTTAAAATAAATCTTTTTTAAAAACTTTTATTTTAGGTTTAGGGGTACATGGGCAGATTTGTTATATAGGTAAACTGTGTGTCACCAGGGGTTTGGTGTACAGATTATTTACTCACCCAGGCAATAAGCGTAGTACCTGCTAGGTATTTTTTCTGATCCTCTCCTTCCTCCCACCCTCCACATTCAAGTAGGCCTCAGTGTCTGTTGTTCCCCTCTTGGTATATGTGTTCTCATTGTTTAGCTCCCACTTACAAGTGAGAACATGTGGTATTTGGTTTTCTGTTCCTGCATTAGCTTGCTTAGGATAATAGCCTCCAAATCCATCCATGTTGCTGCATGGATCTTTTTTTTTTTTTTTTGGCAGACGGTGTCTCTCTCTGTTGCCCACGCTGGAGTACAGTGGTGCAATCTCAGCTCACTACAACCTCCACCTCCCAGGTTCATGAAATTCTCATGCCTCAGCCTCCCAAGTAGCTGGGACAACAGGCATGCACAACCACTCCTGGCTAAATTTTTGCACTTTAGTAGAGAAGGGGTTTCACTGTGTTACCCAGGCTGGTCTCAAACTCCTGAGCTCAGACAATCTGCCTGCCTTGGCCTCCCAAAATCCTAGGATTACAGGAGTGAGCTGCTGCCCCTGGCCTTGATGAATTTAATCTAAAATTACAAGGTAAAAAGGTGCTTATTGTGAAACTTTTACTACAGTAAATTTATTAAAGTTGTTTGAATCACAGGTAAGGTTAAGCTACTTTACATATTTCCTGTCATCAAAAGCTAAAACAAGAACCAAAATCTCCATTCCCATACAAAATTTGCAGCAGTTATATTTTCTGAGCTCAAACTACAGTTCTAGCAGGTTTTTTGGTCCTCAGTGCAAGTGCAAGGAAATTTCTATATTTCAGGCAGTGCTTGGGGGCTCATGCCTATAATCCTAGGACTTTGGGAGGCCCAGGCGAGCAGATCACTTGAGCCCAGGAGTTTGAGACCAGCCTGGCCAGGGTTTTTGTAGAAACCCTGTCTCTACAAAAAATACAAAACTTAGCTGTGGGTGGTGGCACATACCTACAGTCCCAGCTACTTGGGAGGCTGAGGCAAGAGGATTCCTTGAACTCAGGTGGTCGAGGCTGCAGTCAGCCGAGATCAAACCACTGCACTCCAGCCTGGATGACAAAGTGAGACCCTGTTTCAAAAAAAGAAAAATTCTATATTTCATTTAACTGTGCAATTGAGGAACTTCTACCTAACCTTCAATTGGAGGTGATTAACCTACAATGTAATGACATGCTAAAAGGCAAAGATCAAGAAAAGTATGTGTATTAGTCTGTTTTCATGCTGCTGATAAGACTAAGTTTCATACCTGAGACTAAGAAAAAAAGTTTAATTGGACTTACATTTCCACATGGTTGAGGAGGCCTCAGAATCATGGTGGGAAGCGAAACGCACTTCTTACATGGCGGTGGCAAGAGAAAATGAGGAAGATGCAAAAGCGGAAACCCCTGATAAACCCATCAGATCTTGTGAGACTTATTCACTATCACAAGAATAGGACAGGAAAGACCAGCCCCCATGATTCGATTACCTCTTCCTAAGTCCCTCCCACAACATGTGGAAATTCTGGGAAATATAATTCAAATTGAGATTTGAATGGGGACACGGCCAAACCATACCATTCTACCCTTGGTCCCTCCAAATCTCATGTCCTCGTATTTCAAAACCAATTATGCCTTCCCAACAGTCCCCCAGTCTTAACTCATTTTAGCATTAACCCATAAGTCCACAGTCCAAAGTCTCATCTGAGACAAGGCAAGTCCCTTCCGCCTATGAGCCTGTAAAATCAAAAGCAAGCTAGTTACTTCCTAGATACAATTGGGGTACAGCTATTAGGTAAATACAGCCATTCCAGATGGAAGAAATTGGCCAAAACAAAGCGGTTACAGGGCCCATGCAAGTCAGAAATCCAGCAGGACAGTGAAATTTTAAAGCTCCAAAATGATCTCCTTTGACTCCAGGTCTCACATCCAGGTCACGCTGATGCATGAGGTGGGTTCCCATGGTCTTGGGCAGCTCTGGCCCTGTGCCTTTGCATGGTACAGCTTCCCTCCTGCTGCTTTCAGAGGCTGGAGTTGAGTGTCTGTGGCTTCTCCGGGCACACAGTGCAGGCTGTCAGTGAATCTACCATTCTGGAGTTTGGAGGACAGTGCCCTCTTCTCACAGCTCCACTAGGCAATGCCCCACTAGGGACTTTGTGTGGGGGCTCTGACCCCACATTTCCCTTCCGCATTACCCTAGCAGAGGTTCTCCATGAGGGCCCTGACCCTGCAGAAAACTTATGCCTGGACATCCAGGCATTTCCACACACCTTCTGAAATTTAGGTCGAGGTTCGCAAACCTCAGTTTTTGACTTCTGTGTATCTGCAGGCTCAACACCACATGGAAGCTACCAAGGCTTGGGGCTTCCACCCTCTGAAGCCACAGCCCAAGCTGTACATTGGCCCCTTTCAGTCATGGCTGGAGTTGCTGGGACACAGGACACCAGGCCCCTAGGCTGCACACAGCATGGGGATCCTGAGCCCAGCCCATGAACCACTTTTTCCTTCTGGGCCTCCAGGACTGTGATGGGAGGGGCTGCTGTGAAGGTGTCTGACATGGCCTGGAGATAGTTTCCCCACAGTCTTGGGATTAACATTAGGCTCCTTGCTACTTATGCAAATTTCTGCAGCAGGCTTGAATTTCTCTTGAGAAAATGGGTTTTTCTTTTCTATCACATTGTCAGGCTGAAGGTTTTCCAAACTTTTATGCTCTGCTTCCCTTATAGAACTGAATGCCTTTATCAGTACCCAAGTCACCTCTTGCATGCTTTGCTGCTTAGAAATTTCTTCCGCCAGACACCCTAAATCATCTCTCTCAAGTTTAAAGTTCCACAAATCTCTGGGGCAGGGGCAAAATGCCACCAGTCTCTTTGCTAAAACATAACAAGAATAACCTTTGCTCCAGTTCCCAACAAGTTCCTCATCTCCATCTGAGACCACCTCAGCCTGGATCTTATTGCCCATATTGCTATCAGCATTTTGGGCAAAGCCATTCAACAAGTCTCTAGGAAGTTGCAAACTTTCCCACATTTTCCTGTCTTCTTCTGAGCCCTCCAAACTGTTCCAACCTCTGCCTGTTATCCAGTTCCAAAGTCACTTCCACATTTTCGGGTATCTTTTCAGCAGCATCTCACTCTACTGTTACCGATTTACTATATTAGTCTGTTTTCATGCTGCTGATAAAAACATATCCAAGACTGAGAAGAAAAAAAGGTTTAATTGGACTTACAGTTCCACATGGCTGGGAAGGCCTCAGAATCACGGCAGGAGGTGAAAGGCACTTCTTACATGGTGGTGGCAAGAGAAAATGAGGAATAAGCAAAAGCAGAAACCCCTGATAAACCCATCAGATCTTGTGAGACTTATTCACTATCATGAGAATAGCACGGGAAAGACTGGCCACCATGATTCAATTACCACCCCCTAGATCCCTACCACAATACAGGGGAATTCTGGGAGATACAATTCAAGTTGAGATTTGAATGGGGACACAGCCAAACCATATAAGCATATAATAAAATTATATAAAGCCTTCCAAGTAATGAATATACCCAATCAAAACCAGATGGTCTTGGATTGATATCAGTATTTGGCAATACCTGCCTTTGTAAAGACATTTTCAAAGACAAAATATGTAAAATCTCATTGTAGATCAGCATTAACAGATGAATATTTAGGGCCGGACGCAGTGGCTCATGCCTGAAATCCCAGCACTTTGGGAGGCCCAGGTGTGTGGATCTCTTGAGGTCAGGAGTTCAAGACCAGCCTGGCCAAAATGGCAAAACCCCATCTCTAATATAAATACAAAAATTAGCCAGGCGTGGTGGCATGCGCCTGTAGTCCCAGCTACTCAGGAGGCTGAGACAGGAGAATCTCTTGAACCTGGGAGGCAGAGGTTGCAGTGAGCCGAGATCATGCCACTGCACTCCAGCCTGGGTGACAGACGGAAACTCTGTCTCCAAAAAAAAAAAAAAAAACAGACGAACATTTGCAATTGACTTTGATGATGGGGAACACTAAATTTGAACCCCAATTAATCAGCAAATCTGTATTACAAAAAAATTGCATTCAATTATTATTATTTTTTATTTTGCCAAAGCATACTCACCCTTCTCACCATGTGATGCCCTGCATCACCTTGGGACTCTGCAGAGTCCCCATCAGCAAGAATGCTCTCACTAGATGCACCCTCTTGACCTTGGACTTCCAGCCTCCAGAAATGTAAGAAATAAATTTTGTTTCTTTATAAAACAAATTTGTCAATGACAATTTATGCAAATTTGTTTTATTTTTAAAGTACTTATATAATATCCTTAATTTTGTTTCTTGGCATGCAAAGCCTAAACTTTACTATTTGATCCTTCATAGAATGAGTTTGCCAACCCCCAATCTAGAAGAACACCTGATAAATACATCTTGGATAGCTTATAATGATTTCTACAAAACTTTTTTTTTTTTTTTTTTTGAGACACTCTGTCACCCAGGCTGGAGTGCAGTGGTGCGTGGCTCACTGCAACCCCCACCTCCTGGGTTCAAGTGATTCTCCTGCCTCAGCCTCCCGAGTAGCTGGGATTACAGGCACCCACCACCACACCCAGCTAATTTTTGTATTTTTAGTAGAGACAAGGTTTCACCATGTTGGACAGGCTGGTCTTGAACTCCTGACCTCAAGTTGTCTACCACTTTGGCCTCCCAAAGTGCTGGGATTACAGGCATGAGCCACTGTGCCTAGCCTATACAAAACTCTTGATCCATTCCCAAGTTCTTTTATTCCTGTCTTCCACTCATTAAATGACCTCTAATTCAATTCCTCAAGCCAAAACTTTACAGATCTTTTTTGATTTTTTTTTTACTTTCCCACAGTCTCTGTATTAATCCAACAGAATATCCTGTCAGTTCTGCCCCCAAATACAGTAGCTTTAATTCATCTAGTCCTCTGCCTATCTGCTGCCTTTACCCATCTCTTGTCTGCACTACTAAAATGGTCTGATTGGTCTCCCCACTTCCACTCTTGCCCCCTAATGAGCCAATATTCACTCTAGCTAGAAGGAATCTCTCTAAAATGTTAAAAGATTATTAATTCCCTACTTAAAACTTTTTATTGCCTTCCCATTGCACTTCCAAATCTAAATTCTTTATCATGATGTCAAAGGCTCTATATGACCCAGCTGCATCCTACCTCTTCAACCACATCTTTTCTCTCTTTCCCTGTAGCTCTAGGTCCACTGGTCTCCTTGTTAAGCAAACCATTCTTTTTCTCTTTCTTGGCTTGGGCATCTGTTAAACACTTCAGTAAACCATCTTCTCCTTTTTCTTTGCATGTCTGGGCCTTTATTTCCCCCTTGAATATTAGATTAATGTATACAGTATGCCCTCCTTTTCTGTTACTCTCCTCCTTACCTAGTTTATTTCATTTACAGCACTGGAGTGTAAGCTTATGAGAATAGGCACTGCCCAGGCATAGTGGCTCACGTTTATAATCCCAGCACTTTGGGATGCCAAAGCAGGCAGATTGCCTGAGGAGCCCAGGAGTTCGAGAACAGCCTGGGGAGCATGGCAGGACCCCGTTTCAATTAAAAAATAATAAATATGGCTGAGTGTGGTAGCTCATGCCTGTAATCCCAGCACTTTGGAAGGCTGAGGCAGGTGGATCACTTGAGGTCAGGAGTTCGAGTCCAGCCTGGCCAAAATGGTGAAACCCTGTCTCTACTAAAAATACGAAAATTAGCTGGGCATGGTGGCACATGCCTGTAATCCCAGCTACTCAGGAGGCTGAGGCAGAAGAATCACTTGAACCTGGGAGGCGGAGGTTGCAGTGAGCCGAGATGGCGCCATTGCACTCCAGCCTGTATAAAAAAGCGAGACTCTGTCTCAAATAATAATAATAATAATAATAAATTAATAAGAAGAACAGGGACTGATCATTGTGCCTAGAGCAGTGCCCACACATGAGTAACAGTAGGTAGTTGGCAAGTATGTTTTTTTCTCAACTTTTATTTTTTACTTTAATGGCTGCTCCATAGACAGAGCAGGGCTATCCCATAGGCAGAACAGCCTCAACTTTTATTTTAGATAGAGGGGGTACATGTGCATGTTTGTTACATGGGTATATGGCACTCAGATAGTCAGTGGAGTACCCAATAGATAGGCTTTCGACTCACGCCCCCTTCCAAATGCAAGTACTTATTGAATAAAGGAAATTGAAAAATATGGGGAATTAAGAGCTATCAGAGCACATAGCAGAGGTCCTACCCTGGCCCCATGGTCAAGATTTCTAGATGAAGTAATGTTTAAACTAATATCTGAAGAGCAGAAATTATTCCACTGACGGGAAACTATACTAGGTAGAGATGAGCATGAGAAGCAGCAAAAGCAAAGGCCTGGGACCAGTAACTGGGACCAGATCACTTGGACCTCATGAAAGAGCAAGAGGAAGCCAATGAAAGGTTTAAGCTGGAGAGTGGTGAAACATTAATTTTTGCTTTAGAAAGATTACTCTGGTCATAGTGCATAGGGTGAAATATGGAGGGAAGCAAGACAGGAGACAAAGAACCAGTTAGGAGGTAGCAGTGGCAGAAGTGGGTAAGGAGTGTATCAATGTGAAATATTTAGGAGATAGCTTTGGTAGGACAGGTATGGGAGGTGAGAGAGCTGCTGGCAAGGAACCCTCCCAGGTTTCAACCTTGGGCATTTGGGTTGATGATGGAACCATTACCAAACCTGGAAACAACAGAGGAGAGCTGGCTAGAGGTGGGGTGGAGTATTTTAGACATGTTGAGCTTGAGATGTCTACAGCATATGGCTGGTTTAAACGTCTCGTCTCTTAAAGAGATCATCCAGAGTCCAAGCCCCTATGATGCCTTCTGCTTTTTTCTTCAGTGTCTGGTATACAGCAGGCACTTGTTGAAAAAGAAAGGAAAGAAGGAAAAAATCCAAGTGGGTTTGGGGCCCAGTAAAACTAGAGGTATAAAATTAAAGGTTGGCTGGGTGTAGTGGCTCATGCCTGTAATCCCAGCACTTTGGGAGGACGAGGCAGGTGGATCACCTGAGGTCAGGAGTTCGAGACCAGCCTGGCCAACATGGTGAAACTCTGTCTCTACTAAAAATACAAAAATTAGCTGGGCATGGTGGCAAGTGCCTATAATCCCAGCTATTCGGGAGGCTGAGGCAGGAGAATCACTTGAATCCAGGAGGTGGAAGTTACAGTGAGGTGAGATCGCGCCATTGCACTCCAGCCTGGGCGACAGAGCAAGACTCCATCTCAAAAAAAAATAATAATAATAAAATTTAAAGAAATACATTAAATTAAAGGTCATCACTATTTAAATGGTTCAACTCAGAAGAGTGGATAAAGTCACCCAGGAATTTTAACATGAGTTCTGCGTGGGGAAAAAAAATCACCCCGGAGTGTGTAAATTTGGAAGAGGGCATAAAGGGCCCTGAAGAACTGTAGCATGTATGAGATGGGTAATGATAATGACAACATGTAATCCTTACTAAGTACTATGTGCCTCATTTCCAATTTTGTTGAAAATATTTTGCCCCTTCACTAGAAATTTTTCCATTTCATCTAGAAATCTCCCAATTATTAGGCCAGGCTAAGACCTCTGCTATGTGCTCTGATAGCTCTTATTTCCCCCTATCTTGCAATTTCCTTTTTTTTAAAAATTTTATTATTATTATACTTTAAGTTTTAGGGTACATGTGCACAATGTGCAGGTTAGTTACATATGTATACATGTGCCATGCTGGTGTGCTGCACCCATTAACTCGTCATTTAGCATTAGATATATCTCCTAATGCTATCCCTCCCCCGTCCCCCCACCCCACAACAGTCCCCAGAGTGTGATTTTCCCCTTCCTGTGTCCATGTGTTCTCATTGTTCAATTCCCACCTATGAGTGAGAATATGTGGTGTATGGTTTTTTGTTCTTGCAATAGTTTACTGAGAATGATGATTTCCAATTTCATCCATGTCCCTACAAAGGACATGAACTCATCATTTTTTATGACTGCATAGTGTTCCATGGTGTATATGTGCCACATTTTCTTAATCCAATCTACAGTTGTTGGACATTTGGATTGGTTCCAAGTCTTTGCTATCGTGAATAGTGCCGCAATAAACATACGTGTGCATGTGTCTTTATAGCAGCATGACTTAATAGTCCTTTGGGTATATACCCAGTAATGGGATGGCTGGGTCAAATGGTATTTCTAGTTCTAGATCCCTGAGGAATCGCCACACTGACTTCCACAATGGTTGAACTAGTTTACAGTCCCACCAACAGTGTAAAAGTGTTCCTATTTCTCCACATCCTCTCCAGCACCTGTTGTTTCCTGACTTTTTAATGATTGCCATTCTAACTGGTGTGAGATGGTATCTCATTGTGGTTTTGATTTGCATTTCTCTGATGGCCAGTGATGGTGAGCATTTTTTCATGTGTTTTTTGGCTGCATAAATGTCTTCTTTTGAGAAGTGTCTGTTCATGTCCTTTGCCCACTTTTTGATGGGGCAATTTCCTTTATTATGAGTGTGATCTCTCTCTGGGAGAACTGATCGCAGTAAAGGGGTGGGGAACCGATGACTACTGGTCTCACTCATGATAACAGCTAACACTTATTGAGTGACTACTGCATGCAAGGCATGGTTCTAAGTATTTTACATGTATTAATTAATTCTCACTACCCTGTGAGCATGGTTAAATGTAATGAACTACAGAGACAGAGAGGGGAAAGATAAAGGAGAGAAGTGATAATTAAAAGAGCAAAGGCTCTGGGAATGGGGCTATCCTTTGACACTAGATTGGACATCTCCTCCACTGCATCTTCTGAAGGACAGAGGCAGAGAGGTAACAAGTTTATTTGTTTAAACCAAAATCTTTAATTTCAGCACTTGTTTTCTGTATAATACCTAAAAACAAAAGAAGAAAAACTCTAACAAGCTATTTTAATTGCTTTGATACAAGTAAGGACAAAGTGTCATGGGGATTAAGGAGAGGGAAGAAACAATTCTGCCTTAAGTCCAGCGGGCAGAGGTGGAAGTTGGGCAGCTTCAGCGTATCTTGAACACCCACTAAGTAGCAAGTATACCTGAGGCTTTGGGATCCCAAAATGTGTAACATATGGAGATCGTCCGGTGTGTGTCTCTGTTGCTGTGGGCTGGCCAGAACCCATTCTCTTCTGTCCTAGGACTTCAATTGCTTTTGAGGATTCCATGCCCACTTTGTTGCCATCTTGATGGACTATATGATCAAGGTGCTCTGACCAGAGGGTGGTCATGAGGCTTAGAGTTCTTTCCCTGGGAAATTTTATCTTGAGATGAGTGACACAAGAAACAAGAATGAGTCATCATCCCAAACTGTATGCCTTGGAGTTCCTGCGCCATGGACCCCCAACGCTGACCCAGGTCTTATCCTTCTGATGGCTGGTCCTTTGGCCCTTCTTTGAATTCCAAGAGCCACCCCACATCCTGCCATAAATTCCTTGTCTGGTGAGGTTAGCCAGAGCCAGCTTCCAGTGCTTGAAGCCAAAGGATCTTGGCCAATGGATATAGCCACCCATAGAATATGTGTCAAGAATAGCTGATGGATGGGATTATAGCAGATCCAAGACAGGTTGACCCCTCTTCATCCCCTTTCCCAATAAGTTCACAGTCCTTATCATGGGGATGGGATCATGGCATGGCTCTTTTGAGACACTGTCAAATCCCAGCTAGAATTTACCTTCTTAGCCACAGTCACATTTTTCAGACCCTTCTGAGTGCCATACCTCATAACTTTCAGAAACAAACTTTGGGGAAGGCTATCACCCCTGGCCCTATACTTCTCAGTTCGACTCCTCTGTTTACCATCTCCGTGTCAGTTCAGCCACCCACACCCATGACCACACTGTGGCACATGGAAGCTGTGTTTGTGAAACCTCTGCTGACCTAGAGAAGGTCTTTACTTAGCTTTCTTTGTGCCATTCAAGTGGTTTGTACTGCCCACTATCATCAACTTATCCTATCACGTTGTAATGGCTTGTCTATCTTTGGTAATACCTGTGAACCCTTTAAGGGCAGTGTATTAATCAGGGTCTAGCATAGTGCTTTGCACTGAATGTTTGTAGAACAACCAACCAAACACAGAGAACACAGGAAGTTGGGGAATATTATAAAGATCATGTGAACCAGCCAGGTGCGGTGGCTCATGCCTGGAATCCCAGCACTTTGGGCGGCTGAGGCAGAAGTATCACTTGAGCTTGGGAGTTCGAGACCAGCCTGGGCAACATAGTGAGACCTTGTCTCTAAAATAATAATAGACTGGGTGCAGTGGCTCAGGCCTGTAATCCCAGCACTTTGGGAGGCCCAGGTGGGTGGATCACCTGAGGTCAGGAGTTCAAGACCAGACTGGCCAACATGCTAAAACCCCATCTCTCCTAAAAATACAAAATTAGCCAGGCGTGGTGGCACACACCTGTAGTCCCAGCTACTTGGGAGGCTTAGGCAGGAGAATCGCTTGAACCCAGGAGGTGAAGGTTGCAGTGAGCCAAGATCACGTCACTGTACACCAGCCTAGGCGACAGAGCAAGACTCCGTCTCAAAAAATAAATAAATAATAATAAAAAGATAAGTGAACCAACCTCTTTTAAAAAGGAAAACAGAACCAGTTAGGTGTTCCACACCACTCTACCAAAAAAAGTACTAGTTCAGATTTTAAAACGTAAGGCAGGCCAGGTGCAGTGGCTCATGCCTGTAATCCCAGCACTTTGGAAGGCTGAGGCAGGCGGATCATGAGGTCAGGAGATCCAGACCATCCTGGCTAACACGGTGAAACCCCGTCTCTACTAAAAATACAAAAAACTTAGCCAGGCATGGTGGCGGATGCCTGATAACCCCAGCTACTCAGGAGGCTGAGGCAGGAGAATCACTTGGACCCGGGAGGCAGAGGTTGCAGTGAGCATGCGATTGTGCCACTGCACTCCAGCCTGGGCAACAGAGTGACACTCTATCTCAAAAAAACAAAACAAAACAAAACAGTAAGGCAACCTACTGAAGGTTATTAAGTAGCAGGTCAGGGCCTAAGTCCAGAAGAGTGTTCTTGGCACCATCCAAGGAATGGGTGTGATACCATCCCATTCCTTCCCCATCAACATAACCTAGCCACCTAAGGAACACACCCAAGGCTCTGCAGCTCCATTCTCACATTCTCTCCCACACAAATTACTCAATCCAGTCCACTGTCAGTTTAGGTTTCAGGGCACAGTTTATTAAAAAATTTTAAGTAACTGCAAGTCCCACCCCCGATTCCAGTATCTGTCCCCTCCATATCTCAACAGAGGGGCTGTCTATCATATGTGGGTGGGATGGGAAAGGAAGAGGTATGGTCCTACTATGCAAGTTACTCTCCAGCCTTCAGCTTGTGCTGTCCCAAACCTGAGTCCCTCTGACCAAGGTAAGTTGTTCAGAGAGCAGTGGTGCCACCCTGACAGCACTTTAGGACAGTGCCATCTCCTGAGATCACTAGTCACATTCCAGTCATTGTGACCAATATATTAGTTATCAGTGGTGGTCAAAGGTAGACCAGAGGCACAGGCTGTTGAGGGAAGACCCTCTATTAAAGAAGGTTCTAAGAATGAAACATGGAATGCTCAACTTGTTAAAGTGCTCAGCTACAACATTAAAAAAGTGTCGGGAAGGTGTCTATTGGTGAGAAAGCAAGGTACAATCTGAGGGGCTCCTGGAAAGATACAATTTTAAAAGTACACAAAAGGACTTCTGCTTAAATCATTCCAGCAATGAGAGAAAAAAGCTTAGAGCTTAGCCTCTGAATTACTTAAGCTGTAAATCAAATGTATCTCTAGGTGGAGACCAACTCCTTCAATTCCTCATGGAGACGGAATAAAACATTTACCACTGTCTTTTGCTCTAACTCTTCTCTCACTAAATAATTGAAAATCTGGTTTCCTTAATGGACATCACCACCACAAAAATGTCCACCATGGGCAAGTGATCAACTTAAGTATGAATGGCCTATAAACCACTTTCCTGCAGGGTTGGCTAGCCAAAACCTGGAGTGGGACGAGAAATTTGAGTTTCCACATCTGCCAGGCTGAGAGGCCCATATCTAAGAACAAGAGGTCCATAATGTATCTATTCTCTTGGCATGATTACAAGATCCATGACTGGTGTGCCATGGCAGTGAGGGAAAAGTATCCATCAGCAGCAGTGGTTATCTTGTTCTAGAAGCTAGTGTATAGCCTCAGCAGTCACTTGTAAGTCCAGTGGGCAGTGGCCCAGCCCTGGCCCTTGCATAGGTCCCGGTGGCGGAGAAAACAGGCATGGACTCGGAACCGACGGCCACAGTGGGGACAGGCATGCAGGGCTCCAGCATGGGTCTTCATGTGCTCTGTCAGATGGTGCTTCAGCTTGAAGCGCTTGTTGCAGATGCCACAGCCAAAAGGCCGAAGGCTGAAGGTCAGCATGATGTGCCGGTCACGCTTTGGCTTCACTGCAAACCGCTTCCCACACAGGCAACCAAAGCGTTTTCCATCTGCAGGGGGTGTCCCCCCTAGCTTCACAGGCCCATGCACGGCCTGGCCTGCTCCCCCAGGTCCTCCACCCCCTGACAGGATTTCATTCCCATGAAGATCCACTGGTTTCCAGGATGGACCCCCTCCCCCAGATGTTGGCCCTGGCCCTGAAGGCAACAAGAACCCTAGCTCCCCATTCCCTTCAGTGTCCCCTCCAGAAAACACTTTGGTTTCCTCCTTTGCTCCTCCAGGCTGAGTTCCGCTTCCTGATATCTCCTCCTTAGGCTCGAAGGGTTCCTGCTTAATGTAGAAGATTTTGGGGGGCAGTGCAGGAGGGGCAGGAAGCTCAAGTGGTGCACTCTCACCCTCTGGAAGCTTTCGGGGAGTAGCAGTCATGGGCAGTGGGTGGGGTCCATGAGGACGGGGAAAAACCCCTGATACTCTCTGGGGCTGAGGAGTCTGAGAGAGTGTGGCTGACCCCTGGTCCTCATCATCATCATCTTCCTCCTCCTCCTCTTCTTCTTCCACCTGAATTTGCAGCACTTCTCCCAGTTCACTTCCCTCCCCTCCCACAGGGCTCTCAGTGGAAGCAGGGCTTTCAGTAGAAGCAGAGGACTGTACTGGGGTCTGGAAAGGCGAAGAGCGAATGCACCAGCCTCCTGTAGAGGATGTAGTGGAAAGAAGGGCATGGTAGGAGTTTCCTCCACGGGCTGAAATTCCACCACCTGAAGTTTCTAATTCTCTAAGAATTTCTGAGCACTGATCTACTACCTGCCACATTTGAAGGCCACTGGCCACAAGGAGATGAGCAGGAAGAGCATCCAGTGGCAGGCGGAGACGCCCTGAATAAATGAGCTGGAGCAGCCCCTCGAAGGCATCGGCTTCAATGACACTCGGTAGAGTGAGACGAGGCGCATCCCCCAGAAGCAGCTTGTCATGGAAGTAAGGAGAGGCAGCAGCTAACACTGCTTTATGAGCCCTAAGTTCCCGGCCCTGCACCAGGAGGGACACATCACAGAACTTTCCCTCTAGCCTGTGGCGGTTCAGAGATTCCAGCAGAGACGAGCTATGCTGTGGGAACTCGATCTGGATTGTCCGTGGGGCTGGGTTGCAGGTCGGGGAGGCGGGTACAGGCGGCAAAGGTGTTGGGGTTTCCATGGCCTCCTCGAAGGTGACAAGAATTGGGAAGAGGAGAAGGGCTTGGGGGTAGACTCCACGCGGGATGAAGGCTGCAGAGGAAAAAGATGGAGGTCACAGAAGCCCTGGATAAAGGGAGCCACATCTTCTCAAACAACCCCCTCCCCACGAGCAATAACTGGAAACTTTTAAGTCAGTGGCGGTTTCTGCAAATCAGTCCCGCACACCAAGAAAGCAAAAACAAACAACAACAACAACCACCACCACTAAACACCAACAGGGGTTTTAACTTCCAGCCCCTGTGGAAGATAAGAAGGAGGTCCTTCAGCCACCAGCCTGCCTTCACCTGCCCAGAACAGCTCCTGCCCCGCCGCTCCGTTCCGCCTCACAGTGCCCACAGAGGTCTGCTCCCGGGAAGCCGCGGTCACCCGGACACCGCGAGTCCCGGCCCGATTGTCCTTCCCGCCGACACGCCCCCGCCGTTACACACGCGGCGCTGCCCTCGCAGTTACAGTGCCGCTACAGCTCCGTCCCAGACCGGAAGCCGCCGCCTCCCCGCCGGACACCGTCGCCAAGTGCGGCGGGCGGAGCTAGAGCCGTAGCCAATCGAGGAACGGCAGCCTACAAGCCTCGTGTTGATTGGCTACTGCAGACGAGGAGGGCGGTGCTAGTAGGAGGGCACAGGCCCAGGGTGTCCTCGCAACGGGCGTCCCGGGGAGCTGCTGAAGTCCTCCCCGCTGCAGAGGACCGAGAGGCAGGGCCCGGGAGAGAACAGCCCGGTCGGAGGGGGTGGGCCGTCAGCCGCCCCGGAAAGCTGCGTTTCCCGGTGATTAAGTGTAGCACCCGCCCCCGGTAGGTCCTGAGAGGGGCGAGATTAGTTGGGTACTTACCATGTGGGCCTGGCACTTGCCCACATCACTTTGTGTCTTCCCACCGGCCCTGCGAGGGTGGGGGTTGCCGTCCTCAGTTTCCAGGCGGGGGAAACGGGCTGGAAGCGTCACTCAGCTAATAGTAGTGGACCTGGGACTGGAACTCAGATTTGCTAAGGAACCAGGCAGGTTCTTTCCTGTTTTCTGCACGGGAGCATTTTAACCAGCAATTAAAGAAACCTTATTTCTAGGTAATTTTTAAAAGAGATAAATGTGGATATATACATGAACTCTTTTATCAGATAACGCCGCTGTTCCTGGCCTCGGACTAAGTGACACAGTGGTGAGGGGAGAGTTAGATTGGAGAAGTTTGGCCGGTGCAAAACTCCTGCTCTAAAATATAAAAAATCTCATTGGGAGGGGAGAGTGACATTCTATGAGGAGAGTGTGGCATCAGGTGGGGATATACGGTTTTCCTCTCAGGCTGTCAGCTTCCTTTCAGAAAGCAGATCTTACCACCGTACAGGTCTGGAGAGCCCTGCCTAAGAAAGTCGGCACAGCGATAAAAGAACAATCTCCGTTTATTAAACATGTTTTTTTCTGTTTCACCACACACTCCAGAAAAAAAGGAAATGGGGCTGGGAGTGGAGAAAAGGGGACAGTGAGGGGGGATAGATAAGGCTGGGAGTGGGGTGGGGAGGGAGAACGAGAAAACAAAATAAAACAGGTAGGAAGAGCAACTCCCTACCCTTGAGGTGGTGGGTGGGGAGGGAAGCAGAGGGGCGGGGGGGGAGGGGGCCAGGAAGCTCTGTACAGAAGGGTTGCCCCCAGCCCACACACACACACCCCGGATATGTACAGTACAAACCCCAGATAATTACAACAGCCAAAGAAGAGAGAAGGAAGGTTGGGGAGGGTCCAGGGGTAGGGCCTGAGGTGGGGAAAGGGCACAGGGATAAAATTTCACATATTTACAACTTTTATATAAGTATAAATTTGGCCCCGGCTGGGTGTATGTGTAGGGGGATGGGACTGAAGGGGAACTGTCCATACAAAAGAAAGAGGAGTAGAGTCTAGGAGAGTCTCAATACCAAACGCAAAAGGATGAAGGGGGCAAGGCTGGGTAGGGGACAGCAGTCAGGGAAGAGGGGGTGCCAAGGAGGGGCTTCTCCCCTCCCATGGCCTACCCACCCCAAACCCCATCCATCCTACCTCCCCTATCCCGCCAGAAAACTATGTACAGAGAAACACCGAAAAATCGTGGAGCTGGCGGGAGGGAGGGAGGTGGAAGGAGATTGGGAGGGGGAGGATGAGAGGGAAGCCCAGCCCTGTCCTACCTCCCCCAGGGGACAGAGTCATGGAAGGGGGCCCCCCAACACCCCTCCTCCAACACAGGTCCCCCCACCCTGGGGGAGAGAGACATGGCTTTTCCTAGAGTAAGTTCCCCCCTCCCCCTGGGAGTAGAGACCAAGAAGAGAGAAGGAAGGGGCAGAGGGGACTGTGTGTCAGAGTAGGACAGATCAACTAGCCTGTCCTCCCAACATACACACCCTCCTAAACCCTGACCCCTCACCCTAACCTCAATTCCACCCCACCCAACACACTGGGGGAGGGGGGGGCATAAGCCCCCTCACCCCGCTCTGGGACCAGCCGAGAGCAGATCAGGTGTGGGGAGAAGGGGAGACAACTCCCATTCCCCCCTTGCCGCCCCCTCCCTGCCCCGGTGGCCCCCTCCACCCCATCTGGGTTCTGGGTGGGGAGGGAGTAAATTTAAGAGTGGTAGAAGGAGAAGGAGTTTGTGCGTGCTGAGCCCCCCCAGACGCTCCTGAGAAATCAAGGGGTAATAGGGCCCCCTCACCCGGGGTCCCCTCCCCATAACAAGGGGGGCAGGGGAGGCCAAAATGGGGCGGTGGAGGGGAGTTAGATTGTCAGCTCTGGTTACTGCTAAAAAAATCACCCTGAAGTTGAAAGTTTGGAGGTGCCACACCCCCAGGGTGGGGGTGAGGGTCTGTCCCCCAGTGCTCAGGGGAACGATGAGGCAGAGGATGGGGATAGCACCCCGGAGTGAAGGGGTCTGTACGGGGTAGGCGGTGTCCTGGGGCAAGGGTCCCTGGGGGTCAAAGAGAGGGCAGCACCCCAATGGGAAGGAAAAGGGGGCGGCTGAGGGTCCCCACTCTCCCTCCTGGAAATGGTGCAGTGGTGGGGGTGGGCAATCAGTGTGCCTCCCAGGGAGGCATTCGGGGAGGCAATCCCGCTGTTCCTCGGTGATGTCCAATCCTGGTGGTTGGTGCTGTTACAGGGTGGGGTGCACAGGAAAGGAAGAGAAGGTCTCTGATGCTGGGTGGGCTAGTGGTCTGCGGTGTTTCGGAACTCGCCGTTCTCCGTAATCTGCAGCCGGGGTGGGGGTGGTGGGGCTGGGGGGGCCAGGCCATTCCACGGTGGGGCCAGCGTCACACGCGGGTTTGTTGGACCCAAGGGGGGAAGCTGCCTCTCCTGCAAGACACCAAAAAGGAGAGCGCGGACTTATTGAGACGCTTCAAGGGGGCCTGGATGCCAGTCCCCTAGCAGTGGCCTCCCCTATAGCCAGCCCACACCACAAGCCATGGACCACCCCCTCCTCCCAGGACAGTCCCCACCATCCTCCTATTTTGTTTCTCACCTGCAGTAGAAGTTAACGTCCTCTGGGATCAGAGAGAAGAGAATCTCACCCCTAGACTCCTAACAGGGGCCTTCAAGCCTTTAACCCAGAGTGTCACACCAGGAAACCAGATCAAAACAGCAAGTTCCCACCGCACCCCCAACCTAACCCTTCTCTGGCTTCACCTGTGTATATTCCTTGCCCATCCCACCCTCCTCCTCTTGAAACCCCCTCCCACCCATCCCCAATCCGAGGTGGGAACTTCATGTTGAGGAATAAGGGGAGGCAGTACAGCAAAACCTCATTAATCCAAACCCCTGTGGATTTGGAATTTCTTCATAATCTGAAGAAAAACTGAGCTTGCATTTTCCTTTATCTGTGAAGAAAAGGTGTACTAAGCAAATTAGTGGTGGAAATATGTCTGTAGGAGGGGATATTTAACCCATACCAGAAAACAGACTTTTGAATCCTATCTATTCATTAATGCATGCTCCCTGAGGAGTGGAAAAAGCCTTGTTCATCGAGTTCTGTATATATTTTGAAGACATGCATTTCATTAAATAGACACTGTCATTCCGTTTGTCACTTATTCACAGTGGCCATCTTCTCAAATATAACATTCCAAATTAGAGAGAGGTTTAACTGTACTGGGGGGAAAGGAAGGGGATTCAGGGAAGTGATATGGGAAGGGAAAAATCTTGTGGGAGGGCTGCCCCTCTCTCTCACAATTATGGCGGAAATGACTAGGAGCTTCTGCAGACACAGCATGCCCCAATCTCTGCATCCCTGGGAAGCAGAAACTGGCTTTATTCTTTTCCACTCCCATCTTCTTTTCAGTCCTTCTCCCTGGGCTCCCAATTAGAGGGTGAGGGGTACCAGACCAGCTCCTACCCCTGGTTCTACTCTCATCACCTCCTATAGCTCCTTGACCAACTCCTGGTTCCTGCCCTTAGCTCCGCCTTCTGTTCCTCTGCTGGGAGAAAAGAAAGCCATCTGAATTTCCCTACGCTTCTGGTTGGGAAATTCACTTCCTTCTCTCTTTGGCTGTTGTAATTATCTGGGGTTTGTACTGTACATGTCCGTGTGTGTGTGTGTGGGCTGGGGGCAACACTTGGCTTTTTAAAATTCAGGCTCAAAACTAATTTCTAATTAATGGCTGAGTTGCAGAGAGACCAATACCTACCACAAGTGGTTTAGAACAAATGTCCAAATTATTTCCTGGGCCACATGGCATTTAGGCTTGGTAATATAGCTATGTCTGACCTTAGGATACAAAACCTTCCAAGTAAAAGCTTCTATATAAGCTCTCCCTTCCATCCTAGGATCAAGGAGCTAACCTCTCAGATCACCCAAACCCCAGCCTTGGGTATGAGATACCCAGCAAAACTGCCTTCTTAGCTTGCTGGGTATCTCACACATTTTCTGCAAGTCAGTGAGAGGAAATCACTTATGGTAGGGTATCCTGAGTATGGCGGGAGAGCAGGGAAGGAACCCCCAGATTCCATTCCCTCTGTTTGTCTGCTGGTGACAGCACATAAGCATGCCCTGGACACCCCCATGGACCCAAATTTAGAAAGTGGATAAATTAGGGTGCCATTATTCATTTTACAAAAGAATTCACTGCAGGAGTCCTTTAAATGGCAAAGTCCCCTGGTGCCTTTTAGCATCTTTATAGATCACCAGCTACTTTGACAGAGAGGCTGGGCAGGCAGAGAATTAAAATTACAGTGTAAGGAGCCACTGCCCACTGCAGCTCAATCCCAAAGAAAATCGCATCTCAGAAATGATGGCTATAGCTGACAGGTTCTCATTTACTGGCTTTTTAGGTAGGGTGATGTGTCCGGCAAGGCCACTCGATGGCAGGAGAGGGGGAGTGAGTGGCATCAGCAACCTGGGGATGTGAGCTGTGAAGAGTACATTCTTTACCATGCTGTTCCTGGCACCTCTCCCTGGGAATCAACATGCCTACTGAGCCCACGATCTGATCTAGGAGGATGTCTCTCCCCATTTCTAAACTCCCAGGCCACATGATCAAGTCCATGTCCTAACATCTGCCTGAGGTTCCTTTCTTGCTCCTTCTTGTTCCATCCACCCTGCCTAATGTCAGGACATCTCAATAGCATTTTTTCCAGGGTATCTCAAGTCTCCCTGAGTTAACTACCCACTCCTAATTCCCACCCAATGGGGGCTAATATGAGCTTCAGATGCCTTCTGCCTCACAGATATAAGGAGGAGGAAGAGAGAGAATCAGGTGAGGAGTGGAAAGGAGGGTAGAGAACCAAGATTAGGGAAGGAAGAGGGAAACCCAACCTACCTGCTGCAGTCAGCACAGCCCCTATAGCCAAGATCCTCCAACCCATCATTGCCTCCACCCCATTAACAAACCCACCCCCAGCCCCTAAGGACGCTCTGGTGAAATGGGGGGTGACAGACATACACTGGAGAGGTAGAGGAAGAGGAGGGCTTAGAGTCAGGAGGAGGCTGGGAGGGGGTGGGTTTTGCAGGGAAGTGGGTGTGACCTGTGAATGTGCTGGGCCCATCTAGGGCCCAACTCTTGGTGTTGCTAAGGTATTGTTGGACAGTTCTGGGAAGCAGCAGCAAATGCTCTCTTTGGGTGGTGTCTTGGGAGATGGATCTGTGCAGGTGTCGGAGGGCTGGAGTCTGTGGAGGTTCTCTGGGTGTGGAGGGCAGCAGTGAGAGGGGAGAGGCTCCGGAGGTGTTGGAGGGAGTGGGCTTCACGACCAACCTGCAGTGGTCCGGAGTCACCTCCCCCTGTGTCCTCCGCCCGTGGCCAAAGCGGAACCAGGAGAATTACCTGATGAGGAGCTGCAGTGGGAGAGAGTGGGGTCATGGGGTCAGGAGCCTTGGTGGGGGGATGGCAGGCGGGGGGAGCCTAGCAGTCAGAGCAAAGAGGAGTATGGGTAGGAAAATGAGCAGAATTTTGGGAAAGCAAGGGGTAAGGGTGCAGAAGGGAGGTCCTAGAAGCTGGCTTGTGAGAAGAGAGGCTGGGCAGCAGGCAGCTGGGAAGGTCTGAGGGCCAGAGTGGGAGGGAGGCCAGAGGGAGGCTGGACTTAAATACTGAGGGCAAAGGGAGGTTACAGGATGGAAGGCCTTCAAGATCTGAAGAGTCAGGAAGAGGAAGCTATGCAGGAGCTGCCAAGGAGACAGGAAAATTAGGGAGCCAAGAGAACAGAGGTGATGGGTCCCCAAGTTTTCAGGGTACCGGCCAGGGCCTGGAGAAACTACAGATCATACTGCCCTGTGCTCTATTCCAGAAAACGGCAGCTTCTAGCCCTCTGGCCCAAGAGCGCAGAGGAAGCTGAACAACGTGGCTTGAATAGGAGTGAGCAAAGAAGGGGCAGGGGTTCTTGGAACTAGGTGGGGTCTAGGGGCAGAAAGACCAAGGTTCTGGTAGAGAAGGTCCTGAGATGCAGAGAGGAGTGGGAAGACTGGATGGGAAGGCACAGGAGTTGGGCTGACGCTGCCAGGAGTGACAAAGGCACAGACGATGGGATGAAGATGGGGTCACTAGGGGGCTGCCAGGAGCAGCCAGTGGACAAACAGCAGACTATGAGAGACAGATGGTGATGGGGCTAGGTGGCTGGTGTAGTGAGTGCACGAAAGACAGTGGGATGGATGGGGATGGGACACGGAGAAGATAAATGACATTGTAATTTCCACCTGAGCGTCGAGCAGCCTCTTCTTGGGTTCTGGCAGCGGCTCAGCCATGGCGGGGTGGTCCCGGCGCAGCTCCTCCTCCACCAGCATCAGCCTGAAGGGACGGGCTTCAGTGGGGTTAGTGGCGGGCACAGGCTCAGAGCCTGCCCATGGAACCCCATAGCTCTCTGGAAAAACCTCAGGCATCCTTATCCCTTAGAATCAGAGTCCCTCCATTGCCGTGATGCAAGACTCCCTGTTCCTCAGGATCATGCTCTCCACCTTCCTCCCAGGAACCCTTACACCTCCCTGCTAAGGCAGCTTTCTGTGCCTCAAAGACTTCTACCATCCAGACACCTCCAGGCCTCCATCGTCCCAATCAGGACAGCAGTGCCCCTTCCCCAGACCTTCCATGGCTGAGGACCTGGCTTCTGCATCCCCCATGTCACCTCACTGTGAAGATCCTCGAGGTGATTTATCATAAAGGATATCAATTAGAGCAGTGGTTTTCAAAAAATATTTCAAGAAGCCCTTTTCTTCTAATTAAATCTTACATAAAATACATTTAGAATGGATCAAAATGGAGGTGGCTCTGGTTGGAGTGCGCCCAGGGTCCCCCCCACCCCGACCCCACCACTCTGAAGATAATTGACCTCTTTGCTGAGGATACCCTCTTTGGAGCCCAGGACTTGCTGGAGCAGCTGAAAACATACACAGGCTAAAAGACCCTTTCTAACAGAACACCTTTCCAAGGCTAGAGAGGGAGGGTCCACCCAGGAAGGGCAGGGCCTACTCTGGCTAGGGAGCCCTGCTTAGGTTTGGAGTGAACATCACAGGTTAAGTTGAGAATAACTAGTGGGGAGCTCTGGCCTAGGGTAAATGCAAATGCAGTGATGGTTGGACAGGAACAGGTACATTTTCCAAGGGCTTCCGAAGCTACTCTATCAGAAGAGAGGTCAGGGTTTGGTAAAGAGATATTTAATGCACTAAGCAGGTTGGGGTTTCTCTCCATCTGGTGATGAGTGAGTGGGTGGCTTCCTGGGGAGGAGAGTGGTGGGCTCTCCTGGTGGGCTCCTGAGTTTGGGGATGGGAGTCAGCGGAGTAGCTCACCCACTTGCTCTCTCCAGCCTCAGGCTCTCCCTCACAACCCCCTCCCCAGGCCGCCCCTCACCTGCCAATGATGCTCTTGATCTGGGAATCCTTCTCTGCCTGCTGCTGCCTTAGCCTCTTCTCACTCTGCTCCAGTCGGGCCTGATACTGCATCAGGATTTTGCTGGTTTGTTCTTCCTGGGACAGCAGCCTCCGCTCATACTCTTCCAGCTTCCGGTTGGACATGTGCAGCCGCTCTTTCAGTGAGTGAATCTCCTCCTCGTACTCCTTCACCTGCCCGCCGGGCACACGACCCCGCACTATGAGGGGCGCCCCACCCCAAGCCCACCACCCAGCCTCCATCCCTGTCTGCCAAGCACAGCCACTGCATGTTGAGGGACATCCAGCTGCCTTCCCCAACCCCTTCCCTGCCTGTGGATCATATCCACACACCTGCTTTTGAGAAGACCCTGCCATGGTGCTGAGGTTCCCTCAAAATGGAGCAAGGTCACAGACTCCCACACCCTGAGGTCTATGTATGGCCCCTCATGAAGACCCACACAGAAACCTACACTCACAAACACACCTTGAGTAACTGTGCTCAGAAATTAAAAATAGGGTGACTCTTCAGCCCTAAGCCAGGCCCCAGAACACATGCTGGAGACATAGGAAGAAAAGGCAATTGACGGGGGAAAGGCAGGTGCTGTCCTCCATGTGACCCTCTCCTTGGCTCTGTCAAGGTGCCAAGGATAGGAGGTCTACAAGTGAATTCTAGGCTGAGAATCTAGGAATTCCAGAGCTGGAAGAGCTCAGAAGAGTCATTTTATCTGCCCTATTGGCTCTAGAGTCTACAGCTGTGCTGTCTAATATGGTAGCCACCAGCCCACATGTAGCTATTTAAAATTTAGGCCAGGCACAGTGGCTCAACACCTGTAATCCCAGCACTTTGGAAGGCTGAGGCAGGTAGATCACTTGAGCTCACAAGTTCTAGACCAGCCTGGGCAACATGGCAAAACCCCGTCTCTACAAAAAAAAAAAAAAAAAAAAAAGAAAAGAAAAAAAACTAGCCAGGCATGGTAGCACGACCCTGTAGTCCTAGCTACTCAGGGGGCTGAGGTGGGAGGATGTCTTGAGCCCAGGAGGCGGAGGTTGCCTCGAGCCATGTTTGCACCACTGCACTCCAGCCTGGGTGACAGAGCAAGACCCTGTCTCAAAAAAATTACAAAATTAAAATTAAATAGATCTAAAAATTCAGTTCCTGAATCACAACTAGACACATGTGAACACTACAGATTACAGAACATTTCATCACTGCAGAAAGTTATATTGGATAGTGCTAGTCTACAGCCTTTCTCAACAAGGTTTCCTCATCTGAAGCACAGAAAAAAAAATGATTCAAAAGACTATTTCCTCATTCTCTGAAGAGGATACATACATATATCACCAACCCTTCTACATGCAGAGGAGAGATGTGAATTAACTTCCTACGGTGGCTGCCTTGGGGCTAATATTAGGGTTTAATTCTCATTAAATTTGCTGGTCAAGCCCATCTGAGTCAGTCCCAACATTTCCTATGCTCAAAGACCACTTCCCCGTGTTAGGATCATATGTTCTTTATATATGACCTAATCCTGCAGCCGCCCTCTTCCTCAGGCCCTAGGAACAACAGCTTCCTCAAGTAACTTTCTGCTAAGTTATCTGTGTTAGCCCCAGAGCTCTTGGTGCCCTTTGCCCTCAGCCTCCACCAAGTGAGGGTCTGGATGGTCTTTTCACACATGACTGATACATACTACTTTACCACATGCATTCCCTGCCCACTGACTGTCACTTATGCCCATGGGACAGTGACTGGGTAGGCCAGACATCACTTGTAATATAGCTGCAACCCCCTCCATCCCCATCCAATTTATTAGCTCCTACTGCCAGTAAAGTAACATTTCCTTTCCTAAGCAGTCACAGGAGCCAGGGCTTATGTTCCTCCTGGGGAAGAACATGGAGGTAAGCCTAAAATAGATGATCCCCAGATAGTCTATGATATATATAACCTACAAAATAGAGTTGAAAGTGACTTTTAACAACTGTGTGTATCTGGTCTCCCCAGATGGACGGAAGGCTTCTCAAGAGGTGATCAGGTCTTTGCCTTTTCTTACCACCATAACTGACCCTGGAGGTTTCCCTTGGAAGTGACTAGAGATCTCCCCTGTGGGTAAAAGGAAACACTGGGGCTTGGAGCTGGTAGAGCCCATCGTACCCTATCCAGCCGGCTCTCATCCATCGATTTTGAGTACTCCTTGAGCTTGTACTCTTCCCGCTCGATGTGGGCACTCTCGATGTCAGCCGACAGGTGAGGCATGTTGGAGACCCAGGCCACTGTCCGCTCAGAGGCTGGCATTGTGGGGTTCAATGTGGATGGTGTCTGAGAATGCTGGGACAAGGCACAGTGAGGGCGAACAGAGAAAGAAAAGGTGGGAAAAAGCAGGGTACATTTAGAGGGCAACAGCACAGCCAAAGGAGACGACAGTCCCAGTCCTATTGCCCTGCTGTAGCCTTTATCACCTCTGAATGCCAGAGATGTGAGTTGAATGCCAGAGAATTTCTCCTGTTGTTCTGATTCAGGATCTGATCTTCATGCCTCCAAGCCCCCAGCTGGCCCTATTCCAGTCACCCCCATTCTACTTATGGATTAATCCCCTCTGGAATGAGAGTGCTAAGAGGGTTCAGTGCCGTATCCTTAGTGCCTGGCATAGCACATGGCACATAGCAGGCCCTCTATACACATTTGTTTAATGGCCAAAAGGAGGCAAGAAGATTGTAACTTCAGGCCACAGACTCTGTTTCAACCCCACCCCCCATCTCCTTCTTCCCTCCCTGTTGTGACCCAGCCCGCCTTCCTCCTGCCTTCACCTACCTGCTTGGTGATGGAGGGCTTCAGCCCCCCACCCCCTCCGCCACCGCTGCCCCCGCTGCCCCCAATGCTGCCCTCCTTGCTGAGGCTCTGTTGCCGTGGACGGGCGGGGCCATAACTTGGCTCTGGGGACTGCAATAGATTCCCGCTGGATGGCCGGGGTTTCTGGGCTGCGCTGACTGTCAACTGCTGAGACTTGCCCCTCTGCAATGGAGGCGGCTGGCCCCCGCCACCCCCACCGCTGCCCCCACCGCTCCCACCTCCAGGCCCTGAGGGGGCTGGCCTCTGGGGACCAATGGTGATCTGGGGAGGGGACAGCATGTGCTGCAGGTTGTCCTGGAGTGAAAGCTGCCGACGGGTGAAGTCAGTGCCAGAGGGTCCAAACTCATCACTGTAGCTGTGGCTATGAAGGATGGAGGCAGCAGGGGGCTTGGGGACCCCGGAAGAGAGGTCCTCACTCTTGCTATAGCCATGGAATGGGGCAAAGGTGTCCCCAGGGGGCTCTCCACCTCGGTGGTGGTGATGGTGGTGGTGGTGGTGATGGGAGGAAGGTGGGCCATGGCCACCGCCCCCTCCATGGCCGCCTGGGGGACCTGGCCCATCAGCAGCCATGTGGAAGAGAGGGTTCTGGAAGGAGAGGGGGATTCGCAGTTGCTGGGCAGGGACACCGTCTGTGGTGACACCCATCTGGCTGAGGCGCATGCCAGCCGCCGTGATGGATGAGCCACTCCCCTGGGAGAGGCGTCCGGCAGGCGCAGGCCGTAGCCCCAAGGCTGCTGTCAGCGAGGCCTGGCTTGAGTGCAGCAGGTCCCCTACGGCCGCCAGGTTCGAAACACTGCTGCTGTTGAGGCGGCCACCAGGCCCATCACCCTGTAAGTCCAGCATGGACACACTCTTGTTGACACTCAGCATCTTCTGCTCTGGCTCTGTGATGTCCGAGCTGCTCGTGCAGTATGCTGGTGAGGAACGGGCCAGGGGTGGACGGCTTACATAGAACAGGTCTTTACCACCACCAGGCGGTGGTGGGGGTGGCTTTTCCTTGGTTGGGGAGGGGAGGCGAGCCATGTCCATAGAGCTGTCAGAAGGGAAGGGGGCACACAAGCAGAAGGTAAGGTCAGGGCTCCTAGCAATTGAACCTTGCTGTGGTCTGGCACAGGCCTTGGGGTGAAAAGTGGGACCCAGAGGGAAGGGCTGAGAGCTAGCGGTGGCAGCCCTGAAGAGGGCAGGCAGGGAGGATGGGAGGGGACAGGTGAGTAAAGGGAAAGGACAGGGCCCCTCCGGGAAGGGGGTGAGGCCTAGAGGAGGGGAGATGGGGGCAGCAAGAGAAGGGATGGGGGCAGGGCTGGGCACATATGGAGGAGATGAGGTCCATGGAGGAGGAGAGGAGAGGAGTAGGGCGAAGGCCAGTGGAGTGGGAGAGGGAACAGACAGGAGAGGAGAGGAGGGCGGGGGAGGGGAGAGCCCCTCACCTGTTGAGGCCTCGAGCCATGAAGGACTGAAGGTCGATGGAGCTGGAGAGAGATGGAAAGAGGGGCGAGCACAGACAGAGAAGGAGAGAGATGTGGACAAATGAAAGGAGAGGCGGGAATGGTGGGATGGGTATGGTGTCATGGAGGAAGACACGGGCAGAGGAAAAAGCAGGGCCATCATCAAAATAATGAGCAGCAAATGAAGCACGGGCACCACCTATCAGAATGGAGGCTGGGACTCTGGAGCAGGCTGCAGGCCCTGCTAGGCTTCTGCTGTCACTGCTCTAAGTGCTGGATCATGGGGAGGTCTGTGGGGTTGTGGTCGGGGGCTGGGGGAAGTGCTTATTCACTAGCTATTACTGAGATGTTTGAACATTTTGACACATGGCTGACATGACATGCTGGCTGAACCTCAGCCTGGGGACTAGCATGGGCAGGCAGAGGGACAGCAAATCAGAGCTTGCAGCAGGGATGCTCTAGGCTTACAACTAAGCCGTGAGTTGGTGGAGCCTCAGCCCTATTCCTAGAGCTCCAAATCTCTCACTCCCTCAGGCTGTAAAGGGCTCTCAGCCTACCACTGACTGTACCTGTCTCCTTATCGTCTCCCCTGAGAACTTGGTGCTTTTTCCTCCCTTCTTTCAAGCCCTAGAGAGATGCATGTGGGGCCCAGTGAGGAGTATCTAGAATAGGAGAAGGGCTCCTAGGGCACAGGCCTGGCTGTCCCAGGGTGCTCACCTGTTGAGGTCCCGCATCATGTAGCCCTGCATCTCAGCCGATGGCCCCCGCAGTACCACAGGCTGAGGCCGGGGCCGCTCACTCTGGCGGCTTGGCTGCCTTTGGATGTTGGGGTTCCTCAGAGCTGTGCTGATGTCGTTGAGGAGCCGGGGCAGTGGACCCAGCTTCAGGAGGGCTTCCTGGAAGGGTGAGGCTGTTACCTGGGGGCTCAGTGCCCAGCTCTAAGAGGGCCTCTGAGGGTGCAGGTGGAGGGGGCCTGAGTTGGGATAGTAGTGGTGACACCTCGAGAAACAAGGGGAGAAAAAAAATCTTCAAAGGGTAGTTTCTCAGGCTCCAGGAACCTCTGGAGCCATCTGGGGATAG
The DNA here is from genome assembly GCF_000001405.40 of Homo sapiens. Lineage (NCBI taxonomy): Eukaryota > Metazoa > Chordata > Mammalia > Primates > Hominidae > Homo > Homo sapiens. The sequence goes on along the minus strand of NC_000006.12, from coordinate 33,441,396 downwards.
GGCAAAGAGGGGATCTGCTGACCTTGCTGAGCTGGGGCAGCACCTCCCAGAGTAGGGCATGCAGTGTGGAGAGCTCTCGGCCCAAGTCGATGTAACCCTCAAAGCTACTGCTGTTGGTTAGCGTGTCCAGATTGGAGATCTCATACAAAAACTGCTGCATGGAACCCCATTCCAGCTCCAGAAACTCATTCATGAAGCCCAGAAAGTCCTCCTTTGAGGTAAACCTAGCCAAGAATGCAGAAGATAAAGGTCACATACACACACACACACACACACACACACATACACACACATACACACACACACAAGGTATCATAGCCTCCCCATCTCAGGATCTCTGGGGACTCAGGAGACCCTTCTTGCCGACCCCCAGCCCTGCCACTCCCTGCCCTGCCACTCCCTGCCCTGCCCACTCCTGAAGCTTCCCTCACTTGGAAAAGTTGGCCAGGTTCTGGATGACCTTGGCAATGAGGGTGAGGGTTCGTGAGGTCTGCTCATCTGGGTACTCCTGCATAAGCCCAAAGAGACTGGGCGACATAATCGCTGGGCAGAGGAAGCGCAGGAAGAGTGAGGCGCTGATAAGCCTGTCTGCGATGTCCTCCCGGCCTCGCTCTGCGCAGCGCAGCCGCCACGAAGCAAACACCTCCTTCAGCTCCCTCGGGAACACGCTGGGGGGAAGGGTCGGGGAGACAGAGAGAGAGAGAGAGAAAGAGAGAGACCGGGACTGAGCCCCAGAGACCCTCAGCTTCCAGGGAACATGCTGAGGGGGGTGGTAGGAGGTGAGGGTGTGGAAACAGGGGTGAGAGAGACAGGGAAGGAGGGACCGCAGGAGCAAGATGGGAGGCTGCTTGAAGAAGGGGGCCATGGCAGAGGGAACAGACAGATTAGGGAGAGAGAAATGGAGGGGGAGAGAAGGTGAGGGGAGAGACACGTGGGAGAGAGATGGAGGGGTGTGGGAGAGAGACAAGGAGAGGAGGAGAAGAAAAACAGACACCAGGGAGAGACAGAGATGGGAGAGAGATGGAGGGTCACTTGAGGTACAGGGAGCTCGGACCCCCCAACTCTTCTGGATTCCAGGGAAATGGGGATGGAGGTGCCCCAGGCATGATCCCCAGTCCCTGGAATGGCTCAGAGCTCACTCCCCGCACCTCCCAGTTCCACTTCAATGTCCCACTGACACCTTAAACTCGGCTGGTGTAAAGCAGAGCTCACCATCGCCCCCACACCTCCAACTGGCTCCTCCTCCTGACTTTCCTGGTTGTCAATGAGGCCACCGGTCTCCCAACCACCAGCCTCATGGCCTCTTGAGTCATCCGTGACTCCCCACAGACATGCTCCCTCCTTTCCAATAAGCTGACAATTCCTACTGATCCTTTCCCGAGAGGGTCCTTCCAGTAGCTCCTTCCTAACTTCTGTCACTGTTCTGATTCAGGATCTGACTTTCATGCCTCCGAGCCCCCAGCTGGCTCTATTCCAGTCATCCCCCAACATACATCCCTCTACTCTACTACATACACTCTACTTATGGATTAATTTTTTTTTTTTGAGATGGAGTTTCACTCTTGTTGCCCAGGCTAGAGTGCAATCGTGTGATCTCGGCTCACTACAACCTCCACCTCCCAGATTCAAGTGATTCTCCTGCCTTAGCCTCCCGAATAGCTGGGATTACAGGCATGTGCCACCACATCTGGCTAATTTTGTATTTTTAGTAGAGACAGGGTTTCTCCATGTTGGTCAGCCTGGTCTCAAACTCCTGACCTCAGGTGGTCTGCCCGCCTCAGCCTCCCAAAGTGCTGGTATTACAGGTGTGAGCCACCGTGCCCAGCCTATGGATTAATCTTCTAAATCACAATATTTCTGACACCTTTAATGGCATCCCAAGGCCTACCAATGACCTCAGACTCCTTGAGGCCTTCCAGTTTCTAAAGCTAATCTTCCTGCCCAGACATCTCTCCCGCCACTCCCCATTATGAGGCACATGCTCCACTAAACCTGATGTAATTGCTACTAACCTACTTTAATGTCCCCTGAAAACTCCTGGGCCTTTTCACCATCACACATGTGCCTTTCTCACAGCCTTCTTCTGAAATGTCTTTCTTGCCAACTATGTCCATATATCAGAACCTAAACCAGTCTTCAAAGCCTACCCAAGGGGGCACCTCTTCCCCACTTATCTCAAAGCTCTGCCTTCTCTCTGACCTTATGTCACACAGAGGTTGGGGGGACCCTTACTCAGCACTTACACACCATTATGGCTCTGTGGCTTTTTTTTTTTTTCTTCTAATTTGTCCCCATTCTGGTGGAGGCCCTCTGAGGGCAGGGACCAGGCCTCTTTCACCTGTTTGCTCTATAGCGCCTAGAACAATGCTTTGCCCATAAATGGTGCTCAGTCCTCTTTGAGGATGGACAGATAGATGAACAGATGAACACATAATTCCCCCGACCCTGGCCCCCCAGCCCAGCGTTCCCAGTCTCACCAGTGGGAGTTGACCACCTTGCACAGGGCCAACTCACAGCACATTCGCAGGTTGGCCTGGTGCTCTGCCAAACTGGATGCTGTGCACTTGATAGGGTCTACCTCGCAGTTTTCCTCAGATTCATACAGAGCACGGATGAATTCTCCTGGGGGGTGGGGGCACAAGAGGGTGTGGTCACACTTTCCAAGGGCAGGGAAGGGGGTGGCCAGGGTTGGGGAAATTTCAGAATCAGGTGTTGGAGGCTGGAGTCCTAGGACTCTGGGTTAGGAAGTATCAAGCTGTGGAAGGGTGGACTTGGGGTCTGGGGTGGACATCTGGCAGGTTTGGGAAGAAGAGGGCCTGAGTGTGGGCCATACCAATGGCATCCTTGAGGTATTTCTGACCAATCAGTCTCATATACTCTTCTATGGCTTTAGTGGCAAGCGTGTTCTCGCGGAATATGAGGTGCTCCCGTTCCATGAACCGGTCTACCTCAGACATGGCCATGTCTGAAAGGAAGTCCTGAGGCCCAGGAAAATCCAAGTGTCAGCCTCTGCACAACCCAATCTCGTGAATTTGCCCTGTCCTCACTAACCCCCAAGCAAGTGCCCATTCCCAAGTCACCTTTCCCTGAGGGCACAACACTCACCTTGGCCTTGCCTGTACTCTGCAGGATGTGAACTAGTGCACTGGCAACCTCCTCCTTGCCTTTGACATTCAGGGCGGGCTCCAAGACTGCACACAGCATCCGATAATGGTTGGTGACATACTCTGCAAACTCTTTATATAGCTCCATGGGCAAGATGCTCATTGTCTGGTAACGTGCTTTCAGCCGCACAGCCGGGCAACCTCCTTTGCCCTTGCCCCCTGAGCCACCCCCCGAGCCCCCTCCCCCTCCCGAACCCATGCCCCCAGATCCCCCACTGCCTGTTGGCAGGGTTACAGGGTACCACTGCTCTGTGAAGTGGCGCCCAGCCAGGGTGGCCACTGGCACAGTCACCAGGCCGACATAGCCTGCCTTGTCCTTCTTGCGCTTTTTGTCTGAGTCACGGTACAGATGCAGCCGCAGGGCACGGACAGCCGGCAGGTTGTTAAACTCGAAGTGCTCGCCCCAGAAGACGGTGTCCCCAGAGGCAGAGCGGGGCTTGGAGGTGGTGCGTGCATACAGCATGTCATCCAGGCAGAGCTCACAGTAGTACCGCTTCTTGGGGGGCAGCTCCCGGGCCTCTATGATCCACAGCTTTAGCACATTGTCTACCCGGCGGCTGTTGTCCTGGCATGGTGGGGTGGGCATGATGTTAAAGGGGGAAGGGACAGAGAGACACCAAAAGAGGAGAGACAGTAAGAAAGTGGGATACAGACAGCAATCATAAGGTGAGACGGTGTACTGGGTTGAATAGTATCCCACCAAAACTCATGTCTACCCTGAACCTGTGAATGTGATCTTATTTGGAAACAGGATCCCTGCAAATGTAATCAAACTAAGAAGAGGCCAGCCATGGTATCTCATTCCTGTAATCCCAGCACTTTGGGAGGCCGAGGTGGGTGGATTGCCTGAGGTCAGGAGTTCGAGCCAGCCTGGCCAACATAGTGAAACCCCGTCTCTAATAAAAATACAAAAACAAATTAGCTGGGCATAGTGGCACGTGCCTGTAATCCCAGCTACTCAGGAGGCTGAGGCAGGAGAATCACTTGAACCTGGAAGGCGGAGGTTGCAGTGAGCTGAGCTCATGCCATTGCACTCCAAGCCTGGGAAACAAGAGCGATATTCCATCTCAAAAAAAAGAGGCCATACTGAATTAGAGTGGACCCTTAACCCACCTTATAAAAACTGGTGTCTTTATATGGAGAGGGAGATTTGGAGACACAGAGATACAGGATACAGAGACACACAGAAGGAAGCCAGCTACATGAAGATGGAGGCAGAAATTAGACGGATGCAGTTATAAGCCCAGGAATGCCAAGGACTGCTGGCAACCTCCGGAAGCTAGGAAGAGGCAAGGAAGGATTCCCTGCTACAGCATCAAAGAGAGCGTGGCCCTGCTGATACCTTGCTTTTGGACTTCCAGCCTCCTGAACTGTGAGAGAATAAATTTCTGTTGTTTTACGTGACCCAGTTTGTAGCAGTTTGTTATAGCAGCCCCAGGAAGCTACTGTAGAAGCGTAGACATACACTAGACAACACAAACAGTATTGGAAAGATTTCAAAAGCTGGAATAACAAGCCAAAAATATTAATGTAGAATTTGAAGGGAACTGGAAAGTCCTGCAGAGACTATCAGAAATTGTGAAAAAAGAATTGCATATAGAATGGGTAAAGCTTGGCCAGATGTGGTGGCTCATGCCTGTAATCCTAGCACTTTGGGAGGCTGAGGCAGGCAGACAACCTGAGGTCAGGAGTTTGAGACTAGCCTGGCCAACATGGTGAAACCTCGTCTCTACTAAAAATACAAAAATTAGTCGGGTGTGGTGGTGCATGCCTGTAATCCCAGCTACTGGGGAGGCTGAGGCACAGGAATTGCTTAAACCCAGGAGGCGGAGGTTGCAGTGAGCCAAGATCACGCCACTGCACTCCAGCCTGGGTGACAGAGTGAGACTCTGTCTCAAAAAAAAAAAAAAAAGAATCAGTAAGGGCCTGGGGGGATACAATTGAGCACAAGCTAATGGTAAGGCTCAGGTGATATTGCAGTGTGTTGAAAGGGAACATGGTGTTTGTACTCTGCATAGGTCAGATCATGTCAGCATCTTGGGTTGAGTTCTTTAAGGACATCAAGACACAAGAGTTCCCCCCAGAGGAGTGTGACTAGGACTGTAAGCTTGCTAGAAACTGGGATACAGAGAATAGCTGACAGAACTGGAAGCATGAAGTTTTGGGAAGAACAGACTCATAGAATTTATGTGCCAAAGGGACCTTAGAGATCATTTAATCCAACCCATTGCCACCAGTTCCCTCTGTCTTAGAGAGGAAACCAAGGTACAGAAACTTGGCTAAGTGTATTTGATGTGTCCTGCGGGGTATTAGTGAAGCATTCCTGCCTGCAGGGAAGCTAGACTAAAGAATTTCCAGAGCCCCATCAACTCTGTAAGTCTATGACTTCTATGGCAGGGAAAGAGATCGTAAGGCAGGGTAGCAGTACAGAAAGCGAAAAGAAATGGGGGACTCAGAATAATGGGGGTCTCCCCCTGCTTGTCCAGATACACTGTACCTCAATCCTCTCCTTCCCCAAGCCTCTCCTCCTTTAACTCACTTTCCTCCCTAGGCCCCCAGCTTCCCGTGTTGGTGCAACCTTTGCCCTGCACAGGTTGTGTCCCCTTTATTCCCCAATACCTTGTTGGGCTTTACTGCCCGCTGCAGATTCTCAATCCATTTGTCTCTTTCGGCCGCAGACCGACAGGCAAAGCATTTTGTTCCTGATGAAGTTGTTACCTAGAAAGGAGTGTGGAGTTGAGGGAAAGGGCTACAGAGGGGAGGAGACTCTGCTACCTTCTCTTCCTCCCTGGCCTACCCTTTCCTCCAGTCCCAGAAGTTTCTGTTTCCTTGATGTCCCCACCTGTGCCACTTTCTCTAGACCTCTCTGCCCCCCACCTTCCATCACCCCTGTCCTTTGGCCCTCCCCAGCCCACCAGACCCAGTACCTCAAAACAGAACTCCTGGCCCAGGATGGAGCTGTGCACTGGCTTGATAATGGAATCTTCATCCAAGTTGAGCTCCAATGCCTCAGCTGCACTGCTAGGACTCAGCAAGGACTCATGAGAGTGTGACTCCTTAAAGCTTTGCATCAGCCGGGCCCTGGCAGGCAGGAGGTTCAGGAGAGGAAGGGATCAGGGCTTCCCACTCTTCCTTTTTTTTTTTTTTTTTTTTTTTTGAGACAGTCTTGCTCTGTCGCCCAGGCTGGAGTACAGTGGTGTGATCTCGGCTTGCTGCAACTTCTGCCTCCTGGGCTCAAGCGTCTCTCCTGCCTCAGCACACCCAGCTAATTTTTTTTTCTTTTTTTTTTTTGTATTTTTAGCTGAGACGGGGTTTCACCCTGTTGGTCAGGCTGGTCTCAAACTCCTGACCTCAAGTGATTCAGCCTCCCAAAGTGCTGGGATTACAGGCATGAGCCACCGCGCCCGGCCCCCCTACTCTTCTTAGACACATAGGTACCCTGCATCATCAGTCTGTTCCAGGATGGAGACTTGGAGAGAAGGCCCCCTGAACACCCTTCCCAAACAGACACAGAAAGAAACCCTGCCTATCAGGAAGGACGTGAGGGATGTGAGAAAAATCAGAATCCTTTAAGGAACTCCCCTGCTCCACCTGGGCCTGGTGGCTCACACCTGTAATCCCAACATTTCAAAGGCCGAGGTGGGAGGGTCACTTGAGCCCAGGAGTTCAAGACCAGTCTGGGCAACACAGTGAGACCCTATTTCTATTTAAAAAAAAAAAAAGGAAAAAAAAGAAACTCCCACCATCTCACACCTAAGGGATTGCGAGGACTGGGGACATCTAGAAATATCTCAACCCAGAAATGGACCATGGCAGAAAAGAAAAAAAAAAAAGGAGAGAACAAAGTGGGCCTGGGGCACTTCTAGGTAGTACCTCCAGGTAACCCCAGAAACCAGAGCCTCAGTATAAAGGAAAAAGTGGAAGTAAAGAAGTGAAGGCACAGAGAAGAGATATGTCTAGCCTGGGCCTGGCACACGGCTAGTGCCTGATAAACATTTAATGATTCAAAGAATGAATGAACACAGCATAAGAGGACAAGTTTTAGCAGAAGCAGGGGAAAGAGTGAGGGAAAAGCATAAGAAATAGGAGAAAGCTGTGGGCAGAAAAGAGCTCAAAGAGGATAAAAGACAGAATACACGGACTAGGGAAGAAGAGGAGGTAGGGCAAGAAGAAGAAAGGGGGAGACAAAGGTATGTGCAGCAAGACAGAGGACAGGAGAAGAGGAGGAAGGCCAACTGGAGAGATGGCCGGGAGAACCGAGGTGAGGGCTAAGAGGGGATGGAATGCAAAAAAATCACTGCAGGAGGGCAGAAGATAAAGGGGGCTAGGGGCATGGAATAATGAGGGGTAGGATAGCAATACAAAAGCGGTATGGAGATGGGCAGGGGATGAAGAGTAGAGAGCAGTGGGAAAGCGGGAGGGGAGCTTGGGTGTGGGAGCCTCCAAGAAGTTATTTATAGCAGCCCCGTCATCGCAGGCTCTGGCTGCCGTCAGCGCGACGCTCCCCCGGCCCCCGGACCCCCCCCCCCGCCCCCGCGGCCAGGAATACCATGCCCTCACCCCCTGCCGGCCCCAAATCCAGCTCTGGCAACATGGGAGGGGGGCAGGGAAAGGTGTGACTCACTTTATCCCAACCTCCCTACCTGCCCAATCCTGGGGGTGGCCAGACATGGGGGAAAGGGAGGGCATGGTTCTCCCTGGGGAGTGACTGGGTGAGGGGGAAACCCAGAGAGGAACCCCAAATGGCAGGCAACAAAGGCAAACAGTGGAGGTCTCCTTCAGCCTGGTCTCAGGGACAGTGCCTTCTGGACTTCTCCGCTGGCTGCTTCTTCATGCCTCAGTCCATGGGTTGCTTCCCATTCTGTCACCCTGCACACCTGTCCCAGCCTCCCCTTCTCTGCCATGCTCTATACTGTCTCTTCCCTCACTGATGAGGTCCTTGAGCCCTAGCCATCATCCATTCATTCAGCCACCCCCAGCCCCACTCCAACCTGCTGCCCCTGTATTTCCTGACCTTCCCTGACACCCTTCCACCTACAGCCTATTGCTCACTCACCTACCAACCCCTTCCCTGCATTCCTTAAACATTCCTCCAGGGTCACTCTCCTCCTGTACAGCTCCTTTGATCCTGGGCTAGAGCCCATCCTTCTTGGCCTGAGGAGTCCCTGAGGAGTCCCTCCTTGGCTTCACCTTCATTCCCTTTCCAGCCTGTCTGTCTGTCTTCTCTCTGCCACCCTACCCCTCTCCTGCTGCTCACAGATCCCTATTCTAGTTCTTTTCTGTTCTGTCCCCTGTGCCATGACATCCCCCAACCAACTTGAGTTGAATCCTTCAACCTTTGCACACAGATAACCCCCTCCCTCTGCATCTCACACAGGAGACCCTACATTACATCAATCTCATCCCACATGCTCCAGCCCCTGTACCGGTCATGGTCAGCACTTCGGAAGCGAGGCAGGATCTGGCGAAAGCTGCTGGTCCGGTCAAGTTTGGGTTGTGACTTCGTTCGTTTGATGGAGCTTTTTAGCCGTCGGCTCAGGAAGCCTTGCTGGGGGGGAAATGGGGATGGGGTGGGTTGGGGCAGGGTCAGTTCTACCTACTCATCCCTCAGCTGGTAGAGAGCCCCTGGATGAAAGTGGGATGGGGAAAAGGGAAGTCTCCAGAGGCGAGGAAAGGGGGATAGGAACCCTAATACCAGTTTGTCTTCCTTGCTCCCACGGGTACAGTGCAAGCACACACACACACACATATACACACACACACAGCTTGGAGAAGGTGGGAGGGCTGGTCTCAGAAGCAGGGGGGCAGAGCCAAGAAGGGGGAAACCAAAGAGGTGGGGAGACACACACAGACACACACTCTTTTTCTCACTCTCACTCCCTCTCTCCCCCTCCTGCCCTCTTTCTCAGACTCCTAGGGCCCCAGTTGGGGCTGGAGGGGAGGGGGCCCAACTGAGCCACATCTGGTAGGCACCACTCACCGAGGGCCGGAAGGGCGCAGCAGGGGCACCCTCCATGCTGTACTGCTTCCCCCCTGGGACACTCTTCCTCCTCGAGCGACCCAAGTGGTATTCTGGAGGGGAGGAAATGGCCAGAAGGGAAGTTGGGGAGGGGGCCAGAAGGGAAGCTGTTAACCCAGGTTCCCACCCCTGACCCCAGTGCATGCCCCCACCTCCCTCTGCCCCTCAGCTCCGGCCTCACCTACCCCCCGGAAAGCAGCAGGAAGAGCAGCGACGGCGGAGAGGCTGGCAGCGGGAAGGAGGGGGCAAGGAACCTGAGCAGGAGCCCCCTGAGGGGGATGGGGTGGGAGGCCTTAGGCCCATGACTGGGGCTGGCAGTCAGCAGGGGAGCATGGCTGAGAGGGTCAGTAAAACCCCAGTAATGAAGGACACCAAAGATCCAGGGAGGCTAGGTCCCTGGTGCCCACCCACCCCAGAAGGGGCTAGCTGGGGGGAAAGATGGGTTAAAGGTCATTGCCCATAGGCAGGCTTTCCTCTTCCCCCTGGTGGGCACATCTTCCACCTGCCCCCCACCTCCTGGAACCCCTGTCTGTCTGGAGGGCCAGGGCTGCCTCCCATGACCCCCTCCCTGGACTGGAGGGGGAGGTCTTGGAAGAGACCTGTGAAGAGTAGCAGGGGGAGAAGCTGGGGACAGAAAATCCAAGGAAGGGGCAGGTGGGGGGAAGGGAGAAGGAGCCGGTTCCACGTGCACTGCAGTGGCAGGGGCTCAGAAGGTTGGTGGGGGGAGGGGAAAAGCAAAGAATGCAGGGGAATGGGCAGGGAGCAGGAAGGATGGACAGTGGGGGTTCTCGGGACTCCCAAGTAAGGATAGGGAAAGGAGGAGGAGGGGAGGTGAATGCGGATGCAGCTCAGTCTGCCAAGAGCCTAGAGGGATGGCAAGCGCTGAAAAAGGAAGCTGAGGCTCGGCTGCAAGGGAATTTAGAGGGGCCGAGGGGCTGGAAGAGAATGTAAGTGGGGGGATGCCAAGCTCCGGCTCCAGCTCCAGAATGGCTGCCCAGGCCTGGGCTCCCCCCTCAGCCCCACAGTCACCACTGCAGCCAATGGGGGGGCAGGTGCTGCATCGGGGCGGGGCCACCATCTCCACGGCAACAAGAAGCTACAGGCTGGAAGGAGGGGGGTGGACCGGAAGAGCTGCCTGTTAACCCTCTAGGTTCCAGAACAGAACAAGGGAGGACCACAATTATATTTTCACTGTCTGCTTCCAGAATTGCAAATTGCCTGCAAACTGCCCTAGAATCAGTCCTCAGCTTCCCTTTACCTGTAAAACCCAGGTGTTAGGAGGTTTGCATACAAAAATGTGGACCCCATGACACGAGAACCCTATCACTCCCTCAGGAACAGGTGTATAGTACAGAAACATATACTGAGCTATGGAGGTACGTGTATATGAGAACCACAATACAGAAAAATAACTGGGGATCTATGTGCTTTTGAGACATACAGACAACTGTGAGCACGGGCATAGCACGGATCCACATTCTGAGACCCTGAGGCCCACACACCCCACAGGATACATGCTTTGACATATGTGAGCTCTGCAACAAGGGAGTACATACTTGAACCCAGTGACCCACATGAGAGCTGCTGGTGTGGACTTTGTGGCCCAAGTCTCTTGGGCAATCATGTGGACAGCACACTACAGAAATGGACCTATAACCCTAAGACACACATATCCCCATGCAGGGGAATTCCAGTTTAACCCCTGAAATACATGCTTGAGTACACCATGATCCTGACCACAGAAAGGTATCCCCATATCTCAGAAGCACAAACATCCTTTCATTCACGTGAAAAGTACAACCACATCCACTCTGTCTCAGGACAACCCCCTTTCCTCCCCCAGCCCTTCTCTCACTCTAACACAGGCATCCGAGATTGCCACCAGAGTAAAGAAAAACCAGGAGCAAATGTGTTAATTATCCTTCTGGTACACACTAAGCAATGCATCCAATGGTTCAGGATATCTCTTCCCTAGTAACATTTTTTCTGCATTTCTCAGGTATGGCTGCCTCACTCTCATTTCAGGGAACCGAGCTCAGCCATTATTTTCATGTGCAAGCTCATCTAATAAAGGCATAAAGTCTAACTTTAAATGCATTAAAATTCCGCTTTGGAACTAAAGCATTAACAGAAGAACAAATTTGCTAATTGGCTTGCTTGGTTCTTGGAAGTAATATAACCTTACACATATTACCAAGAACTAAGATCCATGAACTCACTCATAAGTCACAGGTACACAGAGGCCACATACACATATGCTTATTAAACACTTTTGTTGCCGCAGGAAAAGAATAGCAGAAACACAGAGGAAAGGGGGGGCAGAGTGACAGAAACACAGAACATCCTGTTATTAATGCTGCATGCAGTGACATGTACAGAGAAAACAACACACACCCGTGTACACACACACACAGCAAACCTGAAAAGCACAAACTGTGATCCTGGGTCTCCATGTCCCATGCCTGCACGATGTATACACGCATGCACACACATAACAGCCACCTACACAAACCCGTAACACAGGCATTGTGCACACACCCACACATGTACACACCCTGTGTACACACACAATGGCACTCACACACACACAGCAAGGGCTTGGACTCCTGCCCCTCCAACATCTCTAATCTTGCCATCACCCACAGAATCTCCCCCTGCCCTCCAAATCCCTAACCTTCCCTTTGGCCTTTCTTCCTCTCCACACCCAGCTGGCAGCTCTCAAGGGGAGCCAGAGGAGGGAGGTTGCCAGAGAAGGGCGAAGAACAGGGTTGGACACAGAGCAGAGAAATGGGAGACAGAGCTCTGTGCTGGGGATATGAACCTCTAATGACAGTCCCTGCTATGACAGGCCTCACTGTGAGCCAGCCCGTATGCCTGAGTGGCCTTCCCTGATCCAAAACCAAGCCTGATCCTGCAAGGCCTACAAGAATCCAGTGCCTTCTCCCATCTTCTTCCCTTTCTTCTTTCAGAGATCACTTTACCAGAAGGCCTGACTCTCTCCTCCCCACTGCCTCCCCAGCTCCCAGACCCCTTCTTCTCCCACCATCTCTATCCAGTTCCCCATCTTAAGCTCTTATCCCCTGTTCTCTCTTCTAAGTCTGGCTTGGCTTTCTCCCACATTCCCATTCTCCAGCTATTCTTTCTCCCTGGCCTGCTGCTCTCTGCTCTCTTCTTCAAGCCTCTCTCATTCCTTCTCTCCTATCCCCTCCCCACTTTTCCTCTTTACCCCATTTCTTCCCTTTTTAAGCTTTTCTGTCCCCACTTACTGACCAAGCAGGGCTTACACCTGCCCAGCCCAAAGGTGTTTCATACACAGTAGAATTCCAAGGAACACATTCACACACTTACTCCCCCCAGCCACACCACCCACATCCAGACACGCCCTGGACACCCATGCTGGGATTGACACAGATACTCAGGCCAGTGCTGGAACACACATGCAAAGACACACACCTGCCACCAGGGACACAGAAAATCCTGCTCATAGGGCCACACATTCCCACACACAGAAGCCTGACAGGAGGTGAGCCCCAGCCAGGGATATGCATGCTCAGGGTCAGAGGTGACATGGACCAGCAAGGCCGCGGACTGCCCCACAAGCCCGTGGCTGGCCCAACAGCCCCCTAGGCAGGAAACAGGCAGAGGCAAGATAAGACAGGACACACTTGCACAAGGATGGCTGCACATGTGTGCACGAGGAACTGGGCCCCCGTGTGCACATGGCACCGACACACAGGAGACACGAGCATGGGCACGAACACACACGCGGACACACGGGCTGCCCCTTCCACCAGGGGCTCCAAGATCCCACACACACCGGCCGCCCCCGCGTGCTCAAGACCCTGTCCGCACGAGGCCGGTCCCCGACCCTCCCGTCCTCCGCTGTCCCCCTCCGGTTACCATAACTCCCCCCACTCGGAAGATGCAGCGAGAACATGCGGAGGGAGCAGCTGCCGCCGCCGCCGCCGCCACCGCGGCTTCCCCACCCCCCTCCCCGCGCCCACGCACACGCGCGCCCCCGCCCCACGCGCGCGGCGCCCCCCCCTCTACGCGCGCTCCTAGTCCGCCCGGCCCCGCCCTTACCTCGCACCGCCCCCCGGGGGGGCCAGGGGTGTCCCCGGTGGGGGAGGGGCCCCGCCCCTGCGCGGGGGAAGGGCGGGGTGCGGAGGGAGAGGGGGCGGTACGGCCCGGCTCGCGCCGCCCGGCGCGGTGGGGGCGGCGGCGGGGCCCGGGACGGCCGGGACGGCCGCGCGGTGACGGCCGCGGGAACGGCTCCCTCCGCCGCCGCTCCCGCCGCTGCCGCCGTTGCCCGGGCCCCGCCGCCGTTGCTAGGCGACCGCTGCTGCCGTGGCCGCCTCTGTCACGAGCCCTGTCGCCCGGAGACAGCGCGAGAGAGACGGGGGAGGGGGGCAAGGGGACCCCCAAAACAAACCAGGCCACCCACCATCCCCTCCTGAGCAGGACCCCCCCACACACACAAAACCGCGGAGAGAACGAGGGTTCGCGGCTCCACCCAGCAGAGGAGGAGCCCAGGATTCCAATGCCCCTCAAAGGTCCGGCGACCTCTCCCGGGCTGGAGAGTCCACAGCCTCAGCAAACACCTTGGCATTGCCAAGTCCCCAAGGTCCCAACGACCCCTATGTCCACTGCACATCCTCCATGCCCTTTACACATTCCATGTCTGCCTGAAGACCCTAAACGTTCACCCCCATCAACTTTCACTAAGCCCTCCCCCCAAATACATATGCCCCTGGAACCCCTCCCAGCCCCTACTGAACCCCAATACAGCAACCTCCACATGCCACCTCAACTCCAAACACACACGGTGTCCCCACCCAAAACACACGGGAGACCCCCGCCAGAGACCCCTAGACCCTGAGGACTCAGGATAAGGAGAAAGATGGGGAATAAGTGGGCAGATCTGCCAACCACAGGACACATGATAAACATGCTCTGTGAGCATGTGACCATTCTGGCCTGGAAACGCAGGTGTACACACATGCACACAAACACACACATCTTCCCCAGACATGAACATGACATACACACATATACATATACACACAGATGTGACAGACATCACACACATTCTCTGTATACACTCCACCACCACCTGACTTTGCCTCACAGAGATGTGCTACCCACACACCCCGATGGTATGGGGTTTCCATGACAATGACACACATCCCTGACCACCCACCCACCCACCCAAGGTCCCCAAACCGGCCCACAAGGCTAGTAGGGCCTGGACCTATCAGAAGGCTGGAAGGAGCCAAAGGATGGGGACAGGTCACTGGCTCTCTAAGGGAGAGAAACTGGTAGCTTGAATTCCTGAAGGGAGGGGGAGCTGGTGGGAAAAAGGGGTCACCTGGGGGTTGGAGGAATGGGGAACCTGGATCGCTAGGTCCGGGAAGGGAAATGAAGTGGAAGGGGGCAGTGACGAGGGGGTTTCCGGGGGCTGAGGGCGTCTCTCTGCACCTTGGCTGCAGATCTCTGTTCTCTGCCTTCATCTCCCCTCACTGTTCCCATGGAAACCTTTTAAGCGAACTTCTCAGGAAGACAAAAATCTTTTTTTAAATGACTAAAGAGGGGGTTGGGGGGGCAGAAAGGGGGAGGGAGGGGAAGAGACAGATGGAGAGAGGGAGAGAGTTGGAGAGACAGACCGCGCAGATAGCTCTACAGACAGAAAGGAGATGAGATGGGAGTCTGATGGACTTTCGCCGGGAGCAGAGGGGAGGGACGGGGTAATCAAGAGGGGTACAGAAAATAAGAGAAATCAGGGAGGAAAGAGAAAGGGTGATACAATTGCAGAAAATAGAAGCAGCTGATGAGAGGAGAAAACAGGGGGTAATAAAAGGAGACCTCAAGGACTGAAGGTCCGGAAGAAGAATCAGGAGCATAGGGGTGGGGAAGAGGTCTGGGGGGAGGGCAGGAACTAGGTCATTCTTTCCAAGATCCCAGACCAGGGGCTGGGAGGGGCAGGGGCAGGAACACACGGACTGGAAGCTAAAGATCTAAGGAGACTATTTTTACAAGCACCAGGAAAATAGTCAAACTTCACTGCTGGAGAGGAGAAAGGGAGCGAAGCCGAGCGAGGACCCACAGGGGCCTCTCACCCACAGCCCCTGTCCCGCTCCACCTTCCAGAGGAGGGCGCCATCTCCCCTCGGGAAGCAAGACTTTGTCTCCGCCTTCTCCCGCCCCCGGCCAGCTCCCGCCGCTCCCCGACGCCCCCGCCCCGCCAGCCCGGTCCATCTTCAGCCCTCTCCCCGCGCCTGTCCGGGTCATGAGAGCCTGCTCGGCCGCCGTACCATGCTCGCCGTGGGGCCGCCCCTCCACCGGCACGGAGACTGTGCGTCTCAGCAGTTTGTTGCGACTGGACTCGCTCCTCCGGTCCCGGATCAGTAGGGGGTGTATCTAGGGGAGGTGGGGGTGTGTCAGACCTCCCTGGCCCACGCCGCCCCTCCCCTCCCTCTTCCCCCCTCCGCCTCCTCCCAGGAAGGGCGGGCCTCCTTTTCCCCCTAAGCCTGCCCACTTTTTCTGCCCCGGCCCCTCCACACTTGGTGACTGGATCTCTCCCTTCTCTCCCCCAGTCTCTCTCTCTCATTCTTTGCCGTCCCACCCTCTTTTCTCCCTCCATTTGTCTTGAAACACCTTCCGGAGAATTCTCCCAAACCCTACTCAGCTCTTCTGCAACTCCTCAGAAGTTAGCTACTTCCTGAATCCAGTTTTCCCTTGACCTTCAGTTCCTCCATTCTCCCTGCTTTCCTCCCAACCTCCCACCTCCCTTACCCCCTTCTCTCCCTCCGAGCCTGTCACGGGGGTAGCAGAAGCTGCATTTATAATCAGGATCCACAGCTTGTCTCCCTCCCACGGCCCGGCTTGCGGCCAGACTGGGACCCAACCTCCCCTCCCGCCAGAGGGCCTGGTCACCTTCCCCCACCTTTCATCTCCTTCCATCACCCGACCCAGCATCTCTCAGTTCCCTTCTTCCCCTCAGCCATCACCTTTCCCTAAGCTTCACACCCAGCTCCCCCTGTCCACCTCCATCCCTACCTCCATACACCTCCACCCCTGCAGTCTCCTCCACCTCTACAAAGAGCCACAGGAACAGACCCCTCACTATCCCCCAGCCCCAGTTCCACCACCCATCCAATTCCAACTCCCTGCGTCTGTTCAGGCTGCTCATTTTCCCAATTCTATCTACTCCTCCTCCCACACACACGCCCTTCCTGCTCCAGACCGGCCATTCCTATTGCCCCTCAACTTGCTGGCCACTGGTCCCTTCAGTCTGTCCCTATCTCTGTCATTCCTTCATTACCCCAATCCATTGTCTTCCCTCTTCATCCCTATAACAGTCCCCACTCTGGGTTCCAGTTTCCCCCATTTCTCCTACAGACTCCAAACCTTGATCTAGGGGTTTGACCACAGTCACTCAAATGTCTCCCAATGGTGTCCAAAACTTAGACTCCCCAAGCCACCTCTCCTTTCAAAGTCACCATATCCTCTCCTTAACACCTCTACTTTACTCTGTGGCCTGGAAGCTGTCTACCCAGCCATCTCTCCACACTCTCACCTGCCCCCATAGGTCCCTTGACACTCTAGTTAGCCCTGACTCAAATTCTAACCCTTCCTCATCACACCATTCCCAATAACTTTCAGGGTCCATCTCTCACCACGTTTGGTTTTCCAGGCTACCCTACCATTTTTTAAAGCTTGTCCCCCAAATCACCCCCATTCCCTGACTCACACTTGTGGGGCACCATTCCAGTTTTTATCCTCTATTTCCTCCAATGGACACTCCTGCTGACCCAGCTCCCAAATCAGAACCCACACTTCCCTGGCTCTCAGATCTCCATACCTGGCCACCACCTCCCATAAGAGGCCTCTGTCCGTTTCATCTCCTTTACTCTGGCTAGTCCCTGCCCCTACTCCACTTGTACTCCTTTAGATAACTCCACATACTCCCAGTTCCCCTCCCTTATATTCCTTCCTGATGTCCAACCACTCCCTTGCAGAAGCCCTCTCAGTGTCTCTCTAAACCTTGATCTCAATCACTCTCCCAGTCTTCACCCCATCATGCCAAGATCCACTGACCTCAGTCTTCTTTCCCAGTATCCTCCAGCTACCTAAAACCTCCTCTATCCCCTGCCTTTTCTCTGCGTCCTGCAATTTCTCTTCTTGCACTCTGCCCCCTGATGGAGAAAGGACTGGGAGTCTTGCTCAGTGGGCAAAGCAGAGAGGGGTCCTGAGGATTGCTTTGGTTGGGAGGGCCTTCCATGTCTTCACCCCTTCTCCAAACCCTTCAGTTCCCCTTCCCCATTCTAACCTATCCTACAATATGGACAGTGTGAAAACAGGAGCCTCCCCACCCCCGAAATCTTCAGAACCACATCTCCTCCCCAACACAGCTCATAACCCTCAAAGACTCCCTGCCCAAGATGAGAGAATGACTACCCCTCTTGTCACACTCCAACCCAAGTCTCAATGGCCACCCTCCTGCCATTTGCAAATGTTTCTTCTTTGTCTGCCTTCTTTGTGTCTCTCTCCCCTTCACTAATGAGGACTCTCCCCATTCTCCCACATGCGTTTTCCCAGCCTTCTCACCACACTCACCTCATCCTCATCCAGCATGAGCAGCTGGTTCCCCGAGATGATGCAGAACCGAGGGTTCCAACCAGGACGATCATACGGGGAATGAACGTATTGGGTTCGGTGCATAGAGGGTCCCCGTACATCTGGAGGACAGAGACACACAGAAACAGTAAGGGAGGCTCTATGCATTTGGAAGCAGAGGCCTAAAATGGCAAGAAGAGAGTCCACAAAGTGAGAAGGGGACCCTACCGGCCTTCAGGAGATCACAGTTGAAAGTGAGACACCTGGCAACTCTAAAGGAACACAAGACAAGCATTTATACAAAGGGGAAAAGAGGAGAGGATCACATCACAGAAGGCTCTGGAGACTTGGGGGAAGAAATGCAGAGGTTCAGGGATGGGAATTATATGACAGAGAAGGTACACGTTTGGGGGCAGAGAAAGATGAAGGAGCTCTCCATCTACTTCAGGAAAATAAGGTAGAGGTGCCGCAAAATTGGCAGGAGAAAAACAGAGAAGTTGGTGTCAGATATCTGGGTAGAGGAAGGCATCCAAATAGCTGCAGAAGACAAGGACTTGGAAGGTGGCACCACCCCTCTATAAAAGAGTATGAGGAAAGCTACATGGCTGTGGGAAAGAAGGATGGGGTGTGTGTGTAGGAACATTGGGATCATGAGATTCTGAGGGCTAAATATCTAGAAAAGAAGAAGTCGGGGAGCTTACCTGTTCACAGTCAGAGACATGAGAGGGCCTCCCCTCCCAACTCTTCCCTCCTCTGTGCCCTCCTCCCCTAGTTCAACCCTGCTCATCCTTTAGGGAAAGTTCTGGTTCTTCTGGTGGTAAGGAGAAGATGGCTTTTGTCGGCATCTGGCTGTGGAGGCCCCAGGGCAGAAGGTGGGAAATATGCCCTTGTTTGGACAAGTAGAGACCAAATTTATCTCTTCTCCCATTCAGTGCCCAGAGATTCAACACTGCCCCCACCACCTCACCCCACCTAGTCTCAGTGGACAGGATGGAAGCCACTCCATAGGTCAGGAGCCTTCTCAAGGCACAGTGAGGAGCTTGAGGAAGAAAGATGTCAGGGGGAAAGAATGGAATATCCAGGCCTGGTGACACAGAGGGGCCTCCAAAGACAAGAGCTGGAGATGGGAACAAAACTTTGAGAAGAGAGAACAGTAGACCAAGTGTCGCCTATGGCTGAGATGAGACCAGGGTCCTCCTTCCCCAGCTCTGTTGTTCTTGCCATGCCGCTCTCCCTGCAAACTGCCTCTCCTTTAAACCCCAATGCCACACAGGCCCTATTGAAGTAAGAGAGATGTCACATTGGCGACAGCAAAGAGCTAGAAATTAGGCTTAAGGTATCAGATTTTAGATGGAAAAAAGATCAAACTCTGTCACCTTTATGGGATAACCATGAGTATACTGCAGGAGAACTGGTCTTTGAGCTTCATTCCAACAGAATGCACTGAGTAGCAGAGTTTTGCAAATTCAGCCCTTTTCTGTCTATAAATATGTCTCTCAAATTTACCCAACCTCCAGATCACAGTGAGCGATGAACCCTCAGAATGTCCACCATTTAGAAACCACATACTTTGAAACTCTATCTCAACCCATCTCAGAGACTAACTAATGTTCTCTAGATACAGAGATCACCAATACCTAGCCTCTGAAACTACAGACATTGCAGGCAACATGCCCACCGCACTTAGACACTTGGTATACCCAGAGGAGAAATCTGTTGATACACATAAGCATTTGGGGAAAGGGCTGGTTCAGGCTGCAGCCAAGGGAGGCGGGTTAGACTTCAGAGGGCATCTTTCTCCTGGCAGCAGGGAACTTAGGAACAACTCTAGAAACACACACACACATACTGTCTGGACTTGGTGAAGAATGATTCTGGGAGGCAGATGCAAGAGGCAGAGCAACATGGCTGAGAAACGGGAAATTTTTACTAGGATGAGAAATCCCTCAAGGGCTGAGATGGGGATCCCTTGTTCTAATCATCAAAACCTGTGTCTTTGTACCCCAAATCTCCAACACCCCAATAAGTAGAGGAGACAAGAAAAGAGAAATGATAATAAGAGTTGAGGTATTAAGGGAAAGTGGGTAGGCACAGACTTGTGGTGACAAGGAATGGTCTGGGAGACAAATAATAGGAGTAGATAGAAAAGGAGGCAGAAATGATGGTAAATGCCCAGGGGCAAGGGAATACACCTGAAGGGCTCGACTGGACATGTGTCAGAGCAAAGGAGGCAGACCTAATGCGGAGGCTATGAGAAGGGGTCAAGACGGACTAGTAAAGAAGTGATAGAGATATAAGGGAGCGACCACATAGAAAAGAGATAAGAGAGAGGCAATGAACACCAGAGAGGGGACTGATATAGGGGAAGGACAGAAGGGGGACTCATATAAGGAACGGACACCATATGGGGGGAAAGATATAGGTGATGGACAGCAGAGGAGGGAGGGGGAATGGAAATAAGGATTGGAGGGGTGGGGGAAGGGGGTAAAAGTGATGAAGTGAAGACAGCATTAAGACCCCAGAGGTTACATTTTACTGGTCAAGAGCCTTTAAGAGGGTCAGAGTCTGGGGCAGGATCCTAACCTGTCCCCTACTCCCATCATTTCATCTTACTTGTACTGCCACCCCCCCAAGCACACATAATTTGGCCCTCCCCCTGCCCTGGTCTCCCCTCCCCCACCGTTCCCTCTCTCTTCTCTCTTCCCTCCATCTGGACCCTCCATCCCCCCACCCCCCACTGCCTCCCTCTCTCTCCATCTGGCCCCTTCTCTCCCTCCATCCTCCTCTCTTTTTCCGCCCCTTACCATACTCTGAGTCCCCCACCAAATTATCCCCCCACATCTTCTTGGCTTCTCTTTTCACCCCTATGTTTTCATTTCTCCTTCCTAGCCCCTCTCCCAAGACTCTGTCCCTCTATTTCCTTGATGTTTTCCTCATCACTCAGCTCCCACCCCCAAATTATTTCTGCAGCTTTTTCCCCAACCCAATCCTTCTACCTTCCCACCCCTTTCTGGCGCTTTCTTTCCCCTTCATCATTTTCCCTTCAGCCCCCTTTCAAGGCCCATTTCCTGGCCCCTCCATCCCTTATCTACCCCTATCCCTCTGGCCTCCAATCCCTCCTTCCCGGTTGCTCCCACCCCTGCCTTCCCGGTCCTCCCCTCTCCCTCCATTTCAGCCGCTCCCTTCCCTCGGCCCCGACTCTCCCCCGCCCCCTGCCCCTCCCCCTGTTGCCCCCCATATGGCCCTCCCCCTCCCCCCACCACGTACCTCTGAAGGGGGCATAGGACATCGCGGGGATGCTCCCCCGATGGATGGAGGCTCGAGACCTGCTCATCAGGCCTGGGGGGAGGGGGCGGGGGGACGGGGGAGAAAGAAGAGAGAAAGAGGGGGAGAAAGAGGGGGAGAAGGAGGAGGAGGTGGAGGAGGAGGAGGAGGAGAGAGGAGGAGAGAGGAGCAGAGAGAAGCAGAGAGGAGGAGAGAGGAGGAGGAGGAGGAGAATAAGAGCCAACGGCAGCAGCGGCAGCCGAGAGAGAGGGGGGGCGGGGGAGCGAGCGAGAGCGAAGAGAGCAGGAGGAGGAGGAGGAGGGAGAGACTCTGCAGCCCCCACCCCTACTCCGGGAGGCCCAGATTGTGAGAGAGAGAGAGACCCCTGACTCAAAAACACACCAGAGAGAGACAGAGGTCCTAAAGATGCAGACCCCAGACCCTGAGACAGAGAGACCCTAGACCCACAGAGAAAGATACTTCACCACCCCCCACTGTGGGGTAATTTGAGACACAGGGCCAAAATCTAGAGGAAAAGAGACTCCTGATTTGAGGAAAAAACGACCCCAGATCCCCCAGAGAGAGAAGCTCAATATCAAAATCTGAAAATCCAGTCTAAAAAGGGTTCTCCATACCTACAGATATCTTAGACTCCAGACCCTGAGATGATGATTTCAGGGACCAGGACCTGAGACCTAGACTCAGAAAAAGATGAGGCCCAGATTCAGAAAGAGCCAGATGTAGAATTAGAGCTTAGAGAACTCAGACCTAGAAAGAGACCCCAGACTCAGATCTCAGAGACTGATAACTTAGAGACAGAGACACTCCTGACTTAAGGGGAGATAGAGACTTCAGCTGGTCCGGAGATGGACAACTCAGAGACCCAAAATTCATGAAGAAGACTTCGAAAGACCTCAGAGTGCGACCACAGACCCTGAAACATAGAAACCCCCCAAACCAGAAGCATAAAAGGAAACTCAATCCTAAGAAAGATCTCCACACAAATACTGAAAGACCCCTCCGAAATCTGTCTCAGAGACAAACTCCAAACTCAAAGACAGAGATCTCAGGGAACCTCCCCTCCCCACTTCCCTGCCCTAGAACCTCCGAGAGGTATAACCCTGACGTCAGCCTGGGAAACTCCGAGGCATCCCCACCACCAGACCAATGACCTCAGACCTTGAAGGGAGGGGAAATATTGGGTGGGGGCAGTGGCAAGAGCTTTTTTCTCTGCACCTCCTCCCACCTCTCTGCCTCTCATTGGCCCCTCTCTCCATTTTTGGGTCACAGGATGTGCTTGGGCCCCAGGGAAGTTATGTAGGGCAGGTCCTGGCTCCTTGGGGGATGGGTTAGGGAAAGGAGACCCGAGGCTGAGAGGTGGACCAATCCTGGGGAGTGGAATAGGCAGGGAAGAGGGGACAGAAGGACCATCACCACTGTCCCCATCCTG
This sequence comes from Homo sapiens, assembly GCF_000001405.40. Classification (NCBI taxonomy): domain Eukaryota; kingdom Metazoa; phylum Chordata; class Mammalia; order Primates; family Hominidae; genus Homo; species Homo sapiens. Next base: position 33,418,884 of record NC_000006.12, on the reverse strand, counting down.
CAGCCCTCGTTCTCCTTCCCTCTGATTCAGTAGTCTGTCTCAAGCTTTGGGTTTTCAATTAAGATGGCTAGGCCCCATTTTCACCATCCTCTACCACAGGGTCTCGCTCTGTTTTAAAATGCTTCTTTCCTCAGCTAGCTATTGTCTTGCCATGCCCGTGCCTGCCTAATCACTCCCTGCTACCCAGGGACAGCGGGCTTCTAGATCACCGTTGTTCATTCCCAAACCCAGGCATATCTCTGCCCAACTAAAAGGGCAGGGGGCGCTCTCTTAACCCCTGAGTTTGGGGTGAAGGGTCCTTCTCAGACCCTCCCACTCCTTAAGACCTCGGAAACAGTGCAGGGGAGGTCACTAGGCACATTGTGGGGTTTAAGGATGATTCCCCACTCCACAGCCTGACGCATCGACTCTGCGGGGTCTCTGGCCCCCCTTTCCTGGAACCAGCTCTCGCCTCACGTGGCCTGCGAGGCTGGCCTGTGATTGGCCACTTGGCGTCACTCACTGAGTGCCGCCGCCGAAGAGGACCGGCCCCCTCACGTGACAGTGGAACGCCGCAGCGGCTCTCCTCAGCCAGCAAGTGGCAGTTTCGGGTTCACACGGAAACGGGCGTGCCATTTCCGCGCACGTCTGCAGATGCGGTAGTCGATTGGTCAAGTCTCCCATGGCTCCTCCTTCATCAGGAGGTGGGCAAACCGCGCCATGATAGGGTCGGGATTGGCTGGCTCTGGAGGCGCAGGTGGTCCTTCTTCTACTGTCACATGGTGCGCGCTGTTTTCTAATCACGTGGCTGCCACCCAGGTAAGAAGAGGCCGCTCTTCCTGGGGTTGTTTCTCCGTGTGACGTGTGGCCTTTGAGATCAACTCTCCTGTACCAGCGTAGGCCGCATGAGTGGGGGGCGGGCTCCCGCGGTCCTGCTCGGCGGAGTGGTGAGTGACCGGCCCCGCCCCGCCCCTTCCGGTCCTCGAAGCCTCGACCGCTACCCGCACCCTAAATCCCAGAGGTTGGCCCCCTGAGGTGTGAGTGAAATGAGCTTTTGCTTTATTTTCCAAGTTTCTCTCTCACCTTCAGGGGCATTCTTCGGGGGTGCATCAGAGGGAGGGCAGAGCCTGAGGATCTAAGCGAAGGCTTCCCCGGGTGTAATTTCCTGGGCTGTTTGTGAGGAGAGATCGAATTCGCCTCCTGCTCTCAGGCCTCTCTGCTCCTGTCTTTTGTTTGGATGCCGGCGCTGCTGCCTGTGGCCTCCCGCCTTTTGTTGCTACCCCGAGTCTTGCTGACCATGGCCTCTGGAAGCCCTCCGACCCAGCCCTCGCCGGCCTCGGATTCCGGCTCTGGCTACGTTCCGGGCTCGGTCTCTGCAGCCTTTGTTACTTGCCCCAACGAGAAGGTCGCCAAGGAGATCGCCAGGTAGGGACCTCGATGTGCAGCGAGAAAGGATGATCATGAAGGGACAGTTGGGGGTGGGGCAGAAGAGTGCTGCTTTCTCCTTTCTCCAGCTCTGGAAGCCTGTCTCTGGGCTGCCAGTACAAAAACTGGGGTTATGGGGTACTCTGAATGGGACTGTCTCTTCACTCCAGGGCCGTGGTGGAGAAGCGCCTAGCAGCCTGCGTCAACCTCATCCCTCAGATTACATCCATGTGAGTCATAGGAGTTGGGGGGTTAACCTAACTGTAGGAGCTGACTGGGAACCTCTTTCCTGGGGGAAATTCTTTGCTCCCCACAACTCTCCCCCTCTGACCTTTCAGCTATGAGTGGAAAGGGAAGATCGAGGAAGACAGTGAGGTGCTGATGGTGAGAAACATTTCCCCCACCCAACAAAATATCCCCAATCCCTGACCCCTTTAGCCCTTACCCCTCTTCTGAGAAACTGAACTCAATCCCACTCCTTGATTCAACCATGTTTATCTTTGTCCCTTAGATGATTAAAACCCAAAGTTCCTTGGTCCCAGCTTTGACAGATTTTGTTCGGTGAGAACTTTGAGATGGATGGGGTGAGGGTGTGTACTGTGTGGGTGTGACTTGCTGGGCAGTCTAGGGCTTGCGTGTAAGGGAGTGGGTTCTTTTGGGTAAATCTTTGAGTGATCCCCTTCCCCCACCCACCTATTTTGTAGTTCTGTGCACCCTTACGAAGTGGCCGAGGTAATTGCATTGCCTGTGGAACAGGGGAACTTTCCGTACCTGCAGTGGGTGCGCCAGGTCACAGAGTCAGTTTCTGACTCTATCACAGTCCTGCCATGATGAGCCCTGTTCCTGCTCATCATGAAGATCCCCGCGATACTTCAACGCCTTCTGACTTCCAGGTGATGACTGGGCCCCCAATAAATCCCGTCTTTGGGTCTCTCTGCCTTTTGCCTGTTTTTTGTCATGTATGCAAATTTGTTGGGAGAATATAAGTGCTTCTAGTCCCTGTATTCTCTACATCTTTCAGAATGACTCAGAGCTGCTAGATTTGTTTATTTCTCTTTATTTCAATCATACAGAGTCCGGGATCCCTTATCATCCTCCCTCCTCAGTCTCTGCCCCCAGGGGTTAAATAATTTTAAAAAATATTTAAAAAGCTGTAACAAAATAACATCAAAGGAAATGGGAAGGATGGGAGGGGTCAGGAATCATGAAGGAGGGTAGAGAAGAGGGCCTCTTCCCCACTCCCCACTCTTGGATTCCAGCCTGGGCAGTAGGGAGAACTACCCCCTATCTCTCCAGGTACATCCCAGCTGTAGGTGAGGTCAGAGGTCAGGGTATGAAAGTGCCGGTGTGTGTGAATGGGGAGCTGGGCAGAGGCAGGCTGTTCAGAAGATGCCCCCTCCTCCCCACTCAACCAGGTACTGCACAGAGCCATCAGGCCGTACTCTCCGAGCAAGGACCCGGACAGGGTCCCCTCGGGACAGGTAACCAACCCCACCTCGGACTCCTCCCCCAGTCCCAGGAGACAAACTACGGCACAGGGGAGAAGGGGGTGCTGAGCGTCTAGGAAGACCTGGGGATGGGGATGAAACTGAGGAAGATGAGGCAGTCATCGAGTGGGGGGCACTTTTAGGGATGTCTGTGGGGAAACCAATGTGAAGTTCCAGGGGTGACCTAGGGAGAGAAGGCAATTGTAAGAAATGGGCAGAAATGGAGAGCACATGTGAATCAGAGAAACAGTGTTAGAGACTAAGAGCCTTGAGCACATAGAGGGGAAGAAGAGCATCACTGGTAATAGAAGACAGAATCTCACCTGTCTGGGGGTCCACTGTCCCCAGAGGTCCCTGCGGTGCTGGCAGAAGGGTGGAAGGAAGCAAACATCCGGATGGGGCTGCTGGGGTTGGAGTGGGGAAAGTCAGGACCTGAAGCAGGGGAACAGGACCTTCTCCCCCTGGGAAGTGCAGAGCTCAAACACTACCCCCAAGGGACTCCCTTCCCCAGAATACTGGCTACCAGACACTAGTTCTAGAAGTCGGTCTAGGCCAAGAAGTGGGTAGCCAAGGGGGAGAGGGAAAAGAATTCTGGGTGATAAAGTCCAGAAGATGTGAATAATTGGGAGCATATTTTGTGGGGGAGGGGCAGAGGAGCACTGACCTGGGCAGGCAGCGGGCATCTGTGGGCCGGAAGTTGTAGCCGCTGCTGCCCTGGTAACTCTGGTTAGGGCTGGGGGATGGTGGAGACACTGAGGCCTAGAAGAGGGGGCAAAGGACTGAGAGATAATCCTTGACTCCTTCCCACACCCCACCATTTGCTCCATCGGGTTCCCCCTGCTCCAGTACCTGCAGTGCCCTCTGCAGATGAGCCCGCTCCCTCTGCTCCTGGGGCTCGGGCTGATTGCGCACTGCTGAGGGTGGCCCCAGCTCCTCCACTTTCCCCTTCTGCCTCCTCCTCAGGGGCTCTGGCTCCGGCCTCCGGCGCTTCCCCAGGGGACGTGAGACCCCTCCCCCAGGGCCCTGCCCTGAAGGGAAGCTGTAAGAGGCCTCCTTATCCCCCCAGCCCCCTCCCGGACACCCCCAAGACCTCCCCATCTCTATACATATACCCCCCAGGACTAACACCCTGAGAATTTCCCCCATCCCCCCTGGACCAGTGACCTGGTGAGTGCTCCATCTCCAGTAGGGGGCTCCACAGGGGGAGGCATCCGAGCATGGAGACCAAACAAACATTTCCTCTTCTTAATCTCTCTCCCTGAAATGAAACTGGGGCAAGAAGAGAAATGATATAGGGTCAGTGCTGTAAAAAACGGTTCCTCCTTACGCCATTCCTCAATCCTTTTCAGTCACAGTCTTCCAGGTGGGTTGCAAGCCCCTCCCCTTCCAGGCTTCCACTCTCCATCTCTTTCCGAGCCTCATCCTTGCCTCCTCTTCCCTCCAACTCACCGGTCCTTGTGGCTGTTAAGAGCAGAGAGGAGCCTGGAAGAACGTTCTCCTTTGGGGGTGTCTGAAAGCTGGGAGAAATGAAGAAAAATGGGGCCAGGGGAGCAGTGATTTCTTCTCTTCCCCTTTCCGCTACATCTCCCTGTCCCATCCCAACCCCCAAAACTGCACTACCCCTTACCTCCCCCAGGAGCAAACTGTCCCAATTCTCAGAAGTGAAGGGGAGGATCTCACGATCAAAATCAAAGTATTTCTTCTTACAGCAAACACTGAGGTGATACAGGACAAGATGGGCCACATCCACCCTGGAAAAACAAAGTTTTCAAGACCACAGAGGCATTTTAAGAGCCAGGGGAGTCCTGAGGTGGGAGGTTGGGGCATATAGAGTGAAATACTGTGGTGTGGAGTTACACTGAGGTCATGCCCAATCCAGCTCACCAGCGAAGCTGTAGTCTCCGGACTTTCTCAGGGCCCCCGCGACACACACAGCATTCAAATTCATAGAACCTGGACATGGGCAAGAGGGAGCAAACACACTTACACAGGAAAACTGTGCCATCCCCTGGAAGACTCACAAGCAAGGACGGGGCAAACAGGTGAGGTAACGCTGCAGAGGTTGGGAAGAGACTGGAGTGGAGAAGGGCGTGGGAGAACTGAGGGTGGAACACGAAGAAAGAGGGCATCCTTGGCTCCTAGAGAGTCTGCCTTGGTCTCACCTGTCCCCATAGAGGAGGGGCTTGCTCAGACACTGGGTGCAGGCCTCATGGAACCACTGCAGGCAGCTCCGGCACTGCAGCATTTTCAGGTTCCACCTGAGGGGGAACACAGGACTTCTGGCCTCCAGAAACCCCCTTCCCCATAACTGTCCCAAACCCTAAACTTACCTCCTATCCCCCTGAGTGCTACCCTCATCCTGTTCTTTTTCCTTCATTTCCTGGGATCCACCACCACATCATTCATTCCACAGTCTGCTCCCCTCTCATTACTCACTCCCCAGGGCCACCACAGTAACAGTAACTCTGCTGTCGGTTGCTCAGATGTCCAGCATCCCAGTCCAGCCCCTTCAGTCCATATGGCAGAGAAAGCTTCATACCCAGCATGGCCCGGGCATAGGGGCCCTTCTTCAGGGCACCTCCCCTCTGCAGAGACAGGACAGGTGGGTGGCTTCAGAGGGGTGGGGAGAGGAAAAGGCTTGGGAGAGGCTGTGGATGGGAGGCTCCCACAGGAAGGGTAACAGGGAAGTGCCTTTACCTTGGTGGCGATCGCAAAGACACACTGGCGGCATACCCAGGATGTGCCCTCTCCCTCTCCAGGGGCTGGAGCCCTGGGAACATGGCAGTCCTGGTGATAAGCTGCAGTGATAATAGTAGACCACTTATTGCATACCTGTGTGTGCTTGGTATTGGGACAGGAATAGTCTTTACCCATCTCATTTAATCCCTGACCATGGTCTTGATGAGGGGGTGCATTATCCTTATTTTACAAGTCAGGGAACTGAGGCTCCTAGAGGTTAAGGGACTTGTCCGAGGTCATATGGTTAGAAAAGGATGCATTTAAACCATCTTCTGCCTGCAAAGGTTATACCACCCCTTTCCATGGCTGCTTCTCCCTGGGCTGAAAGCGGATGAGGACTAAGATAAGGCTAAGCAGCCTGGCCAGAGCAGTGGCTTGGGGACTAAGGCCAGGACAGGTGATATAGAGACCATCCTGGAGGGAAGAGCAAGCTGGACCATTCAGGTGACCTGCCCTCTCACCATGGCGACACTTCTCACAGCTGACCAGCCGGTTCCCAGGGACCACAGTCTCAGAGCGACAGACACAACAGAGGAGTTCCTCTCCAGGGAGGGCAGCTGTGAGAGAACACAGTGTCACAGGGCCTGCCTTTAAGTCTCTTTCTGCCCCTCTAGGCCAGGTTTGTTTTCCATGGGATGTGCAATCTCAGGTCTCTAGAGTCTTACCAGGGCTAATGTCTTTCCATAGAACCAGAAACTGCGAATCATCCTCAAACTGGACCAGACACACCTCCCTAGCACTGTCCACCTGGAATGGGTGAGCAAACAGGATGAAATGGGAACCAGAATTAGATAAGGGAACTAGGAAGAAGGTCAGAGGTAGAAGGTCTTACCTTTTTGATGGTACCCAAGTATAGCAGCCCATCAGTCCATCTGGCCAGCACATCTTGACCCTCCCAAAGCCGAGGCCTGGGGCCAGAGGTGGGAGCAGGAGAAGCTGGGTCCCAAAGTGAGGAGGCACCAGAGCGGCTCAGCCGGGGGGGCTGCGCCATTGCATCCTGGGGGGGCCTAGCCAGAAAAGAAATGGGGAGGAGAAGGTTATGAATGCTGAGAAACCTTCCCCATTTTCTTTTTCTTTTTTTTTTTTTTTTCCTGAGATGGAGTTTTGCTCTGTCGCCCAGGCCAGAGTGCAGTGGCACAATCTTGGCTCACTGCAACCTCCACCTCCCGGGTTCAGGCAATTCTCCTGCCTCAGTCTCCCAAGTAGGTGGGATTACAGGCGCATGCCACCATGCCTGGCTAATTTTTGTATTTTTAGTAGAGATGAGGTGTTGGCCATGTTGGCCAAACTGGTCTCGAACTCCTGACCTCATGATCCACCCACCTCAGCTTCCCAAAGTGCTGGGATTACAGGCGTGAGCCACCGGGCCCGGCCAGCCTCCCCATTTTCTTTGCCTATTTTGCCATCAAGAATGAAGTATCTGTGCCCCCATCTCCAAATCCCTGAGACACCTTGATAGGAAACCACTGGGCACCCATCACCAGCTTTTTGAGTCCTCTTCCAACTCTAGTGACTGGCTCTCCTCTCGGTAACTAACAGCCCTCCCCCCGACCCCAAACCTAGTTGCTAGTTTCCCAGCTTCCAGAGCTCTCCTGGGATATTATATACTGGCCTTGAAATTTTAGGAGAAATTATGGTTGTAGAAGCAAAGGCTACTCAGTTTAGAGGTATCATAATTAGGGTGTCCTGTTGCCCAGAGACGTGTTTTGGGACCTTTTCTGGAGATGTTTTCCAGAGCAGAAACGGCTGTCTCCCCAGGCCTGCGCGTCTCATTAAGAACAATCATCCTGGTGCCAGGTTATGTCAGGTCACCCTCAAATTCGGGGCTCCCTGCCCCCGGGTTAGACAACTTCTCTGAGTGCCCCGGGAGGGGGGCGTGTCCCAGTCCCGGTCTCTACTCCCCAGGACGGCAAGTCCGAGAAGGGACTTGTGTCGGCCCAGCCCGGACCCGAGGCCAAGGCGGCGAGGCTCTCCCGCCCGCGCCCCGCGCCGACCCCCGGCTCCCTGCCCCCCACCAGCGCCTCCTGCCGCCTCCTTACCGGTGACAGCTGGGGCCGCCGGGAGCCGGGCAGGGGCAGACGTAGGAGACCTAGGCGAGTCCCCCGCGCGGAGAGGGCACGTCCGGGCGTGGGGGGGCGTGCAGGCGGAGGCCGGGGGGTCCCCAGGCCCAGCCCCTCCGTCCCGGCGGCTCTGGGGCGTATGACGCAGCAGCCAAAGCAGCGGCAGCGGCAGGAGGAGGAGGCGGCGGGGGGGAGGGAGGGAGGGGAGGGACGGACCGGTTGGGGGGGAGGGTGGTGGGAGGGGAGGACTGGGGGAAAGGAGGAGCCGGAGGGGGGGGCGGGCACCACCTCACCCCACCTCCCTCACCTCCAACAGGCCTGGAGGGCGCCGAAGAAGAGGCTGGCCCTCCGCGGCTTGGGGAGCGAAGAGTCGGACCCGGTGGGAGAGGGAATCCCCTCAGCCCCTTCCTCCGACCTGAGATTCGCCCTTGGGGCACGAGGGAATCCCCCCTCCCGGCAGCCCGCCTCCGGCCTGGTCCCCCGCCCCATGCCACATCCGTTAGCTGCCCCACCCCCCATGGTCACTCCAAGTCCCGCCCCCCGGCCCCAGTTCACAGCCCCGCCCTCCATTCACCCTTCTCGATGCCCCCACCACGCCCTCCTCCCTCGCGCGCCCCGCCCTCCCCGTGACGAGTCGCGCCCCACCCACCGCCCTTTTGCGCACGCGTGTCCCCTCCTGCGCGCGGCACCTGGGAGGACTGAGCCCCTCCTTCACCGGGCGGCGGCCGTCGGCGGTTGGCGCGAGGGAGTCGGCGGGCGTGCGCGCCGCTTCCCGTGGACGTCCCGCCCCGTGCTTCCAGGGCTGGCGCAGACGAAGGGCGCGAGGACCCAAGGCGGTGACGCCACCGAGAGCCAGCCAATGGGCAGCGAGCGGGCAGAGCCCCAGCCGTTCGAACGGAAAGGCAGGGAAAGGGCGGGACGGGAGGAAAGAGCCAACAGTTTGGGAGCGCGCGCTAGCCCCGCCTCTGGACTCTGGGGTCCGGTCCCCATTTGCCGACACCCACCAAAGGAACGTTCTTCCCTGGGGCTGGGGTGGCCGGCGGAAGGGTGAAAGTTACCTATAACTAGTGACCAAGGAGGGGGCGTGGATAGCTAGAGGGCACACCTCCCTGATGTGACGGACGGGGTAGGGGGTATTAGCAGAGGGGAAGATGATCCAGGCCAAGGTCCAGAACCGGTGATAGCAGAGGGGAGAAAAGACGAAGCCCTCAGCCCCCGCTCCCGCCTCCCACGTAAACGTTTGGCAGAGGGTACAGATCACAGCTCCCACTTTTACAGATATGAAAGTATCTGCCTTCTTGGGCAAATGCTAATAAAACCTTTATTTAAAAAAAAAACCAAACTATTCTTTATTTGATAGCCCTGGGACATGGTGCCCTCCACCCAATAAAGCACCCTCCAGCAACCCTCCCACCCCTCACCCGATACATAGACATAGGGACACACACACACACACACACACACACACACACACACACACACACACACAGATCTGGATCCGTCTTCACTTCCTGTTGGCCTGAGCAGTACCAATAACACACTGGTTCACCTGGGGGCAGGGGGTTAGACAGGATAAAAGTTTGCAGCGTAACCAATACAACATTTTTCCCAAGATCTCCCATCCTCCAATGCTAGGGCTGCCCTCAGAAATACCGAAATAAGGCCTCCAAAGGCTGGTTCAGGCTGGTGCCAGTTATGGTTTGTTCTCCTCTGCACACTAGGTTTGGAGGAGGTGAAAAGGCTTGAGAAGAGATGGAAGCCCCAGAAGAAAATACAGGAGCAGAGAAAGGAGGCTTTCATTTCCAGCAATACCCTGTACTAGAGACCTCCAACCTCTCCCACTGTAAAACACTTAAACCGAGATAAAATAGTAATAACACCCATTTAGGAACTAGGACTCCTTAGAAAATGGATCAGTTGAAGTCTGGGGAAGGAAATGTACAAGTTGAATCTGAAAAGACTACTAGAGTTCTGTCTAAAGGACACTGGCACCAATCTGAAGGAGGCTCTTTTTTTTGTTGTTGTTGTTGAGACGGAGTCTTGCTCTGTCGCCCAGGCTGGAGTGCAGTGGCGCGATCTCGGCTCACTGCAAGCTCCACCTCCCGGGTTCAAGCCATTCTGCCTCAGACTCCCAAAGTAGCTGAGACTACAGGCGCCCGCCACCACGCCCGGTGAATTTTTTGTATTTTTAGTAGAGACGGGGTTTCACCGTGTTAGGATGGTCTCGATCTCCTGACCTCGTGATCCACCCACCTCAGCCTCCCAAAGTGCTGGGGTTACAGGCATGAGCCACCGCGCCCGGCCAGGAGGTTCCTATTGGCTAAAGATGGGGCAATTTGAGCATCAGAAAGAAGAACGACTGTGGCCGGGCTGGGTGGCTCACGCCTATAATCCCAACACTTTTGGTGGCTACAATGAGCTATGATTGAGCCACTGAATTCCAGTCTGGGCAACAGAGCAAGTCCCTGTCTCAAAAAAAATAAAAATAAAAATAACCCTCAGATAAACATTCATTGGTCACCTTTGGAAGCTGCTAGGATATCAACTCAATACTGAAAATCAATAAATAATTCAGCATTTATCTTGTTTTTCCTGTATGAATTGAATTTCAGAGAAACCAAGTAGATGGCAAGGCAAATGTCTTCATAAAAGAATCGTGACTAACCAATGCAGAACAACTAAGATTAGAAAAATCCCCATTTAGAAACCCCTTAATGAAATAAAGATCCAGGTATGGTCACTGCTGGATAAAATCACTAGGTGAAAAAGTCAATAAGGAGCTTGTAAATGGATGGGTCAGGTTGACAACACCCAAATATGATAAATAAGTGAAAGTATGGGGGAAAGAGGAAGCAACCAGCCAAAATCCAGAATAGTATATTCTATAGGACAAATGACCTTCAACAAACGACATAATAGTGGCAGTGTGGGATAGGGTTGTGGAACTTGAGACATTTCAACCAAGTGGGTGGCCCTTGCCTGGATCCTGATTTGAACAAACCTATTATGTATAAAAGACACTTCTGAGACAGTTGGGTGAAATTTAACATAAACTGGGTATTAGAGGATATTAAAGTTCATGTTGTTGGATGTTACATTGGTATAACATTAATAAAAAGTTAGAAAAAACATCACCACCCTCTAAAATTGAACTTGCAAGATAGTGAGGGAAACCCTCATCAAAGTAGAATACCAGATCAGGGTGCAGGTGCTGGCTACTCCACAGCAACAATCAGTGCTGACTGGGAGGAGGCCCAAGCGCACAGCAGGACAGACCTGATCAGACCTCAAATAAAGCCAGAGCCCATCAAAGGGCTATACGCGCAGGAGGAGGGTGTACCAGAGAAAAAAATTACTGTGGAGGCAGACAGTAAGGAAACTTTCTGACTTGCTTAACACTAGTGGAAGGAGATTCTAGTGGAAGGAATTCTCATTAGTGAGAATTCATATAGCCACTGGCTGACCCTCATGAGGTTTGGAGTCTGAATTCACACTATTTGGAATAGTCTGAAAAACCTCTAAGTCTTTGATCCAGTAATCCCATTTCAAGGACTATTTCCCTAGTTAGATGTAACTGAAAAATACAAAATGATGTATGTACAAAGTTAGTCAACGTGGCCTTGTTTGTGACTAAAAAAGTGTGGAAACAATCCAAGTGTCCAGTAGAGGGAACTGGTGGATAAATTTTGGTGCAGCTACATAGTGGAGTCTAGGCAGACCTAAAAATAATGATCTCTGTATGCTGATAGGGAGGAATCTTAGGGATTTTTTGTGTGTTGGTTTTTTGAGACAAGGTCTTACTCTGTCACCCAGGCTGAAGTGCAGTGGTAGGATCACGGCTCACTGCAGCCTCCACCTCCCAGGTTCAGGTGATCCTCCCACCTCAGCCTCCTGAGTAGCTGGAACTACAGGTGTGAGCCATTACACCCAGCTAATTTTCCTATTTTTTGTAGAGACAGGGTCTCACTATGTTGCCCAGACTGATTTTAAACTCCTGGGCTCAAGCAATCCTCCTGCCTTGGCCTCCCGAAGTGTTCGGATTATAGGCATGAGCTACTACGCCCAACCAGTTTAGACCTTTTAGTCACCTTTTCTTTTTTTTTTAATCAGCTTTCTCAGGTTAAATTAATCACCCGTTTTTTAAAAAACTTAACTCAAAAGCTAATAATTAAAAATGGAACCAGGTGAGCAGTGCCTCAGATACCTGCAAAACCTTTCTGCACAAATGTGCTCCCTGCCCTAGAAGACAAAAGGGATTGGAATGGAGAAGCCTACAACCACCCACGGGTCCTGACAAGGCTGACGGGTGGTAATCGCACCTTGGAGGCAAAGCGTAGAGAGTTGAGGGACTCGGAGACGTTCTCTTCCAGTGGAGAAATGTTCACAAACATGAGCCTATGAAAAGACAATGTGCCCAACCCCAGCATTAGGGGCCAGCAGAGCCTGGACAGGTCTCCACTGTTCCCCTTTCTACCCCTCACCCCAACACAGTTCCTACCTGACCCCTTCCATCTGTCCCTTTCACTCACATCTTAGCACTACCACCCAGAGAGTTCTGCAGCAGGTAGGTCAGTTTGCTGTTCCGGTAAGGCACGTGGGACTCCTAGATGATTGAGGTGGGGACAGATGTTTAGGAATAGGCAGGGTTCTGCACAGCCAACCCCAACTGTCCCCCAGGTCCCGTATCTCACCCCACTCCCATTCCCACCTTGTTGCTCAGGGCCATGATAACCAGCCCCAGCGTGGACAGGCTGCTGTTAATGGCCTGTGTTTCCCGAAGGCGTTCCCGCTCCCCGGGGCCGAGGGCTAAGCCGGGGTCAAGTCGCTCACTCCCGGCCAGGTCCACAAGACTGAGGGGGGCCCCACACTGCAGGCCTCGGCTGGAGTGCTCCCCAGAAATCTGTAGCTGGAATACACTGTGGCTGCGTGATGACCGTTCATTCTGGGCTGTGCGGGCCACAGCCCGATTCTGGCGGGCCAGATGAAGCAGGGCGTCCACCTGGGGATGGGAGCAGAAGGGGCAAAAAGGCAGGCAGAAGTCAGTACATAGTAATATGTATGGAAATGAATAAGAGCCCACCCCCACCCTCTTGAAGCTTTCTAGCCTGTCAAGAAACAAAATAAGATGCACAGTATGTCTGAAAATGGTAAGGAATACATAGAATAGGGAGTGTATAAAGGCGGGGTGGGGAACACAAGTTTTGACAGGATAGCCAAGATCTCCAGGAAAGAGCATCCAGGCAAAGGCCCTGAGATGGGGAGCACGACTAGCTGGTTGAGGAACAGCCAGGAGGCCAGCATGGCTAGGATGAGCTGAGCAAGAAGATGAGACATGAGATGTAGTGACCCTCCTCGTTTTGGCAGATGCATCACTCCCTCGCCACTCCCAGGTTAAGGCAGATCTACCGACAGCCCACAGGCCAAAACCGGATGTGGTAACCCAGCCTGATAACTTGCACTTCATCCTTCAATTCTCTCTTGCTCCTTTCTCCCTCTACCTCCATCTCGTGGCACCCTGCCCACTCCTCCCCATTTCCCAGTTCCAGTGCCCATGGGTCCTCACTTCTTTCTCACAGGAGACAGGGACATATCGAGCATTGGTGACAGTGAGCTCCTCACTCCCTGGCCCTGCACGGCGAATCTCACACTCGCCCCCTTGACCCTTCCGGGTTCCAGTGGCCAGCAGGTCCCGGACAGTCTCATTGTAGATCTCTACGTAGCTTGCTACAAAGCTGTAGGTCCAGCCCTGACCACTCAGCTCCTGAGCCACAGAGAAGAGGTGCCGCAGGGCCCGAGGGATCAGCCCCTCCAACTGGGGGTCTCCCCCAGGCCCACCCTCCATTGTGAAGGTCTTGCCACTGCCTGTCTGGCCATAGGCAAAGATGCATACTGGATAGCCATCCAGGGCTGACTGGACAAGCATGGCAATCTCTTCAAACACTTCATCCTGTCCACTTCCTGGTGGGAATACCCGGTCAAAGGAAAAATCATGGCGAGTTGGGGGAGCTGGTGCCCCACTCAGGGTCCCACGCCGCTCGTCAGACCGGGAGAGGCTAAGGCGGGTTGGAGGATCAGAGGGCCCACCAGGGCCAGAGGGAAACAGGAGGAGGCCAGGGGGTGGAGTGGGCTCCCCCGGCAGGACAGGGCGGACCCGGCAGAATACACGGATGTTGCCCTTGAGTTCCTGCAGCTGGTTGTGCAGTCGCCGGCGCTCCATTTCTAGCCCATGAAGACGTTCTTCCCGCTCAGTCAGTAAGGCTGCCTGGGCCACAGTCTCCTGCCGCAGAGATGCCACCTCTGCTTGGCTGCTTGACAGGGCTGCTTCTGATGTCTGCAGCCTCCTCTGCCCAGAAGAGAACACAACATACACAGAGGGTAAGATGCAACCAAGAAGAAGAACAAACTGTGGGGCGTATGGAGTGGGTGGAAGTGAGGTCCCTGCTCAAAAGGACCTCAAAGTCTGGTAAACAAAGAAAGATGAGAAAATAAGGAATCATGGTACTAAGACAGGGAGTGCTATGGGTATGTCCAAGCACAAAGAGGAGCACAAGGAAGATGATATCTAGGGTGACACCCAGAAGTACAGGAGTGAACCAAGGAAGGATGTAGTATACAAAGAACATTCCAGAAAGAGGGAAGCACATATGCAGAATGCCCAGAAGTGAAAGTTGAGTCATTTAAGAGACTGCAAATAACTTAATCTAGTTGGTGCTCACCAGGAAGGAGTCAAGTGGACATGGGAGGAGGGAAAGAGAGTACCACAGGAATTTGTGATCAGGATGGGAACCCAAAGAAAGAGGGATGGAGGACTAAGAAAGACACAGATCTAAATGAGAGCTTTGCAAACAGTCAAGGGTAGGAAGAAGCGTGGCAGAAAGCAAGACAGTCAGGAGTGGGCTGGGGTGCAGACAGGTCAAGAGAGAGGTATCTTCAGCAGCACCTATACTGCTAAAGATAGGTGCTCAGGAGTTCTCAGCCCAGACTTGAGGGGTACCTGGAAGGGAGGGGAGGCATGACCTCTGCCAGGAAAGCGGGGCTGACATCTGGTGAAAATCTGGCCCTTACCTCCTTCTCCTCTAGTTGGGACATCAGTCCCCTCCGTTCTTCCTGCAATTCCACCTGTTTTTTCTGAAGCTCTTGCACCAAGCCCTCCTGCGTGCTCAGCCGCTCTTCCAGCTCCAGGACACAAGCACGCAAGTTCTTCAGCTCCTGTTGGCCCTGCTCAGCCTGGGCCTGTACCTTGGCTAAATGCCCCTCCAGTGTTGTGCGCTCTGTCCCCAGGGCCTTGACCTGCTGCTGGGCATCTCTGAGCTGGTCCTGAAGCTGCTGGTTCTCTTGGTCCAACGTTTGAGTCCTCTCACGGCACCGTTTTAGTTCTGCATTTAGGTCACATAACTGACCCTTTAAGTCCCAGGCTGGACGTTTGCTGGGTTTCTTCCCTCCTGCCATGGGAGGAACACCTGATGCTAAGATGAACACAGAAAGGACAAAGGTCAGTGAAGTCTAGGCTCTCTATCCCTCCTCCCTTCTAGCCTTTATGGGATCCACACCTGATGCTACATCTCCTTCCCCTTAGAGACCAAATGGATTTTTCTGGTCACTCACCATCTTCTCTTCCCTATCCCAGCCTCTCACCCAGTGGTTATGTTTGTCACTTACTGCCAGACTTCTGGACAGGAACAGCAGGAACTGGCTTCTGGTTCTTCAACCCTACAGAATTGAGGAGGTGACTTAGGAATTACAGGACCAGTGTCCCTCCACCTCCATCATTCTCCCTTTACACATACCCCAAATCCCTTCTCAGACCCAGCTCTTGAGCACAGTTACCTGTGGCAATAGCTGTGGAACACCGGGGTCCTGTCTTCTTGGAAACTTTTTGAGCTGCCCAGGAGATGGGAGAGAGCAAAGGTAGAATGATCATTCTTAAGATGGCATGTACACTTGCTAGGACAGGGGCAGAAGAAGTGCTTTTCTCAGAATTAGAAATAGGATAACTTCCTTCCCTTATCCCTAAGTCTGGCCAGCTCCTAATGATACCTCCCCTAGAACCAGAAATTACAGTCATCCCTCAGTATCCAAAAGGGGTTGATTCCAGCACCCCCCAAGAATACCAAAATCCAAGGATGCCCAAGTCCCTTACATAAATAGGTATATAGTATTAAATATAGTCTATGCACACGCTCCCATATACTTTATTTATTGATTGACTGAGACAGAGTTTCACTTGTTGTCCAGGCTGAAGTGCAATGGCATGATCTCAGCTCACAGCAAACTCTACCTCCAGGGTTCAAGCGATTCTCCCGCCTCAGCCTCCCGAGTAGCTGGGATTATAGGTATGCGCCACCACGCCCAACTAATTTTGTATTTTTAGTAAAGACGGGGTTTCACCATGTTGATTAGGCTGGCCTCAAACTCCTGACCTCTGGTGATCTGCCTGCCTTGGCCTCCATTTTGTTTTTTTTTTGAGATGGAGTTGCACTCTTCTCACCCAGGCTGGAATGCAATGGCGCGATCTCAGCTCACTACAACCTCCACCTCCAGGGTTCAAGCAATTCTTCTGCCTCAGCCTCCTGAGTAGCTGGGATTACAGGCAAGCGCCACCACGCCTGGCTAATTTTTTTTTTTTTGTATTTTTAGTAGAGACAGGTTTTCAGCATGTTGGCCAGGCTGGTCTCAAACTCCTGACCTCAGGTGATCTGCCTGCCTCAGCCTCCCAAAGTGCTGGGATTACAGGCGTGAGCCACCACATCCAGCCGCATATACTTTAAATCATCTTTAGATTACTTATAATATCTAACACAATGTAAATGCTATGTTAATACAGTCATGTGCCCATAATGACATTTCGGTCAATGACAGACTGCATATACAACAGTAGCCCCGTAACATTATAATGGAGCTAAAAATTCCTATTGCCTAGTGACATTATAGCCATGGTAATGTCATAGCATTCCTCACCTGTTTGTGGTGATTCTGATATAAACGAACCTAATGCACTGCCAGTTGTATAAAAGTATAACACATATAATTACATATAGTACATAATACCTAATAATGATAATGACTATGTTACTAGTTTATATATTTACCGTACTGTACTTTTTATTGTTATTTTAGGGTATACTCCTTCTATTTGCAAAAACAGTTAACTATAAAACAGCCTCAGGCATGTCATTCAAAAGGCATTCCAGGCCAGGCACTGTGGCTCACGCCTGTAATCCCAGCACTTTGGGAGGCCGAGGTGGGCAGATCAAGGGGTCAGGAGATTGAGACCATCCTGGCTAACACGGTGAAACCCCGTCTCTCCTAAAAATACAAAAACAAAATTAACCAGGCGTGGTGGCGGGCACCTGTAGTCCCAGCTACTCCGGAGGCTGAGGCAGGAGAATGGTGTGAACCCAGGAGACGGAGCTTGCAGTGAGCCGAGATCATGCCACTGCACTCTAGCCTGGGCGACAGTGCGAGACTCCGTCTCAAAAAAAAAAAAAAAGGCAATCCAGAAGAAAGCATTGTTATCACAGGAAGTCACATCTCCATGTGTGTTACTGCCCCTGAAGATCTTCCAGTGAGACAAGATGTGGAGGTGAAAGCCAGTGATGTTGATGATCCTGACCCTATGTAGGCCTAGGCTAATGTGTATATTTCTTCGTTTTTAACAAAAAGTTTGAAAAGCAAAATAATATTTAAAATTTTTCAAATTTAAGCTTATTTCTTGGAAAAAATACAAATAAATAAAATTTTAAATTAAAAAAAGAATTTCAGGCGGGGCGCAGTAACTCATGTCTGTAATCCCAGCACTTTGGGAGGCTGAGGCGGGCGGATCACGAGGTCAGGAGATCGAGACCATCCTGACTAATACGGTGAAACCCCATCTCTACTAAAAATACAAAAAATTAGCTGGGTATGATGGCACACACCTATAGTCCCAGCTACTCGGGAGGCTGAGGCAGGAGAATCACTTGAACCCAGGAGGCGGAGGTTACACTGAGCCGAGATCACGCCATTGCACTCCAGCCTGGGCGAAAGAGCGAGACTCTGTCTCAAAAACAAAAAACAAAAAACAAAAATTTTATTTTCAAGCCAGGAGACAGAGATTCATATTGCCCTGAATATATGCTCCCCGCCCAAAACAAAATTTAGATAGAAAAAAAGCATGAGGAATAAGGATATAAAGGAATAAAATATTTCTGTAAAGCTATACAATGTTTGTGTTTTCAGTTGTTATTACAAGAGTCAAAAAGTTAGCCGGGCGCAGTGGCTCACGCCTGTAATCCCAACACTTTGGGAAGCTGAGGCAGGCAGATCACGAGGTCAGGAGATCGAGACCATCCTGGCTAACATGGTGAAACCCTGTCTCTATTAAAAATACAAAAAAACAAAATTAGCCAAGTGTGGTGGAGGGCGCCTGTAGTCCCAGCTACGCGGAAGGCTGAGGCAGGAAAATGGCGGGAACCCGGGAGGCGGAGCTTGCAGTGAGCCGAGATTGTGCCACTGCACTCCAGCCTGGGCGACAGAGCGAGACTCCATCTCAAAAAAAAAAGAGAGAGAAGCTCTCGGCTTTCGGCTCGGAGGAGGCCAAGGTGCAACTTTCTTCGGTCATCCTGAATCTGGGTTCATCCGACACCAGCTGCCTCCACCATGCCACCGAAGTTCGACCCCAACGAGATCAAGGTCGTATACCTGAGGTGCACCAGAGGTGAAGTCGGTGCCACTTCTGCCCTGGCCCCCAAGATCGGCCCCCTGGGTCTGTCTCCAAAAAAGGTTGGTGATGACATTGCCAAGGCAACGGGTGACTGGAAGGGCCTGAGGATTACAGTGAAACTGACCATTGAGAACAGACAGGCCCAGATTGAGGTGGTGCCTTCTGCCTCTGCCCCGATCATCAAAGCCCTCAAGAAACCACCAAGAGACAGAAAGAAACAGAAAAACATTAAACACAATGGGAATATCACTTTTGATGAGATCGTCAACATTGCTCGACAGATGCGGCACCGATCCTTAGCCAGAGAACTCTCTGGAACCATTAAAGAGATTCCGGGGACTGCCCAGTCTATGGGCTGTAATGTTGATGGCCACCACCCTCATGACATCATAGATGACATCAACAGTGGTGCTGTGGAATGCCCAGCTAGTTAAGCACAAAGGAAAATATTTCAATAAAGGATCATTTGACAACTGGTCGAAAAAAAAAAGTTAAAAAAAGATTAAAATGTTACATCAGCCTTGGCAAGTGGGAAAAAAAATGTTAAGTTTATAAAGTAAAATAGTTATAGTAAACTAAGGTTAATTTATTATAAAAGAACTATTTTTTATAAATTTGATGTAGCCTAACTGTACCATGTTTCTAAAGTCTACAGCAGTGTACAGTAAGGCCCTAGGCCTTCACATTCACTCACCACTCACTCACTAACTCACCCAGAGCAACTTCCATTCAAACATGCTCCATTTAATGGTTAGTACCCTGTACAGGTGTGCCATTTTTTATCATTTATATTATATTTTAACTGTACCTTTTCTATGTTTAGGTATGTTTATATACACAAATGGTTACCACTGTGTTATGTTACCTACCATGCTTCAGTATAGTAACACGCCACACAGGCTTGTTGCCCAAGAACAATAGGCTATCGCAGATAGCCTAGGTGTGTAGCAGGCTAGATCATCTAGGTTTCAGTAAGTACATTCTATGATGTTTCCACAATAATGCATTTCTGATAATGTATCTGCATTGCCAAGTGACACATGACCATAACTGTTATACTGTATTTTTTGGTTTTATTTTTTATTTTCCATGAATATTTTCTCATTTTTTTTTTTGAGACCGAGTCTCGCTCTGTCGCCAGGCTGGCACAATCTCGGCTCACTGCAACCTCCACCTCCTGGGTTCTAAGCAATTCTCCTGCCTCAGCCTCCAGAGTAGCTGGGATTACAGGCACGGGCCATCACGTCTGGCTAATTTTATATTTTTAGTAGAGACAGGGTTTCAACCATATTGGCCAGGCTGGTCTGGAACTCCGGACCTCAGGTAATCTACACACCTTGGCCCCCCAAAGTGCTGGGATTACAGGCATGAGCCACTGTGCCCACTCTCCTTGAATATTTTCAACCGATGGTTGGTTGAATCTGCAGAAGCAGAACCCACGGATACAGAGGGCCAACTGTACTCCATATGCCAAAAAGCAATTTGGATTAAGATAAGTAAAAGCAGGACCATGTCTAAAGTATGCCACCATTTATGTAAAAAAGGTGGGGGAGTATAGTCTTACTTGCTTGAATACCAATAGAATTTCCCTGGAAGAACACACAGTTGCCCTGGGTAGCAGAATTGGGTGGCTGGAGGACAGAAATAGGAAGCAAACTTCACTATACAACAACCTTTGTGCCTTTGGAATTTTGAACCAAATGAAATGTTATTACCTATTCAAAATAGGCTGGGTGCGGTGCCTCACACCTATAATCCCAGCACTTTGGAAGGCAGAGGCGGGTGGATCACCTGAGGTCAGGAGTTCAAGACCAGCCTGGCCAACATGGCGAAACCCCATCTCTACTGAAAAAAATACAAAAATTAGCTGGGCATGGTGTGGGCACCTGTAATCCCAGCTACTCGGGAGGCTGAGGTAGGAGAATCGTTTGAACCTGGGAGGAGGAGGTTGCAGTGAGTGAGATTGAGCCACTGCACTCCAGCCTGGGCGATAGAGCGAGACTCTGTCTCAAAAAAAATAAAATAAAATTGAAAGAAAAGAAACAAGTGAGTTGAAGAGCACTGGACTTCCATGTCCTTGGAGTCTATCCATCCTGAGAGCCCACCTGTGGTCTGGCCTTGTGTCTGTGGCACTGTAGTGAGGGATGGAACTCTTGGGTGGGATGTGGTAATTTTGGTCGTTGCACCCAGGCCTCTTGTCCGTTTCTGGGGAAAGATAAAGACAAGGTCCATAGTCACCCTCCCTAATGGTTTATACTCTCTCTCTCCTTTCTTTCACACACACACACCCCCCACACACATGCACAGCTCTCCATGCCCAGCTCACCTTCTCAGGCTCCAGGCCATCTTCCATCTGGTCAGGCCTCCTCTTGAGTCTGCTTCCTGAGAGAGGCAGCTGGGAAGGGGCCTTAATCAGAGGTCTCTTCAGTTCTATGTTCCCCTTTACTTCCAATAGGGGGGACCTCTGTTGGGAAAAGAGACCCTTAAGACAATACCCAGGAGCCCAAATGTCCCAAGAACTTCCTGTCTTGGCCCCCAGCCTCAATTGTCAACACCACCACCAAGCACTGAGCACCACTTGTGCCAAAAGCTGAATTATGTGCCAGACAGCATGAACAGAAGTGAGGACATAACCTAAAAGTGGGAATAACCTCTAGGGGAAAAGCTGGACTTGACTAACTTTAAGGGTGGGACTCAAACAAGCAGAGAGGAATGGATGCTCTTCCTGGAAGGCAAAAATTCAAATATGTACATAGCATGGCTAAGAAACCAACTGGCCCTTTTGGCTGGAGCTGAGAATCATAAACAAGGGAGAGAGTGGAAGATATGTGAGTGTTGAAGACTGCTTGGGAGAATCAGGCAATATTTACTGAGCCATGTTTGAAATGTTTCACCTGGACCGGGTGCAGTGGCTTATGCCTGTAATCCCAGCACTTTGGGAGGCAGAGGTGGGCAGATCACAAGGTCAGGAGTTTGAGACTAGCCTGACCAACATGGTGAAATCCCGTCTCTACTAAAAATACAAAAATTAGCTGGGTGTGGTGGCACATGCCTGCAATCCCAGCTACTCGGGAGGCTGAGTCAGGAGAATCGCCTGAACCTGGGAGGCAGAGGTTGCGGTGAGCCGAGATCACGCCACTGCACTCCAACCTGGGCAATAGAGTAAGACTCCGTCTCAAAAAAAAAAAAAAAAAAAGGGCATTAGAACTTAATTCTGGGCGAGCACGGTGGCTTATGCCTGTAATTCCAGCATTTTGGGAGGCTGAGGCGGGCAGATTACTTGAGGTCAGGAGTTCAAGACCAGCCTGACCAACATGGTGAAACCCTGTTTCTACAAAAATTACCCAGGCATGGTGGCATGTGCCTGTAATCCAGCTACTTGGGAGGCCAAGGAGGAGAATCGCTTGAACGATTGGTGGAGGTTGCGGTGAGCCGAGATCACAACACTGCACTCCAGCCTGGGTGACAGAGCGAGACTACGTCTCAAAAAAAAAAAAAAAAAAAAGAACTTGGCCAGGCGCGGTGGCTTATGCCTATAATCCCAGCACTTTGGGAGGCCGAGGCGGGCAGATCACAAGGTCAGGAGATCAAGACCATCCTAGCTAACACGGTGAAATCCCGTCTCTACTAAAAAATACAAAAAATTAGCCGGGCGTGGTGGCAGGCGCCTGTAGTCCCAGCTCCTGGGGAGGCTGAGGCAGGAGAATGGCGTGAACCCGGGAGGCGGAGCTTGCAGTGAGCCAAGATTGTGCCACTGCACTCCAGCCTGGGTGACAGAGCGAGACTCCGGTCTCAAAAAAAAAAAAAAGAAATTAATTCTCATGGAACCTAGTTGAAAGGGGCTATTCTAGAAGCTTGAGGGCTAAGCTAGGCAGACATCCACCTTAGCGAACCAGATGACATTTGCCTGTGGTCCCAGCTACAAGGGAGGCTGAGGTGGGAGGATGGCTTGGGCCCAGATCAAGGCTGCAGTGAGCCGTGATCATGCCACTGCACTCCAGCACTCCAGCCTGGGCGACATATTGAGATCCTGTCTCAAAAAAAAAAAAAAAAAAAGAAAAGAAAAGAAAGAAAAAGAAAAAGAAAAGAAATAACACAGAGATCTGAGTACCTGAAGAGTTGTTTTTTGTTTATTTGTTTTTGAGACAGGGTTGCCCAAGCTGGCTTTGAACTTTGAGTTCAAGTGCTCCTCCTGCCTTAGCCTCTTAAGTGCCTAGGACAACAAGCACATGCCACTGGACCCAGCAGGATTGGTTTCATGGATGCTAAGTTCAATTTTGGGAAAGTGAGTTTGAGCTACCCGTGATACAGTGAGATTTACTCAAGGAAGTTCACAGAGCATCATTATTTTTAAAAATCATGAAACAACCTGATACACTGTTTTCTTTTGTTTTTATTATCATAACCCCTACATAAGACTGTGAGCACCATAAGAATTCATCTGTTTTGTTCATAACTATATAACCAGAGGGCCTAGTACAATGTCTGCTACATGGTAGGACTCTACAGTTTTTGAAGGAATGAAATTGAATGTTCATCAGTGGGGCAATACTTAAACTGTGATATATCCATACCATTGGCTTCTATAAAAATAAAAAGGGAAAAAAAGAGGTAGCATTTTTCCTGCCACCTACAGAAGTGTGCACAAAGAAAGCTTATTTTAATTTAGTGTAATCAAATATAGTATGGAAACCAAATTTTTCTTTAAGTATTCCAAAGTCAAACACTAATTTTTAAAAATAACCTGTGCCCTTCCTCCTCTCTACACTACCGTAGTGGATCTGCTACAGACCTACCTCCTTGGAATTTATGCCGGTTCAGAAAATGTGTTTAAAGGTTTGTTTATTCAGGACAACTCCAAAGACCACAGTATATATATTTTTCCCATCTATTAATATAAAGCTAGAATGATGCCCTCCAACTTTCCACAGTGAGAAGCATAAGCACTTAACCTTCTATAAGAACAGATATTCATGCAACCCTGCCTACATCCACCTCACCACAAGATCAGAGGTGGATGGCCCTGCTCCTAAGGCAACCCTTTCATATATGCATCACATTCCCATCCCTCCTCACCAAATCCTGGACTCGCCAAATCCTCCCAGTTTCAGGAACATTCCTCCAGCAATCCTCCCTTCTCACCTCTGCACCATCAGCTTTGTACTCTATGGCATCACTCCAATTGGCATACCACAAACTCTATTATTTCTTCGAAACTAAAAGAATCTGAACTCTGCTTTCCCTAACAGGTACTATCCTTTTTCCTTGCCGCCTTTCGCAGCAAAACTCTAAAGTATTACCTCTAGTGTATTCATCGTGGCCAATTTCTCTCCTAAGCCCATTGCAATCAGGCTTTCATTCCCACCATTCCATCGAAATTGCTATCCTCAAGATCACAAGTAACTTCATGTTGCTAAGTCAATTCTTTATCTTCATTTTCTTGACCCATCAAACAGCATCTGATACAACTGATTACTCCCTTTTCCTTAATAGGCTTTCTTCAGTTAGCTTCCAGGAGACCACTCTTTCTTACCTCACTGGCAGGTCCTCCTCATCTCTCCAGATTTTAACAGCATTCTCTATCTATACTCACTATCCACTCCCATGCCTTTAAATATCATTGATATGCTGACAGTTTCCAAATTTATATGTCCAGCTCAGACCTCGATCCTGCACCTATACTGAACTGCATCGTCAACATCGCTATTTAAGGCTGGGAGTGGTGCCTCATGCCTGTAATCCCAGCACTTTGGGAGGCCGAGGCGGGCGGATCACTTGAGTTCAGGAGTTCGAGACCAGCCTGGCCAACATGGCAAAACCCTGTCTCTACTAAAAATACAAAAATTAGCCAGGTGTGCTGGCACGTGCCTGTAATCCCAGCTACTCGGGAGATTGAGGTGGGAGGATTGCTTGAAGCTGGGAGGTAGAAGTTGCAGTGAGCTGAGATCACACCACTGCACTCCAGCCTGGGCAACAGAGTGAGAGACTCCGTATCAAAAAAAATCTCCATTTGGAAGTCTAATAACTGACCTCTTGATGTCCAACCCTGCTTTGAACTTGCTCCTTTTGCAGCTTTCTCCATCTCAATTGATATAACTCCATCTTTCAGTTGCTCAAGCCAAAAACCCAGAGTCCTCTCTTTCTCCTACATACCACATCTAATCTGTCAGCAAAGCATGGCTGATTGTACCTTCAAAATATATCCAGAATCCAATCACTTTTTACTGTTTCTTCCACTGCTATCACCCTGACCTAAGACACCATCATCTGGCACCTAGATTATCATAAACCAGTGGTTCTCAACTGGGGGTGATTTTATCCCCAAGGTGACATTTGACAATGTCCAATGCAGTCCTGTACACTGTCAGATGCCTAGCAGCATCCCTGCCCTCTACCCACTAGATGCCAGTAGCAACCCCCCACCTAGTCACGACAATAAAAAATGTTGGCCAGGTGCAGTGGCTCATGCCTGTAATCCGAGCACTTTGGGAGGCCGAGGTGGGAGGATCATGAGGTCAGGAAATTGAGACCATCCGGGCTAACGCGGTGAAACCCTGTCTATACTAAAAATACAAAAAATTAGCCGGGCGTGGTGGCAGGCGCCTGTAGTCCCAGCTACTCGGGAGGCTGAGGCAGGAGAATCGCCTGAACCCGGGAGGCGGAGGTTGCAGTGAGCCGAGACCGCGCCACTGCACTCCAGGCTGGCGACAGAGCGTGACTACTTCTCAAAAAAAAAAAAAAAAATGTTGCAGGGCACGGTGGCTCATGCCTGTAATCCCAGCACTCTCGGAGGCCGAGGCAGGCGAATTGCTTGAGCCCAGGAGTTAGTTCCAGACCAGCCTGGGCAACATGGCAAAACCCTGTCTCTATTAAAAATACAAAAAATCAGCCAGGCATGGTGGCAGCTGCCTGTAGTCCCAGCTACTCAGGAGGCTGAGGTGGGAGGATCACTTGAGCCCAGGAAGTTAAGGCTCCAGTGAGCCATGATCATGCCACTGCACTCCAGCCTGGGAACAGAGAAAGAGAACCTGTCTCAAAAAAAAAAAAAAAAAAAAAAAGGCAATGGTGCTATGGTTACGAAAATCTGGTGGACCCAACAAATCTTATCTCTCTGCTTAAAATCATCCAATGATTCCCCATCTCACTCAGAGTAAAAGTC